>NC_000006.12:46120606-46423636 GCF_000001405.40 Homo sapiens
GAAGGCTTCAGATGATCAAACTTCTCCGAGCTAAAGGAGGAAGTACGAACCCATCATAAAGAAGTTAAAAACACTGAAAAAAGATTAGATGAATGGCTAACTAGAATAACCAATGCAGAGAAGTCCTTAAAGGACCTGATGGAGCTGAAAACCATGGCACGAGAACTACATGATGAATGCACAAGCTTCAGTAGCCGATTCGATCAACTGGAAGAAAGGATATCAGTGATTGAAGATCAAATTAATGAAATGAAGCAAGAAGAGAAGTTTAGAGAAAAAAGAATAAAAAGAAATGAACAAAGCCTCCAAGAAATATGGGACTATGTGAAAAGACCAAATCTATGTCTAATTGGTTACCTGAAAGTGACGGGGAGAATGGAACCAAGTTGGAAAACACTCTGCAGGATATTATCCAGGAGAACTTCCCCAATCTAGCAAGGCAGGCCAACATTCAAATTCAGGAAATACAGAGAATGCCACCAAGATACTCCTCAAGAAGAACAACTCCGAGACACATCATTGTCAAATTCACCAAAGTTGAAATGAAGGAAAAAATGTTAAGGGCAGCCAGAGAGAAAGGTCGGGTTACTCACAAAGGGAAGCCCATCAGACTAACAGCTAATCTCTCGGCAGAAACTCTACAAGCCAGAAGAGAGTGGGGGCCAATATTCAACATTCTTAAAGAAAAGAATTTTCAACCCAGAATTTCATATCCAGCCAAACTAAGCTTCACAAGTGAAGGAGAAATAAAATCCTTTACAGACAAGCAAATGCTGAGAGATTTTGTCACCACCAGGCCTGCCCTAAAAGAGCTCCTGAAGGAAGCACTAAACATGGAAAGGAACAACCGGTACCAGCCACTACAAAAACATGCCAAATTTTAAAGCCCATTGATGCTAGGAAGAAACTGCATCAACTAACGAGCAAAATAACCAGCTAACATCATAATGACAGGATCAAATTCACACATAACAATATGAACCTTAAATGTAAATGGAATAAATGCTCCAATTAAAAGACACAGACTGGCAAATTGGATAAAGAGTCAAGAACCATCAGTGTGCTCTATTCAGGAAACCCATCTCTTGTGCAGAGACACACATAGGCTCAAAATAAAGGATGGAGGAAGATCTACCAAGCAAATGAAAAACAAAAAAAGGCAGGGGTTGCAATCCTAGTCTCTGATAAAACAGACTTTAAACCAACAAAGATCAAAAGAGACAAAGAAGGCCATTACATAATGGTAAAGGGATCAATTCAACAAGAAGAGCTAACTATCCTAAATATATATGCACCCAATACAGGAGCACCCAGATTCATAAAGCAAGTCCTTACAGACCTAAAAGAGACTTAGACTCCCACACAATAATAATGGGAGACTTTAACACCCCACTGTCAACATTAGACAGATCAACGAGAGAGAAAGTTAACAAGGATATCCAGGAATAGAATTCAGCTCTGCACCAAGCAGGCCTAATAGACATCTACAGAACTCTCCACACCAAATCAACAGAATATACATTCTTCTCAGCACCACACTGCACCTATTCCAAAACTGACCACATAGTTGGAAGGAAAGCACTCCTCAGCAAATGTAAAAGAACAGAAATTATAACAAACTGTCTCTCAGGCCACAGTGTAATCAAACTAGAACTCAGGATTAAGAAACTCACTCAAAACCACTCAACCACATGGAAACTGCACAACCTGCTCCTGAATGACTACTGGGTACATAACAAAATGAAGACAGAAATAAAGATGTTCTTTGAAACCAATGAGAACAAAGACACAACATACCAGAATCTCTGGGACACATTTAAAGCAGTGTGTAGAGGGAAATTTATAGCACTAAATGCCCACAACAGAAAGCAGGAAAGACATAAAATTGACACCCTAACATCGCAATTAAAAGAACTAGAGAAGAAAGAGCAGACACATTCAAAAGCTAGCAGAAGGCAAGAAATAACTAAGATCAGAGCAGAACTGAAGGAGATAGAGACACAAAAAACCCTTCAAAAAATCAATGAATCCGGGATCTGGTTTTTTAAAAAGATCAACAAAATTGATAGACCACTAGCAAGACTAATAAAGAAGAAAAGAGAGAAGAATCAAATAGATGCAATAAAAAATGATAAAGGGGATACCACCGCCGATCCCACAGAAATACAAACTACCATCAGAGAATAATATAAACACCTCTATGCAAATAAACTAGAGAATCTAGAAGAAATGGATAAACTCCTCAACACATACACCCTCCCAAGACTAAACCAGGAAGAAGTTGAATCTCTTAATAGACCAATAACAGGCTCTGAAATTAAGGCAATAATTAATAGCTTACCAACCAAAAAAAGTCCAGGACCAGACAGACTGACAGCCGAATTCTACCAGAGGTACAAGGAGTAGCTGGTACCATTCCTTCTGAAACTATTCCAATCAATAGAAAGAGAGGGAATCCTCCCTAACTCATTTTATGAGGCCAGCGTCATCCTGATACCAAAGCCTGGAAGAGACACAAGAATAAAAAGAGAATTTTAGACCAATATCCCTGATGAATATCAATGCAAAAATCCTCAATAAAATACTGGCAAACCGAATCCAGCAGCACATCAAAAAGCTTATCCACCATGATCAAGTGGGCTTCATCCCTGGCATGCAAGGCTGGTTCAACATATGAAAATCTATAAACGTAATCCAGCATATTAACAGAACCAAAGACAAAAACCACATGATTATCTCAATAGATGCAGAAAAGGCCTTCCACAATATTCAACAGCTCTTCATGCTAAAAATGCTCAATAAATTAGGTATTGATGGGAGGTATCTAAAAATAATAAGAGCTATTTATGACAGACCCACAGCCAATATCATACTGAATGGGCAAAAACTGGAAGCATTCCCTTTGAAAACTGGCACAAGACAGGGATGCCCTCTCTCACCACTCCTATTCAACATAGTGTTGGAAGTCCTGGCCAAGGCAATCAGGCAGGAGAAAGAAATAAAGGGTATTCAATTAGGAAAAGAGGAAGTCAAATTGTCTCTGTTTGCAGATGACATGATTGTATATCTAGAAAACCCCATTGTCTCAGCCCAAAATCCCCTTAAGCTGATAAGCAACTTCAGCAAAGTCTCAGGATACAAAATCAATGTGCAAAAATCACAAGCATTTTATACACCAATAACAGACAAACAGAGAGCCAAATCATGAGTGAACTCCCATTCACAATTGCTTCAAAGAGAATAAAATACCTAGAATTCCAGCTTACAAGGGATGTGAAGGACCTCTTCAAGGCGAGCTACAAACCACTGCTCAATGAAATAAAAGAGGATACAAACAAATGGAAGAACATTCCATGCTCATGGATAGGAAGAATCAATATTATGAAAATGGCCATACTGCCCAAGGTAATTTATAGATTCATTGCCATCCCCATCAAGCTACCAATGACTTTCTTCACAGAATTGGAAAAAACTACTTTAAAGTTCATATGGAACCAAAAAAGAGCCCACATTGCCAAGTCAATCCTAAGCCAAAAGAACAAAGCTGGAGGCATCACACTACCTGACTTCAAACTAGACTACAAGGCTACAGTAACCAAAACAGCATGGCACTGGTACCAAAACAGAGATATAGACCAATGGAACAGAACAGAGCCCTCAGAAATAATACCACACATCTAAAACTATCTGATCTTTGACAAACCTGACAAAAACAAGAAATGTGGAAAGGATTCCCTATTTAACAAATGGTGCTGGGAAAACTGGCCAGCCATATGTAGAAAGCTGAAACTGGATCCCTTCCTTACACCCTACACAAAAATTAATTCAAGGTGGACTTAAATGTTAGTCCTAAAACCATTGAAACCCTAGATGAAAACCTAGGCAATACCATTCAGGACATAGGCATGGGCAAGGACTTCATGTCTGAAACACCAAAAGCAACGGCAACAAAAGCCAAAATTGACAAATGGGATCTAATTAAACTAAAGAACTTCTGCACAGCAAAAGAAACTACCATCAGAGTGAATGGGCAACCTACAGAATGGGAGAAAATTTTTGCAATCTACTCATCTGACAAAGGGCTAATATCCAGAATCTACAAAGAACTCAAACAAATTTACAAGAAAAAAACAAACAACCCCATCAGAAAGTGGGCAAAGGATATGAACAGACACTTCTCAAAAGAAGACATTTACGCAGCCAACAGACACATGAAAAAATGCTCATCATCACTGGCCATCAGAGAAGTGCAAATCAAAACCACAATGAGATGTCATCTCACACCAGTTAGAATGGCGATCATTAAAAAGTCAGGAAACAACAGGTACTGGAGAGGATGTGGAGGAATAGGAACACTTTTACACTGTTGGTGGGACTGTAAACTAGTTCAACCATTGTGGAAGACAGTGTGGCGATTCCTCAGGGATCTAGAACTAGAAATACCATTTGACCCAGCCATCCCATAACTAGGTATATACCCAAAGGATTATAAATCATGTTGCTATAAAGACAAAAGCACACATATGTTTATTGCAGCACTACTCACAATAGCAAAGACTTGGATCCAACCCAAATGTCCAACAATGATAGACTGGATTAAGAAAATGTGGCACATATACACCACAGAATACTATGCAGCCATAAAAATAATGAGTTCATGTCCTTTGTAGGGACATGGATGAAGCTGGAAACCATCATTCTCAGCAAACTATCGCAAGGACAAAAAACCAAACACCGCATGTTCTCACTCATAGGTGGGAATTGAACAATGAGAACACTTGGACCCAGGAAGGGGAACATCACACACCAGGGCCTGTTGTGGGGTGGGAGGAGAGGGGAGGGATAGCATTAGGAGATATACATAATGTAAATGACGAGTTAATGGGTGTAGCACACCAACATGGCACATGTATACATATGTAACAAACTTGCACGTTGTGCACATGTACCTTAGAACTTAAAGTATAATTAAAATATATATATATATTTTTAAAAAGTTAAAAAAATAGTTTAAGCAAAAAGATAATTTACTGAGTCATGTAAAGTGAAAAGTCCAAGGATGGAGCTTCAGGTTAACTTGGACCCACGTGCTCAATGTCATCACGTGTTGGACTCCAGCTCTTGGCTTTGCTTTCTTCTCAGGTAGACTTTCCCTTTACAGTGACAATGATGGCCACCAGCAGCTTCAGTGATTGCTAAATAGGTAGATTATCAACAATTGCCAAATAGGTAAGCTTATACTCTACCTATTTAGCAATTGTTGCTGAAACAGGGACTCTTTCCCAATTATTTCAACAAAAGTTTCAGAATTGAGTCTTTATGGCCTGGACTGAGGCATGTCCCCATCACTGAACTAATTCATGTGGTTAATGGAGTAAAATTGGCTCCAAAAGGCCAAGTTTGAGTCAGGCTTAGGGTGACCAACTCACCCCGATTTGCTTGTTGCTTTTCTGATTTTAGGATTAAAAATCCCATGTCCCAGGAACCTCTTCCATTTGGGACAAACCAAGATAGCTGGCACCTTAGGAGTCTGCCCCGTGGATGAGGGGAATTAACAGTCAGCCCCATCTGACTCCCATAGTCAAAGAATGAAGGTGGGTTTGTCTCTTGGAGGAATTGCCAGAAGGAGGAGGAATGAATGCTGGGCAGGCAAAAGCAAGAGAGTAATGTCCTCTCCATTCATTTTCTTAGATTAGAGGCACCTTGAGGGCAAGGAATTAATCTTACTTATTTTTGTATCTTTTGAAAAATTGAGCACATTGCTCTCCACATAGGAAAGCCTCAAAAGAATTTATACTGATTCTTTCACAGCTTTATTAAATATTTGAAAAAATTCCTTTAGAGTGAAGGTCTAACACAATAGTTCATGGTGGTTAATACAGAATCATTTTTTAAAGGAGCACTTAAAAATATTTTACAATCTTAACTTGATTGAGATTATTCCAATATAATCTTACTGAAAATGGAGTAGGTGAAAAGTTTTCACCAAAGGAACTTTCAAAATCACTAAAATGCAATGATTCATAAGGTCCTTTTCCCCTGTTATATTTAAGATAAAATCTGTATTACTTAAACATCTAATTTATATTAAAAAGTGAACCTTAAATACTCTCCTTGACATTCAATTATTTAGTTTCAGTTGTGTTGTTGTTTAATTAGAACTGAGCAGTGGACAGGAATTGTTTTTCTTTGGGAAGCGTGTGGCTTTTGCTCTGAAACCTTCTTCCTGTAACTTCTAACTTCTGACCTTCTCCTGGCCAGCAATGAGTTATACATCACAATTAGGAGTATAAAAGAGAAATAATTGTATAGAGAGCTATGTCTTAAATTTTGAAAACAGGATAAGATTTTTAAAATATTTTGTGTTAATGAATAAATGTTCAGTCTTGAGCGTAGTTCATGGGAGAAAAAGAAACTGCCTTTGACATGCTGCTTCCAAATCTGACATTGCCCCATAGAGGCAAATGCTCTAGTTGTACTTAGTTTTTGTGTATTGATAAATAATATTTCTATACATTTATAGGGCAGATGTGATATTTTGTTACATGCATTGAACGTGTAACAATCCAGTCAGGGTATTTAGGGTATCCATTACCTCGAGTATTTATCATTTCTATGTGATGGGAACATTTCAAGTCCTGTCTTCTAGCTATTTTGAAATATAAAATACATTTAACTATAGTCACCCTACTCTCCTATCAAACATTAGAATATATTTCTTCTATCTAACTGTATGTTTGCTCAGTCATTTCTCTGTGGGGTATATTCATTTGTAAATAATAAGTTTAGACTATTGCCTCTAATTCATTTCAATCTCTAACATAAAATGGGTTTAAAGGCTCTCTATATTTCCAAAATTTATATAAAATTCCCTTTGCAAAAGCTGAGCTGAAAGAACATTATAAATGAATATTATTTTGCCTACCTAAATAAAACAACACTTATGCCTAAAAATCACATTGTAAATAAGAAATTTATGTTACTATTATGTTTTCTTTTATTATCATTAAAGTTCTACAATGAAACTATAGTGAACTTTGTGGCCGGCTTCCCAGCACCCATTCCAACTCATTTCCATTGAGAAAAAAAGTAAAGTTTGGGTGAGACCTCAGTTTAAGATGTGGACTGCATTGGTCTACAGGTAACCATATCCTTTGCTGGCTTAGATTTGGATATGTGACACAATTCTGTCCAAAGTGATTAAAGGAGACAGTTGCTGAAGACTTCTAAGAGACAGAAGAAATCTAGACGTCATTTCTATCACCCAGTGGAAGTGAAAAATGAATTACATGGTTCCTGTTGCTGCTGGTAGTTATATTTACCACTAAAGGAACCAGAAGTCTACTCTGTTAAAAGCCAAGTGTAAAGCTGCAAAGAACTGAGTACATTATGAAATCGTTGAGTTGCTAACTCAACCAGTCCTGAAGTCTGCCTTACCTCTGGACTTCTTGTTCCACAAGACGATAAATATCCTTACTATAACAGGATTTTGGTTGTGGTTGAAATGGTAAATATATAGAGGATAACAAAAGTTTAGGGCCAAAGGTCCTTATGTGTCATTTTGTCCCTCTGTTCCTGACCACTTTATCTTACAGAGCAAGAGCCCAGGTGGCATGAGACTCCCTAATTTAACCCAGCCACACAGGCAGTAGCAGTGGATAAAGAGAGTCCTCTCCTGATGCCCATCCAGCTGCTATCTTCACCACACATCTGACCTAGATGGCATTCAGTTTTGTCCACCCTTTAAGCATACATATGCACCTACTGAATGAACAAACAGGATATGCACAATACCCCCAAATGCCACAAAATTTAAGTTCTGCTAATCTTAAATGTTATGTCATTGGACATTACCTAAATTCCCCCAAAACTTGGCCTTACCCTGACTATTGTTCAAATTGGGGTACTTTTTTGGTCATAATGATAATAATCCCCAAAACAACATGTGTCAGATACTGTGCTGAATACTCTACTCGCTTTCCTCATTCATTTGATAGTAAGAGGTTGGTATTGTAACAAGACGCGTTTTGCAGATGAGGAAATGAAAGCTCAAATAGGTTGAGACACTGGCCCATGATTGCTCTGCTGGTGAGTGACAGAGTGAGTATTCAAACCAGGTTCTAGGGTCTGCAGGTTCTAGGGATTCAGCTACAGACCCACTACCATCCCCTCCAGCTCTGAAAGCCCATGGATCTAAGATGCCCATATTCACCAATGCACAGGCCAACCTGAGACTTAAAACTGGAATTAATTTATCAAGGCACAAACTAATAATCAACGGAATACATCTATTGCCAAATCATCTCCATGGCTGCTTCCAGATTGTTGGTAATAGCTATACTGTAAGGTTCAGACCAAGGGGACCAACGTCAGAATTTGTTATCTAAGGTCCAGTACTGCAGTTTACTAATCCAGGTACTGGATTTACAGCTATTAAATACTTAACACTTGAGGATATCACATGTGATTAATATTCTTAATTTATTTGTACTTTTTATTTGAGCTGGAGATACAGTAGTGAACAAGAAAGAAAATACCTTCTGGAGCCTGCATTTTAACAAGCGGGACAATTAAATTCAATAGTGATTTAGCAAGTACTTCTATACCAAGTTCTGTTTGGCACTACAGATAAAAAGAAAAAAGATGCTATCCTCTCACTGCCAAGTGTGCCTGGACAACCCAACTGTTAGCGAATAATTCTACTTCTGTTTGGTAACTGCTCTTTATGTTGGAAAGTTTAGTTACATTATTCTATTAAATAACCTTCCAATTAAAAGCAGGAGCACAATCCCACATACGCGTCTGTCAAAGTAAGCACCCATTTCTCAGCTGTAACTCATTACTGGTTCCCTGCCGCAGGCACTGTGCTGCTTTTAACCTTACTTGTAAACTATTACCTAACTTCCCCGGTAAAGGTGCTCGCTTATCCAGTAAGACGGACAGACGTCTATGGTAGATCCACGTTTCATTTATCCCAACTCACTGGAACTGGCTGAAGCTTCTCCAGACTTGTGCCGGACCTTGGTGCAGCCAAAGTTGCTTTCTCCGCGGCCACCTAAGCTGCCAGGTGCACATTAACTAAGTGGCAGAAGGCCATCGGCTTGGCAATTGCCTGAGGCCTTTCCGGGACTCGCTGGTTTTTAGGTTCCATGAAGGGCATCCAGATCTAGGATGATACGAAAAGTGCGTGGTGGGAGAGTGGAATCAACCTCTACTCTTAGGTCCGATACAACCCCTCCAAGCACCTGTCTAACCAATCGGAAAGAAAGTTACATTCAACGCTGGTTCTAGCATCCAATCCAAGGACGTGTTTCAGACTCTGCTGCCCGGTCCCAGCCAGCCCTGAGCTGGCGCCTTAGACGCTCGCCTGGCAGCTGCGCACACTCGGAGCGCCCCGAGCGGCGCAGATAGGGACGTTGGGGCTGTGCCCCGCGGCGCGGCGCCTGCCACTGCGCAGGCGCCTCAGGAAGAGCTCGGCATCGCCCCTCTTCCTCCAGGTCCCCCTTCCCCGCAACTTCCCACGAGTGCCAGGTGCCGCGAGCGCCGAGTTCCGCGCATTGGAAAGAAGCGACCGCGGCGGCTGGTGAGTACGCGCCTCGCGCGCTCGGCGTTCTGGGGGGCAATGTCACCCCCTCTCCAGTCCCCTAGGGGCTTTGAAAATAGAGATGGTGAGACCAGACCCTATGACCCACTCTCCCCCACTACACGCACATCCCCTGGGGCGCGGCGGGGACGTCCACGAAGGGACTCAAAGAGCCAGGGAGGTGGCGGGCCGAGGCGGAGGCCAGGAAGGGAAGAGGAAAGAAAAATTAGCAGGTGCTGGGGAAGGCAACCTGTGGTGTTAAGTGTGAAGGGAGGGAAGTCAGCCGAACGGTAGTGGAGGAACCTAAGGTGGGTCTGGGGTAAAATTGAGGGGAGCTGGGGCGGGGTCGCCAGGCTTTTGGTTTTAAAGGAGAACCACCCATGGCATCGACATCCGTCTGTCTGAATATTAGATTAGAGTTTATGTTAATTATAGATAATGATATTTAAGAACTAATTTCCTGGAAAACAAGCCAACCAAACAATAAAAGGTACATTTAAGTGCCTTTTTAAAGGGCTGGATTAAAAGCACGTAAGGACTTAAAAACAATGCTTCCTTTTCTTGTCACAACCACCCTATGAGATCATAGCATTCCCATTTTACAGATGACGAAAGTCAGGCTCAGAGAAGTGAAGGGACGCGTCCAACCAAGATTGTACAACTAGTGACAGGCAGATTCAGGTTTACACCAGATCTGACTCCAGAAGGGCTTTGCTTAATCAGGCAATCTTGTGGACCCAAGTCTGAAGGAAGATTTGCCAACTACTGTGAAATATCAACTGCTGGTTTCAGTATTATGAGCTTCTATTTCTTCTTTTTTCCCCTCAGAGATTGTTTCAATCTGTTTTAAGGAAATTAAGAGGCCTGCTGCACTTGTGCGTCTTCCCCCCACCTCCACTTAAATTAGTTACAGGATATAATTTGGAAGACATTTTTTTTTATGGTCTCAGGTCTTAGATTTATTTATTTATTAATTATTATTATTATACCTTAAGTTTTAGGGTACATGTGCACAATGTGCAGGTTAGTTACATATGTATATATGTGCCATGCTGGTGCGCTGCACCCACTAACCCATCATCTAGCATTAGGTATATCTCCCAATGCCATCCCTCCCCCTTCCCCCCACCCCACAACAGTCCCCAGAGTGTGATGTTCCCCTTCCTGTGTCCATGTGTTCTCATTGTTCAATTCCCACCTATGAGTGAGAATATGCAGTGTTTGGTTTTTTGTTCTTGCGATAGTTTACTGAGAATGGATTTCCAATTTCATCCATGTCCCTACAAAGGACATGAACTCATCATTTTTTATGGCTGCATAGTATTCCATGGTGTATATGTGCCACATTTTCTTAATCCAGTCTATCATTGTTGGACATTTGGCTTGGTTCCAAGTCTTTGCTATTGTGAATAATGCTGCAATGAACATATGTGTGCATGTGTCTTTATAGCAGCATGATTTATAGTCCTTTGGGTATATACCCAGTAATGGGATGGCTGGGTCAAATGGTATTTCTAGTTCTAGATCCCTGAGGAATCGCCACACTGACTTCCACAATGGTTGAACTAGTTTACAGTCCCACCAACAGTGTAAAAGTGTTCCTATTTCTCCACATCCTCTCCAGCACCTGTTGTGTCCTGACTTTTTAATGATTGCCATTCTAACTGGTGTGAGATGATATCTCATTGTGGTTTTGATTTGCACTTCTCTGATGGCCAGTGATGGTGAGCATTTTTTCATGTGTTTTTTGGCTGCATAAATGTCTTCTTTTGAGAAGTGTCTGTTCATGTCCTTCGCCCACTTTTTGATGGGGTTGTTTTTTTCTTGTAAATTTGTTTGAATTCATTGTAGATTCTGGATATTAGCCCTTTTTCAGATGAGTAGATTGTGAAAATTTTCTCCCATTTTGTAGGTTGCCTGTTCACTCTGATGGTAGTTTCTTTTGCTGTGCAGAAGCTCTTTAGTTTAATTAGATCCCATTTGTCAATTTTGGCTTTTGTTGCCGTTGCTTTTGGTGTTTTAGACATGAAGTCCTTGCCCATGCCTATGTCCTGAATGGTAATGCCTAGGTTTTCTTCTAGGGTTTTTATGGTTTTAGGTCTAACGTTTAAGTCTTTAATCCATCTTGAATTGATTGTTGTATAAGGTGTAAGGAAGGGATCCAGTTTCAGCTTTCTACATATGGCTAGCCAGTTTTCCCAGCACCATTTATGAAATAGGGAATACTTTCCCCATTGCTTGTTTTTCTCAGGTTTATCAAAGATTAGATAGTTGTAGATATGCGGCGTTATTTCTGAGGGCTCTGTTCTGTTCCATTGATCTATATCTCTGTTTTGGTACCAGTACCATGCTGTTTTGGTTACTGTGGACTTGTAGTATCGTTTGAAGTCAGGTAGTGTGATGCCTCCAGCTTTGTTCTTTTGGCTAAGGATTGACTTGGCGATGCGGGCTCTTTTTTGGTTCCATATGAACTTTAAAGTAGTTTTTTCCAATTCTGTGAAGAAAGTCATTGGTAGCTTGATGGGGATGGCATTGAATCTATAAATACCTTGGGCATTATGGCCATTTTCACGATATTGATTCTTCCTACCCATGAGCATGGAATGTTCTTCCATTTGTTTGTATCCTCTTTTATTTCCTTGAGCAGTGGTTTGTAGTTCTCCTTGAAGAGGTCCTTCACATCCCTTGTAAGTTGGATTCCTAGGTATTTTATTCTCTTTGAAGCAATTGTGAATGGGAGTTCACTCATGATTTGGCTGTTTGTCTGTTGTTGATGTATAAGAATGCTTGTGATTTTTGCACATTGATTTTGTATCCTGAGACTTTGCTGAAGTTGCTTATCAGCTTAAGGAGATTCTGGGCTGAGACAATGGGGTTTTCTAGATATACAATCATGTCGTCTGCAAACAGGGACAATTTGACTTAATTTGGAAGAAATTTTGATGAAAGGACAAGGAGTAATGGAGGGAGGTATTTTACTATGTAGAAAGTAAGATAAGTGTAAGTGTTTTGAAGCTGCTAGAAAACTTTGTGTATGCTAGAAATTTCTGTGTATTTTACAAAATTGGAGAATAATTTAGAATCCTACGATTTTTAAGACTAAGGAATTTTTAAGGAGTATATTTTTTTCCTTAGACTATAAGAAAGCAACTGATAATAATCTAAAGATAACTGCCTTATTTATAGTCATAGAATAAAGTTTTTAAAGGTGTATGAGAGTTTCATTGTATTACAGAGCAGATGGCGTGCTAATAGTGACAAATATCTTTCACCATATCCTGTAATGGTTTATACTCTCTTGGCTTCACATGGGCTAGGAATGCCAGTGAGAGTTGACTGCATTCCATCCAGGGAAGAACGTCTTCCCAGAGAAATTAGAAGGTAGTTTGTCCCCTGAATTGAAGACTAACTCATACTTCCATTTGTTGTAGGGATATTTGGTTGCAGTCCAGAGAGGTCTGCTTTTTTTCTTCTCTTTGACATCTTTTTGGTGTGAAAAATTACAGAATTTCTCTCAATGTTTTATACTGTAACAGTTTCATTCCCTGCAAACTTTATTTTCATTCCTTGGAAACTGCTTGAGAACTTCTCATTGTTGGTTTGTCTGTAGCTTAACACTCCCTATTAGAATGAGACAGAATGTGGCAGACATGGATCCGGCACTGCTAATAAAAGGTGTTCTATCAGGAAGAGTTCTGTTAATAGTTTGGAGATTATTATCAGACTTGTTAACTTGCTATTACTGGACTTGTAAACTTATTGAGGACATGAAATTAGTAAGAACACAGTGAAGCAACTGATTGCTTTCTGAGCCCGGCTAATCACTGGACTTTAGCTTCATCATAAGCAAAGTCATATGCAAGGTCATCATATGCGAAGAGATGAGACTAAATTATTCCTAATGTATTTTATAGTTTCACAATAATATTCTGCCTATCATAGTACAGTCTTGTTTTTTTTCCCAACATCTTTGTAACTAGAATGATAAAGGGAAACTAATTTTGAGGGCCTATTCTGTAACCTTTACACATCCTCATTTTACACACAAGGAAACAGAAGCCAAGAAAAGTTGGATCTACCCAAGATCACCCATCTACTAATTGTGAGTTCAGGTTCTGGGACCCTTCTGACTTCAGTCTATAGTCTTTCCACTTTGTCTGTACTACTTATCCTGAGAACAAGGACTGGGACGCTTGGATCCCAGCAGTGTGCTGAGGGATTACTGAGCCACAGGATTAACAGCATGTGTTCCTGGAGCATCCTTTTAACTCAAGATTTGAGGAAGAAGCATTTTGATTTGTGTTTTGTGGGAGAGGACGGACACAGGTTTTTGGTCTGTTTTGCACATGGGAAGTGGTATAAAACTTTCACATTAAAACACTCAAGTGTGTATTTTGGAGTATAAAATTCACTTTTTTGAGGTAAAATGAGATCAAAAATGTTTCCTGTTTTGTGGCAGGACATTTCAGATTACAATTTCACTTCCCTCTGCTCTTTTTTAAAAAATAATATTTTATTGAGATATAAATCACACACCATTCAATTCACTCATTTTAAGAGTACTGCTTTATGGAGCTGTGCAACTGTCATCACAATCAATTTGAAAACATTTTCATAACCCCAAAAATAAACTTTATACTTACTGGCATTTATTACCCATTTCCCCCCCAACCCCTGGCCCTAGATAGTTACTATAGTTACTTTTAGTCTCTATAGATTTGCCTGTTCTAGACATTTTATCTAAATGGAATCATATAATAAGTGATTTTTTGTGACTGCGTTCTTACATTTAGCGTATTTATCCAGGTTATAAAATGTGTTAGCACTTCCTTCCTTTTTGTGTCAAATAATATTTCATTATATGGATATATTACATTTTATTTATCCATTCATAAGTTAGTGCACATTGAGATGTTTCCACTTGATTCTTACAAATAATGCTGCTGTGAACATTTGTGTACAAGTTTTTGTGTGGACATATGTTTTCATTTCTCTTGAGCACATACCTAATAGTAGAATTGCTGGGTTATATGGTAGCCCTATGTTTAACCCTTTGAAGACTGCCAGAATATTTTCCAAAGTGGCTGTACCATTTCACATTTCCAGTAGCAGTTTATAAAGGTTTCAATTTCTCTATCAACACTTGTTGTTATCTATTTTATTTACTCATCCTTCGGGGTGTGAAATGGTACCTTATTGTGGGTTTGATTGCATTTCTCTGATGACTAATGCTGTTGAGCATCTTTTCATGTGCTAATTTGTCATTTGTGTCTTCTTTGGAGAAATATCTTTTTCAGCTCATGCTCATTTTTTGACTGGATTATCTGACTTTTATTATTGAGTTGTAGCAATTCTTTATATAGTCTAGATACAAATCTCTTCAGATATATGATTTGCAAATATTTTCTTCCATTCTCTGGGTTGTCTTTTCACTTTCTTGATGGTATCCTTTGAGGCACGAGACTTTTTAATTTTGAAGTCCAGTTTATTTCTCTTTTTTGGTCACTTGTGCTCTTGGTGTGGTATCTAAGAAGGCTCTGTTGAACCCAGGGTTACAAAAATGTACTCCCACATTTACTCCTACATTTTCTTTTAAGAGTTTTACAGTTTTAGCTATTAATCTAGGTCTGTGATCTACTTTGAATGAGTTTTTGTGTATGGTATGAGGCAGGGCTTCAATTTCTTTTGCATGTGGATATCCAGTTGTCCCTCTACCATTTGTTGAATTGTCTTGGCACCCCTCTGCTCTTAGAGGTAAATCTACTGGAAAATTTTTGGACATACTGTGATATTCCATTTGTAGTAATTTCTCTAACACCTTAGCTTTTAAAATAATACATTATGGTGTATGAATCTCAAACACACTGTTACAAATATGTACTCATAAATTTATGAGTATTTTTCCCCGTGAGAAGATACTGTGCCACCTATTTGCTGATTTAAGTCTATTCTGTTATTTGGTGTTGTAGAACAAAATTGATTAAAGTGTAAAGCCTGTCTTTCTTTTTCCAGTTGGCAGCCTGATTTATTATTTTGGTTCTTTATGCTCCTGTTTTGATTATTATATATTTGAAAAGTATAAGTTCTTTGTCCCCTAATACATGGCACATACATATACTTTTGTGTTATGGAATTAGTGATAGTAGATATTTGTTGAATGATTTTTTACAAAATGACCCAGGTGTCTGCTGAGTTAACCTTCATATGTAGGAACTAATTTTAGGATATTCTGGAAGTGCAAACTAACACTGAAGAGCTATTATAGGCCACCAAGATGAACGATGATTATACTTTACATGTTGTTGTAATACATTTCAGAAAGACCATGGCAATGAAGTATGGTGAATGGAAATTCAAGTTGGCAGTTATTTCTGTATTTATTTCACAGTAATTTGCATGCAAGTTGGACCTGGATATTGGAGGGGCTTCAATGTGAGACTGAGGCATTTGGGCTTTTTGTATAGGCAGGGGGGCCTTTTGAATATATTTTAAATTAAGGGAACATGAACAGAGCTGTGCCCAGAGAGACTGAGTAGGCAGCAGGTGTGAGGTAAGAAAGTGGAAGGTGGTTGAGGTAGAAAGGTGAATTAAGAGACAAAAGTGCTCTGGACAAGAGGTATTGAGGACTAAAAAATATAGCAGTAGTAGAGATGGATGAGTGGGTAGCTGTTAAAAATGCTTGTTTCAAATGCAGGTTTCTGGCCTCTACTGTGGACTGACTGAATCAGAATCTCCTAGTTATAGTGACTTGACAGCTGCACTTTTAACAAGCTCCCTTCAGTGATTCTTTTGTCTGATATGCTGTATTAGATGATACGAAGATAGAATTGACTAGACTGGCAACTGATCATATACTCAGGGGATCTCTTTGTTACTGAGAGAATGGCGAAGCTGTTTTAAAGGGTTGGGAACTAAGGAAGGGGGAAAAGATTTGGAGGTATAGAGAATGCATTCCATCTGACACATATCAGATTGGATTTGGCAGCAGAACAGCTGTGCAGTGGGATAGGATTGGTTGGGAATATAAAATAGTTACACAGGGAAAGAGCCAGAGCAGTAAATAGTGTTTTTCAAAAATTAAGTTTATGAGTATGTTTTCCCTGTGAGAAGATACTGTGCCGCCGTATTTGCTGATTTAAAAGTCTACTCTGTGATTGGAAAGAAATATTTGGATATGGGGAACTATACCCAGAGAGAAACCAGGGAATCTACTCAATCCAAGCTTTCATGGAGACCTGCATGCCCTTGACACAAGTTCTAAAATTGTAGCAACCCACATGATACTGTCATCTGATTGAACCCAGTTAAAACTCTCTGAGGGAGGAGTTAAGTCATACATAAACACTGTGTTGAGGGCATAAAATATTGAATGAACGGGTAAGTACCATTGTCTAGATTCTTGATAGCTGAAATTGCTGTGCTATGACTAGGGCTGTGTCTGTGGAAATACCCATATGCCTCCTCTACCACTCATTAGGTTTGTTACTCTGTCTTTTGGAGAGGTGGTTTTGTTACTCTGCATTAGTTTTGGTTATTAGGGAGCACCAGGAACAAATGTTCCATGCACCACATTCAGAAGGCAACCTGTCTCCGATTAAAATAGTAGAGATTTTGTAGACCCCAAGATCCTCATAAATCAGATTCTGTGCCTTTGGTCTTCCTAATTTTAAGTCAGTTTTTCAGAGGATCACAGCCTCTGTCAGTATTTGACCACAAGTACGCAGATCCTCCAGGTGGCATGTTTGAAAGAAAGAGAGAAAGTGTTTCCAGTCTACTTGAGAGAATACACAATAAATGACTCCTGAACTTCATAATCATATTAGTTAACTTGCTGCTCTTCATACCTGGGACCTCAACATGCATACCCGTTACCATGTTCAGGGTCTTCTTAGTCTGAAATAATGCATTCACTTGTTGCATTCTAACTGCAATCCCAGATCTTTGTAACTTTCACTAAAAGTTACTCTTAACTAATCTTCATTAGTTCTTTGACTTCACCAGAACCTCTAGTTGAAAAACTTCTCTACTTCTTACTTACATCTGTCAGTTTCAGCTTAGATGCTGCAGCCCCAATTTCAGCTGCTCTTTAGTTAGCATCTTCAGCTTCCTTTGTCTTCCTTCAGTTTCTGGCAGAATCTCAAATCCAGGTAGGATCAGCTGCCTGTTTTGTTCATGCCTGTGCCAGGTTTACTGAGTTGCTAGAGAAAACCAGTCAACTGTGTCACTATGAAAATTCATGACAGCTGTCAACATTGACTCCAGTTCTACTGTTTACTCACACTTTCTCCCATCTTCCACATTAACTATTTCAGACATTCTTTCTGTTCCTCAAACCTCTGAACCTTTTACCATTCTACTCCCTGTCAATAATTGACCCTACCTCCGGCAACTCTCTTCACCTCCAGCCCTCAAATCTGTCAGCTCCCCTACCTTTGCTCCTTCTCTCCTGTTACAATGGAAGAGGCATCCTGTCCATCTGAAGTGAATCATTTTACCTCACTCACATGTCCTATTTTCTTAGAGACCAAAGAAGATAGAGAGCAAAGGCAGGGAGATTTATTAGGGAAAAGCTGTTTTTGTCATCAGTGAATTGATTTAAAGAAAGAACAAAAAATCAGAGATAGCTTTAAGCCTAGGGTATTAGTGAAAATAGTTGTTGATAGCTAAAAGGAAGTTTAAGAGGGATGTGGTAATAAAACTCATTTCAATAGCTATTGGATTTCTTCATAAGTTACTGGAGCATCCATGTCCATGTAGGCTTTGCATGTTTGTTAATCAACTTCATGTGACTATTGGGGCACATACAGACTGATGGGGGCTTTTTTCTCAATAGCATTTATTTCTTATTCCCCCTTTTTTATAGCAATATTTTCAACAAGAACTGGCAATAAACCAATATGGTAGAATTTCCACCAATTATTTCTGTGGGTTAAAGAAACTATAAAGTACAATTTATTAAACTGGAAAAATAATCATCATCTCTGGAGCCTCTGAAAGCTTGGCATTAACGTTATGTTTTACAAAAGAATCATTTTAGTGTCTGCATCTATTTTTATTAAGCCTTTCGAAGAATTTCTAATGTGGCAAATGAGCTGACAGCCTAGAAGGAGTATTGATGTGGAGTATAAAAATGGCCCATATGAAGGATAGAGTAGGGCATATATATAAATAGGAAATTGGACAAGACAATTTTTTTTCCAATTTTAGCTTTTAGTTATTTTTAAATAAATGGTATTATTTAAGTTAATATAGGTAAAGCTGGCATATAAATGTTGGTTCTCTCCTCCTGTGGGCTAAAATTCTAAAACTTAACCCAAATGAAATAGAATTACTACTTATGAGTTGTGTTTTTACATTTTAGGAACCCTGATTGCTGTCCTTCAACGTGTTCATTATGAAGTTATTAGTAATACTTTTGTTTTCTGGACTTATAACTGGTTTTAGAAGTGACTCTTCCTCTAGTTTGCCACCTAAGTTACTACTAGTATCCTTTGATGGCTTCAGAGCTGATTATCTGAAGAACTATGAATTTCCTCATCTCCAGAATTTTATCAAAGAAGGTGTTTTGGTAGAGCATGTTAAAAATGTTTTTATCACAAAAACATTTCCAAACCACTACAGTATTGTGACAGGCTTGTATGAAGAAAGCCATGGCATTGTGGCTAATTCCATGTATGATGCAGTCACAAAGAAACACTTTTCTGACTCTAATGACAAGGATCCTTTTTGGTGGAATGAGGCAGTACCTATTTGGGTGACCAATCAGCTTCAGGAAAACAGATCAAGTGCTGCTGCTATGTGGCCTGGTACTGATGTACCCATTCACGATACCATCTCTTCCTATTTTATGAATTACAACTCCTCAGTGTCATTTGAGGAAAGACTAAATAATATTACTATGTGGCTAAACAATTCGAACCCACCAGTCACCTTTGCAACACTATATTGGGAAGAACCAGATGCAAGTGGCCACAAATACGGACCTGAAGATAAAGAAAACATGAGCAGAGTGTTGAAAAAAATAGATGATCTTATCGGTGACTTAGTCCAAAGACTCAAGATGTTAGGGCTATGGGAAAATCTTAATGTGATCATTACAAGTGATCATGGGATGACCCAGTGTTCTCAGGACAGACTGATAAACCTGGATTCCTGCATCGATCATTCATACTACACTCTTATAGATTTGAGCCCAGTTGCTGCAATACTTCCCAAAATAAGTAAGTAAACATTCAACTGAGGGATACTATTATTCGAATGGGGCAATTGATTGAGGGGGGTGGGTTGTATAAAAGAATGAAGCTCTAGCTTTTTGTAGTTTAGAACCATATACTCAGAGTGGGATTATATGTTTTTTTCCTCTTGTTTACAAGTTGAGAGCAGTTGGCCTATGGTTTAGTTATATGGCTTATGGTTTAGTTTCAAAGTGAGTATTTCTTTGCTTTTGATATATCTAATTATTTGCACTAGAAAAAGGAAATTTTTATCCTTAAACATCTTAGATTTTAGTGTGTGATATTTAGTGGTGAGGTACTTTCTTCTACTGATCATAGAAGTAGTAGTTAGTAGTAACATGTAATTAGTTTATGTTTACTTAGGAAGATACACCTGAAAAATGTCCCCTATCTGTAAAAGTCCACCATGGTAATCCACAAAGTGAAACAGATTTGTTAATGTTTGAGAAAGGTGTGTGTTTGTGTGTATCAGTCCCCAACACTCTCACATTATTATTGCTCTGTTTTTTTAAGAAGTGATTTAATAGATGACATTATCTATAATTTACTTCCAATTATTCTAGTTAGACATATTTTTTCCTTATCAATCATAACTTGTTTCCTTTGCTGTTTCTTTTTTTTTCTCAGATAGAACAGAGGTTTATAACAAACTGAAAAACTGTAGCCCTCATATGAATGTTTATCTCAAAGAAGACATTCCTAACAGATTTTATTACCAACATAATGATCGAATTCAGCCCATTATTTTGGTTGCCGATGAAGGCTGGACAATTGTGCTAAATGAATCATCACAAAAATGTAAGTATTTAGTTGAGATATTTCTGTTGTATCCTAGGAACAAATCATACCTTGTGATACTGTTGTGTTAAGAGGGTACTTCGATTTAAAGAAGTTCACACAGAATAATTAGTTCAATTTTCAACCAGATAATTCCCAGGTCTTCATTTAATAGCAATTTACAGTAATCACAATTTCACCTTTAAATTAGAAAGTAAATTTAAGAGTGAAGGCAAAGTCCTACTTTCTTTCCAAAACTGCAATTACTGTCAGTAATTTTCAAGATTCATTCTCTTGATTTATACAAAATAGAGAAGTAAAGAAACAGTAAAAGGGGAGAGATTAGCTAATCCTTGTTCTTTTGTGTGTTAAAAAAAATTTGTCTGAGTAACCCTAAGTCTTCCCCAGTAACAAAATCATTTACCTGAATGCTACAGCTATTTAGAACACTGGGCAAGAACCAGAAAGTAACCAAACAAATCCACCAAGTGAACAAAATAGATACATCAAAATCTCTCCTAAAAAATATATAGGGGAGAAAATGTATAGGGGTGAGTTACAGGCTTGCCTCAAACTGAAGCTTATTTATCCATATTTCATATTCAATTCAAATGCTTTTTTTAAAATCTAATTTTGTGGTCTATGGTAGGGGTCAGCAAACTTTTTTAGTAAAGGGCCAAATAGAAAATAGTTTAGGCTTTGTGGGCCAGCTGGTCTCTGTCTCAGCTACTCTACTCTGCCTTTATTGTGTAAAAGTAGCCATAGACAACCTGTAAAGAAATTGAAGTGGTGTGCTTCGGTGAAACTCTGTTTACAAAAAGGATGGAGGGCTAACCTTCGCTATGGGCTGTAGTTTACAGTTCCCTGATATATAGCAATTTAGAAGTATCAGGCAAGCATAGGACAGACTCAGAATCAATGAAGTTTGTATATTATTTACATCAATGTTATGTTGCATATTTGTTGTTGACAACCGAAAGTATAGAAAAGCATAGGAAAGAGAACAAAAACTATCCATAATCCCTCAGTATGGATTTATAGGCAAATGTTAATTGTGGACATTTCTCCCCATCCAATCTTTTTTCATATATATATTCTTTTCTAATATATATCTATATTATATATATTATATGTAATATAATTATATGTAATATATATAATATATATAATGTATATTATATATTATATATAATATATAATTACATATAATTATAATATATATTTTCTACATATATATGTAGAATATATTATATATTATATATAGAAAAATATATATTTTTTTCTAATATATGTGTGTGTGTTTTAATATTATTGAAATCTTTATATATTCTGCTTTTTGTCATATTGGTTATTTTTATGATGAAATATTTCAAACATACCACCAAAGAATAATATAACAAATATCAGTATACTCATCACCCAGTCACCCGTACTTAATATGAAAGTGGGAGCTTATTAAATACAACGGGTGTACGTTAAATGGCAACATTTGTTAAAATAAAGCTAAAAATTGGGAATTTATTATTGGAGTTGTATTAGGGACTATCATATGCTTTTCTTTAAGTCTAACTTTTACTGGGATAGAGTCACCAGATTAGACAACACATTCAACGCAAGATCCCTCCTGTAACAATTGAGATAGGTTAGGCTGCAGATTTTCTTTTTCTCCATTTGTTGGCCTTACTCACTTCTGTTCTTCCCAGTTACACAGAACCCTCAGCCTGACCACTGTCTTTATAACTGGTACTGCTTGCAGTGAGCTTTTGCAAACAGTGCTGAGATTGACAAGTGAAGTAATTGGTACTCGGGCTGAAAGATAAGTACATCAGGTTGACAAGTGGTGGTAAAGTCTGAGGGTATGACCAGTTGGGAAAAGGGGCATATGTGTGTGTTTGTGTGTGTATGTGAGAGAGAGAGAGAGAGAGGGAAATATGGAACATAGCTGAGTTGAAGAAATAGAAATTTTTATTTCTAGTCCCTTTCTGAAAGAATTGAATGTTTATATACTAGAAGCAAGTTATTTTGTCCTAAAAAGTCTGATCTTATTGACTGATGTTGTTTTGTTCTTTTTCAGTAGGTGACCATGGTTATGATAATTCTTTGCCTAGTATGCATCCATTTCTAGCTGCCCACGGACCTGCATTTCACAAAGGCTACAAGCATAGCACAATTAACATTGTGGATATTTATCCAATGATGTGCCACATCCTGGGATTAAAACCACATCCCAATAATGGGACCTTTGGTCATACTAAGTGCTTGTTAGTTGACCAGTGGTGCATTAATCTCCCAGAAGCCATCGCGATTGTTATCGGTTCACTCTTGGTGTTAACCATGCTAACATGCCTCATAATAATCATGCAGAATAGACTTTCTGTACCTCGTCCATTTTCTCGACTTCAGCTACAAGAAGATGATGATGATCCTTTAATTGGGTGACATGTGCTAGGGCTTATACAAAGTGTCTTTGATTAATCACAAAACTAAGAATACATCCAAAGAATAGTGTTGTAACTATGAAAAAGAATACTTTGAAAGACAAAGAACTTAGACTAAGCATGTTAAAATTATTACTTTGTTTTCCTTGTGTTTTGTTTCGGTGCATTTGCTAATAAGATAACGCTGACCATAGTAAAATTGTTAGTAAATCATTAGGTAACATCTTGTGGTAGGAAATCATTAGGTAACATCAATCCTAACTAGAAATACTAAAAATGGCTTTTGAGAAAAATACTTCCTCTGCTTGTATTTTGCGATGAAGATGTGATACATCTTTAAATGAAAATATACCAAAATTTAGTAGGCATGTTTTTCTAATAAATTTATATATTTGTAAAGAAAACAACAGAAATCTTTATGCAATTTGTGAATTTTGTATATTAGGGAGGAAAAGCTTCCTATATTTTTATATTTACCTTTAATTAGTTTGTATCTCAAGTACCCTCTTGAGGTAGGAAATGCTCTGTGATGGTAAATAAAATTGGAGCAGACAGAAAAGATATAGCAAATGAAGAAATATTTTAAGGAAACCTATTTGAAAAAAAAAGCAAAGACCATTTGATAAAAGCCTGAGTTGTCACCATTATGTCTTAAGCTGTTAGTCTTAAAGATTATTGTTAAAAAATTCAGAAGAAAAGAGAGACAAGTGCTCTTCTCTCTATCTATGCTTAATGCCTTTATGTAAGTTACTTAGTTGTTTGCGTGTGCCTGTGCAAGTGTGTTTGTGTGTGGTTGTGTGGACATTATGTGATTTACTATATAAGGAGGTCAGAGATGGACTGTGGCCAGGCTTCCACATTCCTGAAGCACACAGATCTCAGGAAAGGTTATTTTTGCACTTCATATTTGTTTACTTTCTCCTAACTCACAAGTTAAAATCATAACTTAATTTCATTAACTTTTATCATTTAACTCTCTCATGTTTGTTGTAACCTGAGGTATCCAAATGCTACAGAAAAATTTATGACCCAAATACAAATCTCAATTTGACTGGGACAGAATGAGGAATGGAGATTTTTGTATTTATCTTTGGGACTTTATGCCTTACTTTTTAGGCTATAGAATAGTTAAGAAATTTTAAACAAAATTTAGTATCTTTTGGTCTTTCACACCATTCATATGTTAAGTGGCAGAATAGCCTTAGTGCTACCTCCACTTTTTTCTCCAGTATTTGCATCACAGAAATAATCCCTCTGTTTAACATGTTTGTTCAGAGCCAAGGGTTTATTGTGAAGAACTGTCATCCTGCCTTTGCTAGCTGGTACCTTCTAGTAATCAAAATTAATATGAAGAAACTAGGTTGTGACAGACTAGATTATATTTAGTAGGGGAAAAATTGGGCTCAAGAACCATTCATCAGTACGTGAGACAAGCAGTTAATAGTATGATCTTTAAAGTTTTGACAATATAAAATAAACTTGGTAACTGTTTTACAAATATAAAAGTATAATAAATATGCAGCCCAGTTAAATATTGATTATCTGTGATGGTAAAGAACAACAGTGGTGCCAGTCATCAAACATACAGTGCGTCCTATTGAGTCACTGCTAATTTCTTGAGCCTGGTATTTGCTGCCTATTGTATTTGTGGTTGTTGAGAGGCATTTTCAAACCCTGTATAAATAATCCATGCTGTTGGTCATAAGTTAACTGTATTAAGAACAGTAAAATAAATAAAAACCAATAGTACTAATTTTGCTTTAAAAAAATTTCTAATTTTTTTCACATAAAACAATTATCCTAAAGGTTAATAGTTGATCGAAACAGAATAATAGAAAAATTCTACTTTAATTTCCATTAAAAAGCAAATAGCATTGACACATTTAAAGCTTTTCATTTAAAGTAGTGGATGTTTTTGAAGTATCTAAAATAGTAGCAGAATATTTTATACTTGGTCCTTGCAATGGTGTGAGTTTTAATGATTGCATTATCGTGATTGGTGGTTATGAGTTTCAGAAATCTATACTTGGCATCCAACTCATGAGTGGATTTTATATAGGATGGAACAGGAAGGTATGTCCTGTCAGTATCTTAACCCTTTCAACAAGACATTTACCTATTTGTCTTTCCTTACGTTCTCAAAATATTAACTCGAATTGTAAATTAAGCAAAAATTTAAAAAGTATATGTTGATGGGACAAGAAGAATAGTATTTATTTAATAAAACATATATTATATTGAACTATGTGTTAATTCATTTGTATCTTTTAAAAAATTATCACTGTTAAAGCCATTGACTCCTTTAGTACACTGAGAAAAATCTTATAGTAAAACTAGCCTTTCACATTAAGGTTTTGGTGTGTATTTTGTTAAATAACTAACATGCTGCTCTATTTTCTGGGTGTAGAAAGTATTTGGCTCTAGGAAACATTTACTTGTTTGTGAAAACAATACCCCAAGGTAATAGGAAAAGTTTGAGTTAAGTGTTTTTAATTCAGTCAGTGAATTCAGAATAAGTACATTCATGTATAACATAGGGACAGTTCTGCTGCTGTTATTTATATGCAATTCTTCTGGTAAATAGCAATAGAATAAAACATATTTCAATGTTTGTGTATAGGTTTTATATTATTATTCCACTAGGAATGGCATAAGAATTTATAGATAAATTCTTGTAACATTAAAGGATTAAAATGTTTTTACATTGTTTTTGGGTGTCTCCTTCTTGTGCCCATATCTGATAAGCTTTATGGATTATTGCATTTAATTCCTTTTATTTGGAGGGTTTTACTTCCTTGTTAACATATAAAGTTATAAATGAAGGACAAGGAGGAGATGGAAAATGTGTATTTATTGTTAATTCTTAAAATAGTGTGTAAATAAAATAACATCAGTGTGCTTTAAAGAAATGTGTATGTAGTGCCTTAATTTAAATTAAAATATTTTTGACTGTTACTTGAGTTCAGAATTAATGACTTTGTTCATGATTTTTAAAATGTGTGTGAATAAAATCTACCAAAAAATTCTTACTGTAATTATTAAATATAAAGTTCAGTGTCACTGGTGATTTTTACATTTGTTACCTTCTTGCAAAATATACTTACTGTGCTAGATGTTGACATGACTTAGTAATATTATAGAAGCCCACATAGGTGTTTATTAGGATTTTTTAACTCTTTAACAAAAAGTTTAAAACAGTGTGTAAGTATACAATCCAGCATAAGAACATCATTGGAAAGAAAGCCAAGATAAGTTTTATAGAACCTCCAGAGCTATGATTTATTGGCTTATGGTAGAAGAGAAGAGGTTTGAAAAAAACCGATTATAAAATAGTGGGGATGGTAGGGGAAGCATTATAATGTTTAAACTTTGTACATAGCCATAGGCATTTAATGACTTGTCCAATTGAATATAGATTCAAGAATTCTCCTATTAGAGCAGTGATTAATTCATTTCCTATTTTTGTATTAAAAGAACTCTGCTAAGAATTGTAGGAAAACAAAAGAATAAATGGAACATTTTTTACTCTGAAAGAGAATTATTTCAAAAGTGGTAAAACTTTATTTATACCAACAAATTACCTATGTGTACTCATGGGTTAACTCTTGCTGCTGAGAGCCTTGTATCTAGAATCATTTTCCAGACCTTGTGCTTCCTGAGGTTCAGATGCTAATTTTGCCTCTTCCCCCAACTCCCAGCCTCCTTAGTGCCTATGTTTGGTTATTATTACATCCTTCTCACCCCATCCTCCACTAGTGTACTCACACACACATTCACAACCATTGCTTGAAAGAATATGTGAGAATCTAAATGATCCATCTGGGCTCTGGAGTCCTGTAACAGACATGCTGATCACAACATATATGTGTATGTGTGTATGTAAGTATATGTGTAAGTGTATATATATATGTATGTGTGTGTGTATACTATACATATATGTATGTATATACTAATATATATATGTACAGGCACATGTGTGTATAGTTCTATATTCTTATGTAATAACTATGTGTATATGTTGAAATGACTAGATCCTCTGACTCCTGTCCCATGGTCAAAATTACCTGGGAGGTAAATGCAGAGTCTATACCTAAAGAGTAAGCCAAACTGCTATGCAGGCTTTCTGTGTCCACGTATCTTTTTTTTATCCTTTTGACCTCTGAAATCTCATTTCCACCGTCAATACACAACCTGGTGAGCTCTTCCACTGACAGCTCCATGATGATGATTTACAGACATGTGTCTCCAGTCTAGACCTTCCTCTTCTGTTAAAGATACAAATTGCTATTAATTTAATCAGCATTACATTCATATCAACCATGCTCAATCTCACTTTCGTAGGCGAGTGGTGGAAAGGAGCAATAGAAATTAACCCCAAAACAAATCTAGAAAATTTCACTATATAAATAACCATTTTATAAAGGGGCTTCTATAGGTTAGACAGAGTACTATTGATTTACAAAATGTTTGAAATATCCACTGAGGAGAGTGAATATGTTTTTTACACTCGAAATTTCTGTGAAGATTCTCCCTCACTCCCCCTTTTTTTGTAATCTTAAAAAGACATGTTGGGTTCTGTATCCAGTAATGGTAGACTGTGTAATTCAAACCAGTGCTCTTACTGAGGACTAGAAAATCTGGACAAATAAAAGATTTGTGCTTATGCATTGAGGAATTTCCAGAAAGTGAAGAATGAAGAGGCTAGGATTTAGAAGGAAAAAAAAAACCCAATAAACATGAGTCCCTAATGGCATCTATGAATTGTGGAAGAGGCAGCTGAAAGGCTGAGAAGCTAACCTAATCAGAAGAGACTAGGAGCGGGTGATTGAAGGAGAGAAGGCACAGATGTAAATATATCTATTAAAATCATGCATCTGCACTATTTGGCACAAATTTGAAAATATAAATGAATAATTTCCTAGGAAAAAAATTATTGGATAAAACTGACTCCAGTAAAGAAAGAGAAAACAAAAACATACCAGTTTCTGTATTTAGGAAAAGGTTGAGGCAGTTATAGTGTATAAAAAAGTATCAGGCCTCAAAGACAATAATCCTTTTTTTTTAGTGACTCTGTCAGGCTTGGATATCAGTTTATATTTGCCTCAAAAAACTAACATTTTAGAAAATGAAGTATATTATTTTTAAGGTGAATAAAACTGATACTGAACTTGAAAAAATAGCACACAAAAAAACTATGGACCAATCTTGAATGAAAGAAACATTTTTCAAAAATGAAAATTAAACCACATCTGTAATTAGATGTAAATAGACTGAACATTCCAGTGAAAAGGCAGAGATTATCAAAGTAGATGAAAAAGCAATATCCAACTACATGTAGTCTACAAGAGAATCACTTTAAATACAAAGACACAAATTGAATTTTAAAAAAGGATAGAAAATAACATGCCATGGAAACTGTATTAGTCCATTATCACTCTGCTAATAAAGACATACCTGGGACTGGGTAATTTATACAAGAAAGAGGTTTAATTGACTCACAGTTCCACAAGGCTGAGGAGGCCTCAGGAAACTTACAATCATGGCGGAAGGGGAAGCAAATATGTCCTCTTCACATGGTGGCAGTAAGGAGAAGTGCAGAGCAAAGCAGCGAAAAACCCTTATAAAACCATCAGATCTGATGAGAACTCACTATCACGAGAACAGCATGGAGGTAACTGCCCCCATGATTCAATTACCTCCCACCAGATCCCTTCCACAACATGTGGGAATTGTGGGAACTACAATTCAAGATGAGATTTGGGTGCAGACACAGCAAAACCATATCAGAAACTAACCATAATAAATATATACATATTGATATCAGAAAAAGTAGTCTTCAAGACAATAATTTTCAGGAACAGAGAGATTTCATTAATGTACAAGGACCAATATGTAAGGAAAGCATGACAATTCTAAAAGTGTTCATACCTAAAAACAGCTTAAAAACACATTAATCAAAAACTGATGGAACTAAAGAGAATTCGTAAACATAATTGAAGAATTTAGCACTCCTCTCTAAGTCGTTGATACACCAACCACACCAAGAAAAAAAGACAATAAAGATACAGAAGACTTGAGTGATTTTATTAACCACCTTGACTTAAATGAGATTTAGAGGAGATTACAGCTCCAAACTGCAAAATATATTATTTTTATAAGTATACATTGAAGAATTACCAAGTTTGGCCATACACAGGACCAGAAAACAAGTCTCAGTAAATAATCTCAAAGAACTGCAATTTTACAAAGTATGTTTTCTGACCACAATGGAACGAGGGTCAATAACAATACAATTCAGAAAATCCTTAAATATTTGGAAATTAAACAATACAATACACTTCTAAATAACTTATGAGAAAAATAAAAATAAGGCAAATAAAATATTTGGAAATGAATGATCATAAATATGTAGCACTAAAATCTATAGTATGCAACTAAAGCATTAGAGGAAAATTTGCAGCTTTGAATGCCTATCTTAAGAGAGGCTGAAGGGTTCAGAATCAATGATTACAGCCTTCGCTTTAGGAAAACAGTAAAAGGAGGAAATAATCCAAAGTCAGTGGGAGGAAGGATATAATAAAAATAAGATCCAAATTAATGAAATCGTGAAGAGAAAAAATAATAAAGTGAAAATTTATTTTTTAAAAACATACTAGTAAAATTGGTAAGATGACCTAAGAAAAAAGGGAGATAGCAGAAACTGGCAATATCAGTAATAACAGAAGCGCCATCACTGCAGATCCTACATATGTCAAAAAGATAATACAGAATATTATGCCAATGGATTTGACAATTTACATAATAATGGATAAATTCACCGAAAAATGCAACTTACCAAACAAATAAAAAATGTGAATAGCTTTATATCTATCAGACATTAATTTATAAAAAAATCCTTATAAAGAAAACTTCAAGTCCAGGTGTTTCACTGATTAGTTCATCACACATTTGATGAAGAAATGATACCAGTTTTACATAAATTCTTATGGAAAATAGAAGACGAAGGAACACGTTTTATTTATTTGTTTGTTTGTTTATTTATTTATTTATTTATTTATTTATTTATTTATTTGACAGAGTCTCTCTCTGTCACCAGGCTAGAGTGCATTGGTGCGATCTCGGCTCACTGCTACCTCCGCCTTCCCGTTTCAAGCAATTCTCCTGCTTCAGCCTCCTGAGTAGCTGGAACTACAGGCACGTGCCACCACGCCCAGCTAATTTTTGTATTTTTAGTGGAGACGGGGTTTCACCATGTTGGCCAGGATGGTCTCCATCTCCTGACGTCGTGATCTGCCCACCTCGGCCTGCCAAAGTGCTGGGATTACAGGTGTGAGCCACCTCGCCCAGCCAACATATTCTTTTTATAAGGCCAGTATAACACTGGTACAAAAACGTGAAAAAATATATTAAAAGACCAGTATTCTTATGAACAAAAATACTTAACTAAATATTATCTAATTGAATTCAGTGGTAATTCAAAAGGATAATGCACATGAATAAGTGGAGTTTACTACAGGGCACAGAATTGTTTTGATCATTGAAAATCAATCAATGTTATGCTGTATACTAATAGAAAAAAAGGAACACATTATCAAGTCAATGAATGTGGAAAAGTATTTGGCAAAATTCAACACCTATTTATTAGTTGAACAAACTGATTAAATTTGGAATAGAAGGAAACTTCCACCAGCTGATGAATGCCATCTATTAAAAAAAAACAAAAACAAAGCCAAAGCTAATATACTGAATGATGAAATAGCAAATGTTCCTCTCCTGGGATCAGGAACAGGGCAAGGATGTCCACTCTCACCACTTATATTTAACATTGTACTGCAGGTCCTAGCAAGTGCAATAAGGAAAGCAAAAGAAGTAAGTATTGGAAAATAAAACTCATATTCACAAATGCATGATAGTATACATAAGAAATCCAACAATCTACAGATAAACTCTGAGTTTAAAAAATGGCTAGATATCAGGTCAATATACAAAAATCAAGTGTATTCCTATATCTCAGCAGAAAACAATTAGAAAAGGAAAATTTTAAACTCATATTATTTACATTGCTATCAATAAGCATGGAATATTTGGGAATAAGTCTAACAAAATACATGCAGAATCTTTGCACAGAAAATTATAAAGGAGTTAAGGGAGACCAAAATAAATAGAGGGCTATATCATGTTTGTAGGTTGGAAGGTTAAATATTATAAAGATGGCAATTCTTCCCAAACTGATAATTGCATCCAAGTAATTTCAGCAGGGTTTTATTTGTTTTTTTATGGAACTGCAGAAGCTGACTGTAAAATTTGTGTAGAAATGCGAAGAGCCAAGACAATTTTGAAAAAAATAAAATGGTAGGACATACTCTATCAGGTGTCAGGAATAATTCTAAAAATATAATAAGAGAGTATAGTATTGACCCAAGGATTAAAAAATAGATAAACAGAATTAATCACCTTTGTTAAAATCAAGAATCCATACATCTGTGGGTGTATTAGACTTCTCTTGTATACCCTCAAACGCAGTCAATATACTCTTACTCCAGTTTTATTTTGGCTTTGGCTAGCTTCCCACAGATGCAACCTGACAATGCTTAGCCTCTTTCTTCTTGGCCCAGACATGACTGGCCTGAACACTAAAGTGGTGAGTGCCTCTAAGATCATACTTGGCACTTGGGCATGCACTTTTCAAGAAATATAGGGAGTTGATGCCCATGGGGCCATGTAAAAGTACAATGAGAAGGCAGCTGTCTGCAACCCAGGAAGAGAGCCCTCACCAGGAAACAAATCTGCTGGAATCTTAATCTTGGACTGTCCAGTCTCCTGGAACTGTGCGAAATAAACGTCTATTGTTTAAGCCATATTTGGTATTTTGTTACGGCAACCACAGCTAATATAATAAATAGTTCCAATACCATAAGAATCTCTTGCGTTGCTGTTTTATAATCACCTTCCATTTCAAATTTTGTCATTTAAAAAATAGTACATAAATGGAATTTTACAGTATGTAACTCTTTAGCATTGGTTTTTCCACCCAGCATAATTCCCTGGAGATCCATCCAAGTTGGTACACATATCAATAGGTTGTTCTTTTTTATTGCCAAGTAATAGTCCACGATGTGTTTGTAGGACAGTTTGTTTAACCACTCAACAAACTGAAAGATATTTGGGATGATTCTAGTGTTGGCCATTACAAATAAAGCTGCTCTGAATGTATGTTTACAGTTTTTTTTGTGTGTGAACATATGTTTTCATTTTTTTGGTATAAATATGAGTACAAATGCTGGGTCACATGTTTACTTTTATAAGAAACTGTCAAACTGTTTTTCAGAGTGGCTGTACCATGTACATTCTCAGCAGCAATATATGAGTGGTCCAGTTTCTCTGCATCATTGCCAGCATTTGATGTTATCATTGTTTTATATTTTAGCCTTTCTGATAGGAATATAGTGACATTTCATTGTGGTTTTACTTTGCATTACAGAATGGCTAATGATGTTGACATCTTTTCAAGAGCTTATTTGCTACCGTATATACCCTCTTTGGTGTAATGTCTCTTTATGTCTTTTGCCTATTTTTGAATTGGATTGTTTGTATTTTACTCTTGAGTTGTGAAGAACTATTTATGTATATCCTATATACTAGTCTTTTGTAGGATATGTGGTTTGCAAGTACTTCCTCTGTAGCTTATCTTTTTAGCCTCTTCTCATGGATTTTCACAGAACAACAAAAAAAAGCTAATTTTGATGAGGCCCAGTTTACCAATTTTTCCTTTTATGGGTTGTGCTTTTGGTGACAAGCCAAAGAACTCTGTCTTGCTCTAGGTTTTGAAGATTTTCTCCTATATTTTTTTCTAAAATTTTGTTTTTCATTTAAGTCCATGATACATTTTTAATTATATTTTATATAAAGTGTGGGGTTTAGGTCAAGGTTCAGGGTTTTTGTTGTTGTTGTTTAAAAGGCTGTCCTTTCTCCATTGATTTGCTTTTTAACCTTTGTCAAAAATCAGTTGGGACTATTTATGGGGACTATTTATGGGCATTTCAGGTTTGTCTATTCTGTTCCATTTATCTACGTGTCTGTCTCTCTGCCAACACCATACTGTCTTGATTACTGTATCTACACAATAGGACTTAATATCAGGTAGAATGATTCTTCTAGCTATATTATTTTTCAGTTTTGTTTTACCTATTGTAGGGCTTGTGTGTTCCCATATTAATTTTAGAATAAGTTCGTTTATGTCTACCAAAAAGAAAAGATTTTCAGGGATTTTGAATAATAGGAATTGCGGTAAATCTATAGATCAATTTGGGGAGTTGGCACTTTTACTATGTTATCTTCCAACTTTTGCACATGGTATGTCTCATTATTTATTGAAAACTTCTTCGATTTGAAGGCTTTTTGATTTATTTTGTCAGTATTTGGTAATTTTCAGGATTCTGTACCCATTTTGTTAAGTTTATAACTAAGTATTTTATTTTTTTTGGAGTGAATGTAATGGTATTACATTTCTAATTTCAGTTTCCATATATTCATTGTTCATATATAAAAATTGACTGATCTTTATGTGTTTATCTTGTGTCTTCAGACCTTGCTGTTAGTTCTAAGAGTTTCTGTTTTGTTTTTTAGATTCTTTGGGATTTTCTGCAAAGGCATGTCGCCTGGAAATAGGGATTGTTTTATTTCTTTTTATCACGATGTATGCGTTTTTTTTTCCTGCTAGAAAGAACTTCAGTAGCTAGAACTTCCGGTACTATGTTAAATACGAGTGATGATAGCAGACATCCTTCACCCATTCCCAATCTTAAAGAGAAAGCATTCAGTCTTTCACCATTAACTAAGATGTTAGTTGCAGTTTTTTAAAAAAGATGTTATTTATCAAGTTGAGATAGTTTCCTTTCCTAACTTGCTAAGAGGTTTTTTTTTTCTTTCTTTAAAAAACGAAAAAAAAATACCTTAGTATTGGATCTTTTCAAGTGCTTTTTCTCCATAGATTGATATGATCATATATTTTTCTTTAGCTTGTTGGAGCTTTTTAATAATGAATTCAATTTATTTATTGTGTGTAAGGCTATTCAGATTGTTTCATCTTGGTTGAGGTTTAGTAGCTTGTGGTTTTCAAGTTTAAGTTGTTGAATTTATGAGGTAAACTTGTTCCTAATAGTTCTCCATTACCTTTTAATATCAGCATGGATAGCCTCTATTTCATTTCTGATATTGTGATTGTGGCTGTTTTTTTGTCAGTCTTGCTATATAGGTTTATCAATATTACTAATTTTTTAAAGTAGTAGATTTTTGTTTTATTAATTTTCTCTACTGTTTTTCTAATTTCAATTTCATTGGTTTCTATTGTTATGTTTATTATTTTCTTCCTTTTGCTTCCTTTAACTTGCTCTTCTTTTCTAGTCCCTTGAGGTATGAACTAAGGTTGTTGATTTAAGACCTTTCCTCATTTTATGTAAGCCGTTAGTGCTATAAACTTCCCTCTCAGTACTGCTTTCGATTCAAATCTTATATTTTGATATTATATATTGTGTTTTCATTAAATTCTATGTAGTTTTAAATTTTTCCTTTGAGACTTTCCTTTTGACCCAGGAATTATTTTTAAATATGTTGTTTAGTTCCCATGGGTTTAGAGATTTTCCTGTTATCTTTCAGTTGTTGATTTCTAGTTTGACTCCCCTGTGGTCAGAAAACACAATTGGTATGATTTCAATTCTGTTAAATTTGTTGAGGGTTGTTTATGACCCAGGATATAGTGAATGGACCTATGGTGGTGAATATTTTATGAGTGCTTGAGAAAAATGTTTATCCTAGTGTGTATTTTTGTCAGTTATGCTGTTGTTTGATCGAGTACTCTCTATATGTTGTTGGTTGTGTTGTAGAGATCTTCTATATTCTTTCTGATTCTCTGTCTAGATATTCTAGAAGTTATTGAGAGGAGGGTGTTGAATCCCAATTAAATTGTTATTTATCTGTTTTTCCTTTCAGTCCTATCAGTCTTTTTTCTTCATATATTTTAAGATTCTGCTGTTTAGGATTTATAATATTTAGGATTGTTATGTATTCCTGATGAAATATTATATATTATATAAATTTATCATTATTCCTTTTATCATCATGTAAAATCCTCTTTATAGTAATCCTTTCTACTCTAAAGTCTATTTTGTCAGATATTAACATAGCCATTCTTGCTTTTCAAAAATTAATATTTGTTTACATTGGTATTGTATAGGGGAAGAAAAGAAAAATTAATGTTTGCATAGTACAACTTTTCCCACCCTTTTACTTTTGACCTACTGTGTCTTGAATTTGAAGTTCTTTTATTGTAACCACATATAGTAGAGTCAGTTTTTTTGGTCCATTCTGTCAATCTCTGTCTTTTGAGATTCATGTATTTAGATAACTTACATTTAAGGTAATTATTGGTATGTTAATTCTGCCATTTTATTATCTGTTTTCTAGGATTTCCCCTGGTTCTCATTTCTGCTTCTCTTCTTTTGCCTTCCTGTGGGTTATGTTAAAATTTTTAATTCCTTATTGATTTATTTGTAGTGTTTTTGAGTGTGTCTCTTTGTATAGTTTTTCTGGTGGCTGGTCTGAGTGTTATAATATGCATTTGTGATTTATAACTGTCTACTGGTATCTGCATTTTACCACTTTGAATGAAGTGTGGAAACCTCACTTCCATTTAGGTCCCATTAACTTCCATGCTTCTAAATATTGGCATGAATATCAGGTGGCATTATAATTGCTTCAAACATCAAATATGGTTTATTACACTCATGAGAAAAAGGATAGTCTATTGTATGTACTCAAGTGTCTGCTGTTCTCATTTTTCCATCTTCCTTACTGACACTCTAAGATTCTTTTTTTATTACCATTTCCTTTATGTCTGAAGAACATTCTTTACCTATCTTTAAAAGTGGGTCTTCTGCTAGCAGCCACTTCTTTTAATTTCTCTAGTTCAGAGAATGATTTTATTTCCCCTTCATTCTTTAGGATAGTTTCATGGTATACAGAATTTATGAAAGTCACTTCTTTTTTAAGCACTTGAGAAATACTGTGCCATTGCCTCTGGCCTCCATGATTTCAGGTAAGAATCTGCTGTCATCAGACTTGGTGTTCTATAAGTAATGCATTGCTTCTCTTTGGCTACTTTCAAGATTTTTCTTTTAAGTTGTTGAGTGGGGGGCCCTTTTTAACAAGTTTACCTACAATGTACCTAGGTGTGGATTTATTTGGGTTTATTCTGTTTGGGCATTCACTCAGCTTCTTGGATCTGTAGATTTGTGTCTAGTCAAGTTGGAGAAGTTTTTAGTCATTATTTTGTCAAGTAGTCTTTCAGCCTCCCCTTTTACAACCCTGGTGATATGGAAGTTGGATTTTTTTCTTATTGTCCCACAGATCACTGAGACTTGTTAATGTTTTGTGAATTCTAGTGTTCTGTACTTAAGTTCACTGATTCTATCCTGTACCAATTCCATTGTACTATTGAGCCTATGTAGTTTTTTTAAATGCCACTATATTTTCAGTTTTATAATTTCCATTTAAAAAATAGCTTTTATTTCTTTGCTGAGATTTTTTACCTTTCATTTTAAAGAGGATTTGTGTTGATCATTGAAGTATTTTTATGACAACTGTTTTACAATTCTTCTTGTATGATCCCAACATATGAATCACTTTGGTGCTGGTGTCAATTTTTTTTTTCTCATTGTAGTTGTGATTTTCTGGGTTTTAGGTATAACAGGTAATTTTCAGTTGTATCCTGGATATCTTATATATTATGTAATAAGATGATGAGTTCCCTTTACATTTTTTATTTTAGCAGAAAGTCACACAGTTTAGGTTTAGCATGTAGATCTTGTCCTACTTTTGTGGGCTGTGATTCCAATGGCAGCTTAATTTTCACAGCCTTTGGAGTGCTATTGGATTATGGTCTGCTTGGATTGTGTGGTGCTGCTGGAATTCCCACTTGTCTCTGCTGGTCCTGCCTGAGGAAAGCAGAAGGGTTTTCCCCAGGCCAGCTGCCAGGTATCTCTTGGTAGGGAAATGGTGTAGTGGGATTCCTTTATTGGTGCGCCTTGCACATTGCAAAGTCTCTGGGTAGAGGAGGAGAGTCTCAGGGCATGGGAACAAAGAGGTTCCCCAGACTGTCTGCTGTAGCTTGGTCTCTTTTGCAGATTTTGTTTGTCCACCTCTATGACTCAGTGGAAGAGTGTTTCAGTGGTGGGAAGGAGAATGCTCCTCTTGGCTGCTCTTTAATGGGACTCCCAATCAATATTCCTAGTTGGAGGGTTATGGCAATTCCCCTTGCTGATGACATGGGCTGCCCTGATGTTACCAGAGATTCTTCTTTGATCCAGGGGAGGAATAAACCTCCCTGGGCTGCTGTCTTGGTAGGTGGGGGTTAAGAAATGCAGGCTCTGTGTGGCCTCCTTCTGTTAGGTGAGAAACACGTGAAGCCCTGCCGCTGTGCTGTTTTTCCAGCCCAGGTTCCCTAATCAGCTCTCAGCCTTATTACCACCCTTCAGAGTCTCTTGCACCATTTCCAGGCTCTATAATTATGCTTAGTGTGGAGGAACAAGGAAAAGCAGGACCATGCTATCCTGTCCTGATTGGAAGTCAAAATGCATTTTAAAACGTCTTTTTAAAAAGAATCAAATTGCCCACAAGGTTATGAGGAATTACCAGGGTGACATTCAGAGAAGACTGAAATCCTGAAAGAGTCTAGCATTCAGGACTATTTTGTCCTGGGGCATTGCCCTTGGGCATTGGCCAGTCTGAAAGAAAGCCATAAGCCTTGTGTAGCTGACTGTTAAAAGTTGGACCAGAGAGCCTGCCAAGGGTGGGAACATCGGTTAACCACCTCCTGCTAGGGGTAGGATCTCAAAGGGCTACCTTAGGAAGAACCGGAAGTAAACCAACTTAGACTGCAGCTTGACTTTGAGTATAAACTCAGTCATGGAACCTGGGTCCTGCCTCCAGCTCTGGCACTAATATGTCATGCAAATTTCACAGCTTTGCAAGAGCTTTTGTTAAATCAAGGGTTGAATGATCCCTTAGAGCTTTCCCAACTCTATGATTATCAAGTATGTTTTTCAGCTAACGAAAAACAGAAAAAAAAAATGTGAGAACTAGAAGAGCTGGGGTCTTTCATTAGATTTTCTAGAAATAAGAGGTTCTTGTAAGAAACTAAGACTAATAATAGGATACTTACAAGATCACAGGGCATTTTGAAAAGCAATTTAAACTTAAACTGCAGGTGATGGAGAAGAAATTGTAAAATACAAACTGAATTTTAAAAAATCCTAACAATTAATAAACTTTACAAAATGGCTCATGTAGGAGGATGTTGAGAAAAGATGGGGGCACAGAGAGAAGCTCCATTCCTCTGACCTTTCTAAAATTCTTACAATTAGTAAGATTAGCTAGTCTTTTATTTCCATGTACTAATTTGAGTTCACTGCATACAAAGCTTGACCATGAAGACATGCAGGTAAGACAAAACAACAACAAAAAGATGTCAATGATGATAAGTGATGTGATTTTCCCAGAAAAGTTAAAAGTTTTATTTTTCTTCAGGTAAACTCTCCTATTTTACAGGAAAATAAGTATCTGTAAGTAAACCATCTGATAATCAAATATTTATATATGAATTTACTTTCTTACTACTAATGTAATAGCACCTTCTAAAATGAATTTAATGCAATTATTAATTTAAATGGACAGATAGCATAATAGTAATGCTCTAAAATGGACCAATTTCACCTTCCAGTCATTATGCTGACATTTCAATAATACAGGGTAAGTTCATAGCTACAAAGCAAGCCAACATGAGTGCTCATGTATTCTGAGATGTCTAATCCAGAGTTCATACTTCTGGGGAGTTTGCTACCTACCATATACTTTCTCAGCTTTTTAATCTATAGGCCATTTCCAATTATTTGATTCTATTCTATTAAGAGGTTTTATAATGAAATGGGAATTATGTGCCAACATTCCTTATTGGTATTATCATTTTAAAAAATAAGACATTCACCAAATTTTAGGAAGCACTTAAATTTGGTTAAATTTTTAACTATGTCACTTTAGTTCTTCACATCCCATTTGTCCTTTCTTTCTGGAATAGTAATACAATTTTACCTACTCATTAGCCAATTGGTACATATATATACATGAAATCACAGTACTATCCATGTGTCTGTAAAATGCTATTTTCTTCAAGGAAAGTCTTTCTTTTCAGGGCTTCCTCTTTCCTCTAAGAAGCCACATGTAATACTATGCCTCTCCCAAACTTCTTGATTACTTAGAAATCTAAAGCACAGCCTTAGGTTGTTGGAATGGAAAAGACTGAGATGACCAGGCAGGTCAAAAGTACTACCTTGGAAGTAGAAGTCTATTTGTGAACTTGGATTCATCTTTGATTCCACTGAGCACCTGGTAGGTGGGTATTCACATATTTCTTGAAACAGAGCTATATCATCTCGGCTCCCGTGTTTTGATACCTGTTACCACAAAGAGTTATTTTGCTGCTTTTTCTAGTATGCACACTTTACCACTGTTCTGGGTGTCTTGTAAACATCTCACATGTGGTCCTAATTTTTTTTTCCAGGCTCCACACAGTTCTTTTCAAGGATCGAGTGGCCAATATTTTACCTAATATGGTTTGTGCTCTTTCGCAACTTTGAATCTTCAAATGCTCAAATCTAAAAGATGCTTGTGCTCTGTTATTATGCGCTACCAGAAAGAAAACATTGTTTTATCCAATTTGATTTTTAATGTAATTAATAGTGATTTAATTTTCAAAGGAGCAAATAATTACAAACAAGAGAAAACATTGCTGAGATGGTGCCTGGTTGCTTCTATTCAGGCCATTGCTGAACTATATAGAAAAAAAGTATATTCATGGTGTCTTCATTATTATGAAAATCACAGTAATATGACTCATCAGGAAATCACAATAATTTTATGACAGAAACAATATATTTAGAACGAATCTGTCAGTATTTGACTCTCTTTTGAGGGAAAAATAAATGAAAACCACGTTCTCTGGAAAGAAATAAGACAAGAAATGCCCACAGTTGCATTCTGCTGTTGGGAATACATCTCCAAAATTCAAGGTTCAAAGGTTATCACATTTAATTTTCAACACTTATCACCTTCTTCTTCTCTCAATTTATGGAGATAGATTTCTACGTTCATTATTCGGGATTATTAGAAATTTCCTTCAGTTTGAACAATGCGTAACAAGTATTCTGTGACATGGGTGCAAAAAGTTGTCATTTTCAATCAAGTTATAAGACATAACTGTGCATAAAGTGCATTTCAAATTAAAGTACCCATCAGGAGAGAAATTTAAAGTGCAATACATAAGGTACTTTACATAGTGCAAAGTTGCTAAATATATACATTATCTGCGCCAAGTCCAAATAAAGCAGGATCTTATCTATCCCTATGCTACAGTGAACAATGGAGACATACTCTCACATCTTTATTCCTTTGCAGGTGTAAGTATTTTGGTCCGTGTGTGTGTATGTGTGTGTGTGTGTGTGTGTATACCTAAATATGTAACTGCTTAATGGTTTCTGCAAATGTTTGGAACTGGTTTCCCAGAATTTGAAACCTTTAAACACTGACATAATTATGGAATCTCCACTTCAATATGCAAATCCACTTCAAAGTAACATTAGGCTTGTAATAATGGTTGAGCTATTTCAGCATGCATATCTTGTAAGGCAGGTATTTGACTGTGAATTAAATGCTTAATGAAAATTACAAAAAATACAATCACTATAATGCTGCCAAGAGAGACCCCTATGAAATAAGGGTATGACCCCTCTTGGTCATATTCTGCTGGTTTAACACTACCAGGGAGGAGTATAGTACTCTGTGTATAAGGGACCACCCTTGGCATTGCTGAATTGAGCAGATCCTGGACATTCCAGAATGATCCATTGTGTGGCATGGCGGTGATATTGAGGAGGTGGCATAGTAGTGGGTACAAATCTGTGGAGTTCATGGCTTCTTTTGAGAAATTCTTTCTGAAGGCAGGACCATGGGCTAAAAATATTGGATGCATATCTGCTAACGCATTATCGTAACCGTGGTTGCCTACTGTAAAGAGAAAATATGTGAAAAAGTTAGCCAACTATGCATTAAAATGGACATAATTGTTGTATGGTCAAATTCTGAACTTAAATGCACATCTTATCTAGTTTGACTGTAAACATAAAACAATCTTTGACAAACAATCTCTGCTGTTGTCCACATCACAATTCTCTTCAGGAATTGAAGAGTCAAATGGTTGTGAATCTTTCTTACAGGCCAACAGTGGCTTAAGCAGCAGGGGAAGAAGGGTAAAGAACAAAGCAGAGCCAAGTTAGGGAAAAATTAGAGTTTTTGTTTGTTTGTTTGTTTTGTTTTTGTTTTTTACTGGTGGCAAAGTAATATTCAGCAAATACTTATGGGGTACCTACTATGTTCCAATTATTATTCTAAAGATAAAGAGATAAAGGTGCTCTTAGTCTTAATCTGAAGCCAATAAACTCATAGTTACCAATAAAAGGGAAAATACGATACATAAAGAAAAGCAAAAGAAACCATAAAAATCAAACCTGTACTTACAGCTATAATCTACTACTAAAAAACAAAGGTCAGAGTGGAGGAGAGTAGGAAACTCCTGATTTTGGTAGCTCTAATCAGGATCCAACTTAGCATTATGTGCTTTTAGTGTGGCTACAAATAAGGTAAAAACTTGGGGGTCTTCTGACACATGTGTCAAGTGACATAAAATGGATACGAAATTGATAATAGCTGGATTTCAAAGTCATGTGTGCTTAGCATGGTATCAAGGTACAAGGCAAAGGAGCTACTGCTGATAAGATGGCACCCAAGCAAAACTGACAGGCTTTATCTTAAAGGTGGCAAGGAGAATGACTAGTAAATCCATCTCTAATACTTATACTTGCTTCAGGGAACTATGCAATAGGAACGCTCCCTGCCCCATCCACCTCGAAAAAATCCTAAATCAGTTTTTCGAAAAGTCATAAACTGACCCCTAGTCATTTCAAAGTAATTTGAAATCTACCAGGAAAAGCGTATCTAAAGAAGTCATTCTAGATGCCATGATTCTTTTAGGTTTATTTAAGTAAAAATAGCACTGAAATTATGAATCACTAGTAATTATCTGACAGGGTACTATGCTATTTCATTAATTGATAGTCGCACTGGGAATATATCATTATATACTTTGTAATTGACTGGATGATTGCTGTGTTCATTTCTATGAGAAGTTGGGACCTAGACTCTCACTCATGAAGGCAAAGATAATTATCTTATATCACACTTCTTACTAGAAATTCAGACTTAAAATTAAGTCATTGTGACTTATGTAAAAGCTTTCCTATGAATAGGGACTTTGTTTTGTAGTGGTAGCCCCGATCATAAATGCTTGATCAAGTAGATGGTATTTATAAAGTATGCCTAAGGGCAATGGTTCTCAAACTTTTGTGTGTTTCACCAGGGCCTCACAGTTTCAAATTCAGTAGGTCTGTTTTGGGCCCAATAATTTGCATTTCTTTTTTTTTTTTATTATACTTTAAGTTTTAGGGTACATGTGCACATTATGCAGGTTAGTTACATATATATACATGTGCCATGCTGGTGCGCTGCACCCACTAACTCGTCATCTAGCATTAGGTATATCTCCCAATGCTATCCCTCCCCCCTCCCCCCACCCCACAACAGTCCCCAGAGTGTGATATTCCCCTTCCTGTGTCCATGTGATCTCATTGTTCAATTCCCACCTATGAGTGAGAATATGCAGTGTTTGGTTTTTTGTTCTTGCGATAGTTTACTGAGAATGATGATTTCCAATTTCATCCATGTCCTTTGTAGGGCATGTATACCCAGTAATGGGATGGCTGAGTCAAATGGTATTTCCAGTTCTAGATCCCTGAGGAATCGCCACACTGACTTCCACAATGGTTGAACTAGTTTACAGTCCCACCAACAGTGTAAAAGTGTTCCTATTTCTCCACATCCTCTCCAGCACCTGTTGTTTCCTGACTTTTTAATGATTGCAATTCTAACTGGTGTGAGATGGTATCTCATTGTGGTTTTGATTTGCACTTCTCTGATGGCCAGTGATGATGAGCATTTTTTCATGTGTTTTTTTGACAAACCTGAGAAAAACAAGAAATGGGGAAAGGATTCCCTATTTAATAAATGGTGATGGGAAAACTGGCTAGCCATATGTAGAAAGCTGAAACTGGATCCCTTCCTTACACCTTATACAAAAATCAATTCAAGATGGATTAAAGACTTAAACGCTAGACCTAAAACCATAAAAACCCTAGAAGAAAACCTAGGCATTACCATTCAGGACATAGGCATGGACAAGGACTTCATGTCTAAAACACCAAAAGCAATGGCAACAAAAGCCAAAATTGACAAATGGGATCTAATTAAACTAAAGAGCTTCTGCACAGCAAAAGAAACTACCATCAGAGTGAACAGGCAACCTATAAAATGGGAGAAAATTTTCGCAACCTACTCATCTGACAAAGGGCTAATATCCAGAATCTACAATGAACGCAAACAAATTTACAAGAAAAAAACAAACAACCCCATCAAAAAGTGGGCGAAGGACATGAACAGACACTTCTCAAAAGAAGACATTTATGCAGCCAATAATTTGCATTTCTAACAAGCTCTCAGCTGATGTGGATGCTGGTGGGCCAGGGAACACACTTTGAGAGCCACTGCTTTGGGGCATTAGGGCTTAACTATTCTGGCTTAGGTATACAGTGGTCAATCTTTAATTAATTATTGAATCATTAAACATAATATAAATTGAGTATTATTAAGGTTTTCTATCAAAAATAGAGGTGACCAATCTATTGTGTAACTGTAGTTCAGCAAACCATTTCTAGAGGGCCCTTTGAATTTATATTAACTTTAAAATACAAATCTTGCCAAAGATAGCAGTCCTTTGTTGAGCAAGCCCTCTAACATAAGAGCTACCTGCACAAGACATAAAAATATGAACATTGGTTTATGGATCATTATCTGTATGTAAAAACTGTTTATTTTTTTTTTTTTGCTTTTTTTTTTTTTGAGACAGAGTCTTGCTCTGTCGCCCAGGCTGGAGTGCAGTGGCACGATCTCGGCTCACTGCAAGCTCCGCCTCCCAGGTTCACGCCATTCTCCTGCCTCAGCCTCCCGAGTAGCTGGGACTACAGGCGCCCACCACCATGCCAGGCTAATTTTTTGTATTTTTTTAGTAGAGACGGGGTTTCACCCTGTTAGCCAGGATGGTCTCGATCTCCTGACCTCGTGATCCACCCGCCTCAGCCTCCCAAAGTGCTGGGATTACAGGCGAGAGCCACCGCACCTGGCCAAAAACCGTTTTAAGAACCAGAAACCATGTATCTGTATACATCTGCCACTATGAGTCACGAGCACACTACAAATGCCATTGTTCAGGCATCTGCTTTTCTTTTAATCAATAAACATGATAGAAACCCAATTCTACCTAAAGGGACATTTTGTATATATCTTTTACATATCAAGGACCAATATCTAAAAAAAGCATTTTTAGATAAGTACGAAAACATTGTAGTTCCTTAATATTCAAGTAACAGACAGTAAAAATATCAATCAATAAACTGCTGTATTATGTATTTAAACTGTTGTATTTTAGCAAAAAGTAATGCAGAATGGAAAGAAATACTGTAACATACTCACACAGAAAGTCATCTGACTTATTCTGTAAAATGTGCCACCCTTCATCAGCCACTGCTATGATTGGTTGAATTCGACTGTTGTATTTGTAATGCCACCTTTCTGGAACGTCTTCTTTTTTGTAAACAGTAAGATTAGGATGAGCGTGAGTTAGTGCTTCATAGACTTCATCAAATTTACCTAAAGAGAAGGGAGGAGAGGCACTCAGAACAAAATACTCATAGCTACCATCAGCCATGGGCAACAGACTTGCTACGGAGGTGAAAAACCAGAGAGCTGAACATAAGAAAAAATTCTTTTTCCCCTTGGGGAAAACAATTTTGGGAGGGGAAACTAGGAAATAATCTTCTGTTGTAAGTTCACCTTATAGAATTAAGGAAGGGCATTTTATAGAACCAGAAACCTCTAAAGACTTCAATACACACACATATTAATTAGTGACACTATGTAAAATGTCTAGGGTACTGCAATACCCAAATAAAAATGGCTAGGTTCTGGTAGTTGTGAGTGCAGACACGAAGAATCTCCAGACAAGAAAACATGGTGAGGGGTGGGTGAGGGCTGGGAAAAGAGGCTGGAGGTGGAAAGCAGTTTGTAAAATGGAAACATCTGAAAACACTGGAGGTGTTGCCAAAGTACTCCCTATAACTACAAATGCGGTTACCCAGGCACTGTCTTTCATCCTCCTGTTTTTCAAATCCATTGCTGAGGTTGCATCCTTATCTTCTGCACCGCAACAAGAGGACATCATTCCAATTTTATAAAGGAAATCGAAGGGTTAATGTAATTTTCTCCCCTTCCATTTCCTCTTCCCTTCCCTCTTCCCTTCCTCCTTCCCTCCCTCCTCTCTCTCTCTTTCACCCCCTTCTCTTCCCTCCCTCTCTCTCTCTCTTTCCCCCTCAGTCTCTCTTTTTCTTTCTTTTTTTTCTTTCGACTGTGTCTCCCTGTCGCCCAAGGAGGAGTGCAGTGATATGATCATAGCTCACTGTAACCTAGAACTCCTGGGCTCAAGCAACCCTTCCACCTCAGCCTGGGACACAGGCATGTGTCACCACACCAGGCTATTTTTTTTTTTTTTTTTTTTAGCAACAGAGTCTTGCTATGTTGCCCAGGCTGGCCTCAAACTCCTGGCCTCAAGTGACCCTGCTGCCTCAGCCTCCCAAAGTGCTGAGATTATAGGCGTGAGCAACCACTCCTAGCTAATTTTCTTAAACCAGAAAAAAAGTGCTGTTTGCTGAAAACTGTGTGTGTAAAACACACACATATTTTAACATTCGCTGTTTCATATGATTCTAATTCCCCTCTGAGGGATGGAATTCTCATTTGTGAAATATTATAGCTTTTCAAAATCTGTTCTCTCATTTGATACCTAAGACCAACCCTGCAAAGTGATAAAATATGTCAAAGAGCATGTCTGAGTCATGTTGTCACTTATTTTGTGACCTCAGGATGTTAAACCTTTTGAGGTCACTTACCTGTCATTTACTTCTCTTTAAAATGGAGACAATACTGAGGTGACAGGTTTGGTATAAGGATTCCAGGAGAGGTTTGTAAAAAGTTTAAGGTATTGTTATTACTTTCCACATTTATAAGGAAAATAAACCTCAGATTGACCAAAGCTCTTTCTCCTTCTTATCTTCCACAGCTTCCTTGTTAAGCAGGTCCAAATTAGGAACCTATAAAAGGCTTTGGGGCTTCTATGAAATAACTGTACATGCATTCAAGTTTTGTATGTATCTTTCCATCTCAATTTTTCTGAGAAGGGAGGCTATAGCTTTCATAATATTCTATGGATCCAAAATGGTTAAAACCTACTGCCATACATACATAGAGCACATCAATTTCAGTATTCTAGGAAAAAGGAAAAAAAAATTAGGCTTTGAAAAAAGAGATTTTGTCTTTTCAGAGTCTGAGGATTAAATCCCAGAATATTACCATGACACAGGCAAAGTCTACTTTAAAGGCGCAGCAACAGAAATCCCTGTTCATTTGATCACACTGGGCAAATGCACATCTAGTCTCAGCTCACCATTCATTCAGTCAGCCTTACCTTCTTTTGGCAAGATGGCTGCTACTGGAGATTGATCAATCAGGGTATAGTGGTCTTTATCCAGGTACTGGTCAAGTTCTATTAACCTTTCCTCAGAGCACTGCGTCATTCCATGATCACTTGTGATGATTAGGTTCAGAGTGTTCCACAACTTTGCCTTTTTCAGCATTTGTATGAGATATCCTAACTTCTTGTCAATATCTGAAATGACAGGCCCCATGAGCGGACTGTCAGGTCCCAAATGGTGGCCCATGTCATCAGGGTCTTCCCAATAGAGAAGACCAAGATTTATGGGCTCTTTTGACGTAAACCATTCAATAATTTTGGCAACTCTATCTTCAAATGAAACTGACTCATTGTAAGGCATGTAATGAGTAGGAAAGCGCTTATGTATTTTTACATCTGTTCCGGGCCACATGGCTGCACCACTAGTATGTCCTGCCCTCTGGTTTGTGATCCATATTGGTGTCGCTTCTTCCCAAAACTTGGAATCATAAATATTCATGTGATCCAAGGAGAAAGATTTGTTCCGAATAGGATCAAACATATCATTTGCAACAATCCCATGATTCTCTGCAAAGAGGCCAGTTACCAAAGTATAATGGTTAGGGTAGGTTTTTGTAATAAAAACATTAGTAACTTGCTTCACGTGAACACCATATTTCATAATATAATGAAAATGGGGCGTTGGAACTTTATATAAGTAATCCCAACGGAATCCATCAAAAGAAACTAGTAGAACCTTTTGCTGGTCTGGTTGGAGAGAAAAGGTGGTTGAAAGACTCAGTGCAGCAAGTATGAAGGACACCAAGAGAAATTTCGAAGTCATTTTCAAAGTACTTGATCAGTTCAGTGTAAGATAATCTGTAGAATAAACATATAGAAATTAAAGGCAATAATTTTGTTTTGTATACTTTACCCCAAACTCAGAGTAACAGTGCTTAGCAATCCTAGTTATATTCATAAATCACAGCCTGGAAGAATTATGTCACAGAACTCCGTATTAGATAAGAGACCTGGGGCTAAATGAATAATAAAGCTAATAAGTTTAGCTGCATTTAAACAACTTTTTCACTTCTGAGAATTTATCTAAATATCCCTCAAAGGAATTATTTAAGTGAGCTCTTCAACAGCATTTTAAAATATGACATCATTTACATAAAACTTTTAGAAACATTTTCAGGTTGATCCAGACTTTTGACTTCTGGTCAGAAACTTTTTTATAGTCAAATACCTGTGAACATCCTTAACATTATGGCTAGAGCAACTATGGCAACCTAGCAACAATGAAGTATCATTAGCAAATCGAATAATGGTGCATATACATATATATTATATATATATGTATATGCACACTTCTATTTTCAACCCCTATGTTTGGTTAATCACAGACAAAAGATGTATTACTAAAGAGAGAGGAAAATAGATGAATTTGGTTTCTTGAAGTGAAATAACATTTGTGACATCCAGATATATTTATTGAAAAGTAATCTGCATTCATTTATTAATAATCAAATCACAGCATTCGTTGAACTAAATAATTAGATTCTAAACTAAATATTAACAGAAATATAATTCTGAAATTTGTTGTTGACTTTCCTAATGTTAAAATTTGTCAAAATTTAATCTTATCATTGATAGGTGTAGTAAAAGCACTTCCCTGGTTTAAAGCTCTGTGAATCAAGGTTGCTGGTCTTTTCCCCTAATCTGTGTATATTTCTAAAATACTTTCATTCTATTGAAGAAAGCTAATAAGACGCTGTATGGATAAACAATAGATATGTAAATTTTGTCAGTTTTCATCAGGCGTGCACATCCAGCAGGGATCTTTTGTTCTCTCATTTTTCTACCCATTCCTGCATGAAGGTATTTATAAACCCACCAAAACTTAGATCAAACCACACTTGTACAAATAAATCTCTTGAAACTGCCTTTTGATATCTTCCTAAGCTGAAGACTTCTTTTTTTTTTTTTTTTGAGAGGGAGTCTCACTCTGTTGCCCAAGCTGGTGTGCGGTGGCACGATCTCAGCTTACTGCAACTTCCGCCTTCCGTGTTCAAGCAATTCTCCTGCCTCAGTCTCCCAAGTAGCTGGGACTACAGGCGCCCGCCACCACACCCAGCTAATTTTTGTATTTTCAGTAGAGACAGGGTTTCGCCATGTTGGCCAGCCTGGTCTCAAAACTGCTGACCTCAGGTGATTCACCCTTCTCGGCTCCCCAAAGTGCTGGGATTACAGGCATGAGCCACCGCAGCCGGCCTGAAGACATTTTTAAACTTCAAAAATATATCCTGTTTCACCTTGCTGTATTATAGGTACAGGTAAATAAAAACTACTTGGCATGCTTGCTTTGCTTTCAGAAATACAAGGTATATGTACATTGTGGGTATTCGCTGAGGGCAATAAATTCTGTTTTGCTGGTTTTAAACTGTGTTTTCACCATACCTAGACATTTCTTAAACTGAAATTGTTTTAGGTATTGGTCTCAAGATGATAGCTCAAATGTCATATTTAAAAACGATTTCTTGGATGGCAATACTCTCTCTGATTCTGGAAGGAACATTAAACACAGTTGCAGCAAGGAATAGCAAATAGGTTACTGCAAATATATTTACTCACCTATCTGGCTATGGATGGTAGTTGCTCTCTCTGTCCTTTCTCCCCCTAATTTTCTCTCCCACCTTTTTAAAACAAGGAAGGCTAGTATCAACCAAATGTAATTTAAGGCTAAAAGCAGAGGAAATAAACTACATGGAACACCTCATTTTCATCTATCTTAGCAAATTAATTCGGCACATGTGTAAGCAGGAGAAAACTGCTTTCTTGGGACCAACAAAAGTAAGCAAAGATTAAGTGTTGTCTAAAGCTTAGGAATGTTTGGCAAGAAGACTCAACATCACATCCATGACACAGAGCAATAAACAGAGGTGGGGGGTGGGGAATGAAAACAATCAGAATTTTTTTTTTTTTCGTGCACAAAATGCTGCACAAAACAGTGGAATCCCTGGATCTGGCTCCACATTTCATTGAGTACTTTCCAGTTCTTTCTCCCCTCCAACCCTTCCTCCACAAACAGACTTGGAGAGCAGGAAGGACGGGGCACCGATTAAACGGAAGAGGGAAAGTGCAGAAGGAGTAGGTTTGTGTAGCTCGGGTAGACGTCAAGGGCGGGGGTGTCCATCTTCTCCACCAGGATTCCATCCTAGCCACCCAGAATGGTCGCGGCGTAGGTTATGTTCCCAATTCCCAGTCATCCCGCCCACCGAGGCCTGGGCTTCTTAGATGTGCAGTGGCAAGGAGGGGACGTTGCTTTAGGGACCCAGAGGAGCAGTGTGGGTTCCCGGGAGGGAAGCCACCCACGCCCCTGGACTCACCCTCGCAGCGATCCGTTCAGTCCGTATTAGTTTGGAGCAACGGGAGGGAGGGTCTGGAGGAGACTCCCTCGGGCGCGCCGCGGGTAACGGCGGGAGGGTGACTGGAGGAACGCCCCCGGAACGCGCAGGAGCTCACCTGCGCTCAACTCTGGAGCGGAGCACCTGACCGCGCCGCTTCCCCGCCCCGCCTCCTGGCTTCTATTGGCTGCTGCAGAGATAGTCACTTCTGCCTGGGTTGCCCCCGAAAGCCAGGCTCCCAGGAGTAGCTGCACGGCCTGTCAATCAGCGGGGGCAGGGGCGGGCGCTGCCTGGGTTTGGAGGGTGGAGGGGGAGGGGACTCCCGGGGGCAGGGACCCATCTGGTAGGGCGAAGGCGTGGGATGGCCAATTGCTTGGTCACACACAAAACCTTCCGGCAACGTGCCTTTTCCAGGGGACCAGCTGTGCTGGAGTCAGTGATGCTGAGAGATTATTGCGTGTTACCCCAATGGTGGGTGTACTCTAACAGTCACTGTTTTTTGTTTAAAAGCGACTTGTATTCTCTGATTTCTTATCCCAGGCTTTTTTCCTTCCCCCGCCCCCCGCCCCCTGCCTTGTCACGAATTGGCGATGGGGCACACCATGGGCTTTGCTCTGAGGAACACCTGCACACCCGAGGATGCCAATGGGACGATGAAGTTTCATTCTTTTTATTAGTGGGTGTTATCTGCTTTACCTCAGAAAGAATTTATTAACCTAGTCAACTCTGCAGCCCCAACGTTTGCAGTCCAGGTTTTTGCAATTGAGGTCCCTGAGGTATATTTGTGGTGTACCTAGCATGGCACCTGAAATTGTGCGAATTAAACCAAGACAGGTTCAGAATTAGGTTAATTTGCACAGGAGAGAGGCTGAACAGCCACCCTCTCTGGTGGTGGCATCCGAGCTCCAGACTCTGTTTCTACCTTTGTTTGCAAAGTAAACATTAAAACTACAAACATCAGGCCTGATTACTCTTTCAGAAAGCCTTCAGTGCTTCTTGTGTGTTAGTGCCCCTATTTTGTCTTTTTCCGTACTGTAGTGGATTATTTTCTCAGTTTTTTTGGGATAATCAATGGCATTTTTAGGCCTGAGGGAGTGTAGGCAGGTACTTAGTTTGCCAGTATGATCCCAACTGTCTTTACCATAAATTATAGCAGTGATATCAAACTACCCTGAAAGAATTTGTCCATCTACACAATCCCAGCTAGAATTCTGACCTAATTAGAATTCTAGTTCTATCTGCAGTAGGCAATAATATCAGGTTGATTGTTACAATGTAAGTTTAACATCTAATTAGCTGGTAAAACTGGGAGCATATCTGCAATGGTGGTTTTGGCTCCTGCCCGGAGCTCGGATCCCTTGTCTGGTGTGCTGGAGCTTTAAAGTGAATAGAGATATCTGTTGATATTTAATTAAGCCATGCAAACATTTTGGTCATAGCTTTTTCTCTGTCTGCTTCTAATAGAGGGACAATCTCAACCCCAAACATTGTTACCTCCTAACTGGGTCATCCCATCCCGAAGGGCATCTGGGCACTCTTCCATGGCCTTTTATTCGTGGTAACTTGAGTTTATGGTTTTCAACACGTGGGATGGGGATTAAGAGGGAGGCTGGTTTCTATGTTTAGTGAGACCCAAACACAATGAAGTTGAACAAGTTGTTCCAATTCCCCAAAGCCCTGTCCTTTGAAATTGCCCAAACTTGGAACAGAGTGGTCCAATCTTGTAAGTCCTTGTCCCCCAGAATAGGTCAACTCTGTGCTCTCCCAAAACACTCAAAGGACAATGTACGCTTATCAGAGAGCAGGAGTGGTGAAAATGGGCCTGACTTTTGTTCGGATCACTGAACATTGTTGGACTCTGTTTGGATGACAACCTGCTTTGCTCTGCAAATTTTATGGAAGTTATGATTATATTCACCAGCTATTCCTGTGAAATAGGCATGGTACAGCTGGTAACCACAGTGCACAACACAGAAAAGTGCTCATAAGACTGCCAGATTCCTCCCAGAAGTCCATATAATGATATCTAATGTTCACCTGATAGGCTTGCTATTACCTTATGTTGTTCATGGGGAGAAAGTCTGGTTTACATAGTATAGAGGAATGAATGTAAAACATGAGATTCCTGCTCCCACATCTGCACCTGCCCTCCTGTCTTATTGTTGCCTCAGTATCTGTCTATTTGCAATAGGTTTTCAGAAAGTTTTAGCAGCAGAAACCACAACCTGCTATTGACTGTAACTATTCTTTTATTCTCTGTTATTAAATTAGTGGAATTCTAATTGAATAATAGTGTAACAGAATAACCAACTTCTTTCTTTCAAAGGTTTTGGGGTCAGGTGGGGAGGGAGATCCCTCTGCCTCCCCAAGGAAGTCTAATACAGGTTGAGAGAGGGACAATTTTCTTCGTCAGGGGCTGGAAGAGCTTTGTGCTAAAACTGAAAAGGGATCTGTTCTTTAAGAAACAACCAGAACTGGCTCTACCACAGAAGTCTTGTTTTTCAGAACTAGACTTCATGATAGGAAAAATAAACACATAATTTTACAATTAAAAAATTTTAAAGGTGCATTCCAGTACATTATACCACAAATGACTAAACTAAAAGAAAGTTCATCTTTTAATCCTTTGTAGAACATTCTGCAAAATGTGGGTCTCACATATTCAATGGCCATAGATAGGAACCACTGGGATTCTGCTTCTGCACTGCTCTTAATTCATGATAAACAGTGGTCTTCACTAATCTTGACTCATTAGCAGAAGTTCAGTCCAATGAGTGAAATGTTGAATTATAGAATAGTCAAAAACTTAGCCCAAGAATTTTTATGCATATTAATAAATTAGGCTTCTAGTGATATGCTTGAACTAATTAGAATGAATTTTGTAGAAGCAATTATTATGCTTTTATCCTCAGAAAGCTTTATATAAGTCAAATATAAACCTATTTGTATTGTTGTATTCTGTAAATTGTATTCATAGTGTTTTAGTTCTAGGACTGCCTTAACAAATTATCACAAACTGGGTGACTTACGACAAACAGAAATGTATTCTCACATAGTTCTGGAGGTCAGAAGTCTGAAATCAAGATGTATTCAGGGCCATGCTCTCTCCGAGACTCTGAGAAGAATCCTTGCTTGGCCCTAACAGCTGCTGGGGATTCTGGTATTCCTTGGCTTGCTGCAGCCTAGCTCCAATCTCTGCCTCTCCTGTCACAGGATGCTCTACTCTGTGTGTCCCTGTGTCACGTGGCCTTCTTATAAGAACACCAGTCATTGGGATTAAGGCCCTCTTCAGCCCAGTATGGCTTCATCTAAATTTAATTACATATGCAAAGATCCTACTTCCAAATAAGGTCACATTCTGAGGTTCCGGGTGAATGTGTATTTCGGAAGGACACTTATTCAACCCAGTATATATAGCTAGCAGAAAGTTTAATTTTATGGCCCAGCCTAGATCAAAAGTTGATGGATTACTAATAAAATGGCTCAAATCAAGGTAACTGACAACATCTGATACTGACAAGGATTCAGAGCTATAATATATTGCTGGACTATCATACACTGCTGGTGGGAATGGACTTCCACTATGGAAGTCAGTTTTGAAGTTTCTTATAAAGTTAAATATACACGTGACATACAACCCAGGAATCTCACTCCTGAGTATTTATCTAAGAGAAATGAAGACAGACGTCCACTGAAAAACCGGTCAACAACTTTTTACAGCAGCTTTATTCATAATCATGTAAAGCTAGAAACCATCCAAATGTCCCTCAACTAGTGAATAAACAAATTGTAGTGTGTCCGTAAATGCAGTACTGTTTGGCAGTAAGAAGGAATACAGAACTCATGCATGCAACAACATGGATGAATCTCAAAAGCGTTTTTCTAGGTGAACGAAGCCAGACACAAATGGCCATACACTGTGTGATTCTGTTTATATGATATTCTAGAAAGGGCAACAATGGAAATAGAAACCAAATCAGCATTTGCCAAGGACTAGGGGTGAGGGGAGGGGATTGGCTAGAAAGGGGCACAAAGAATTTTTTTATGTGATAGAATTTTGATTGCTTTTGTAGTCACATCACTAAGTTTGTCAATATTCAGAGAACTATGTGCCTAAAAATGTTTAATTTTACTGTGTGGAAATTATACCTCAGTAAACAGCAGCAACAATAAATAAACCCTACCCTGCGATAATACCTCACACCTCACCAAAGTTCACAAATTGGTGCTGGTGGTGTTTGACTCTCAGTGGCCTTTCCTGTGTGTACGGGTGTATACCAGTTCTTCCTGCAGGGTGTGAGTGCTTGCAAGTGCAGGAGCTCCACGGGGCCTGCTCTGCTGGGTGTCATTCCTTTTCCCTCATGAATGAAGTCAGGAAACTATGAAGTAAAACCAAAACAAGGCTAAACAATTATTTTCTTTTTCTTTTCTTTCTTTCTTTCTTTTTCTTTTTCTTTTCTTTTTTTTTTTTTTTGGGATAGAGTCTTGCTCTGTCGCCCAGGCTGGAGTGCCGTGGTGTGATCTTGGCTCACTGCAACCTCTGCCTCCCAGATTCAAGCAATTCTCCTGCCTCAACCTCCCGAGTAGCTGGGATTACGGACACGCGCCACCACACCAGGCTAAATTTTTATATTTTGCGAATCACAAAGTCAGGAGTTCGAGACCAGCCTGGCCAACATGGTAAAACCCCGTCTCTACTACAAATATTTTCTAGGCCATAACTGAATGTCATTTGTTGAATAACTAACTCAGTGCAGGATGCAGTCATATAGCAGGAGAGATAGTCATCTTTTGGTGTTGGTTTGAGGCCTATTTTGTAAGACATATTCTCAGGAGCCAAATACGAAACTGCACATGTGTTTGTGGTATATGGGGTGAAAACATTTTGTTAAAACCACATTCTCAGTTCTTTGTAAAGCACATAACACCCCTTAGATGCCTGAACATACTTAGTTTAACATCACTATTTAAAAACTTATTGGCTCCTTATGGGTATTGTAATTCTGTAAATTTACTAGCAGTGGGGGAGGACCTAAAAATATTGTCCTCTATCCAGATCAAAAATACATTTTTCCACTCTAGGTATTTGCACTTAAAATGTAAATGTAAATATTCTTTGCAACAATTTTGTAGCTTGAGGTTGCACCAAGGAATTCTTTGGTAAGTGTGAATCTTTATGAACAGGCCAAGCAGGCAGCAAGTGCTTTATGCCTTTAAGGTGTTCTTGGCAGGGAAGGGGCGGGGGATGTCATGGGAGAGTTCTCCCTGCCCAATTCCTGGATGGTTGCAATTTCATAATTGGAAATTAATCTCTTAGCCTTAAGGCTTTTCTCTCAGGAGAGATGTCATATGCACCACCTCTATTAGCTATTTATATACACGTGTGTGACTAAGGTTGTCTGATTCGCTCCAATTTGCATAATTGGTTGGGGAGAAAAGCCCTTAGAAGAATGCAGGTGGGTTCTGTCTTTCAAAGGTTAGTAAATACAGGGGGCAGCTCTAGAGGAAAGTGAAAACAGAAAAAGGAAGGGGAGCAGACTCTAAGCTGGCATCCCTCATAATTTGCTCAAAGCTAGTCCTGTTCTTTGCCCATCATTAAGCAGCAGATCACTGTAGGGAAGTCCGAAGTCATAGGCAACAGAGGAACCTGGCTTATGAAGGTGCTCTGATTTGACCTTTGTAAAATTTTGAATAGCCTTTCATCTAGAAAATGCATGTAATGTATAAAATCCTTGAGAGCTTTGCTATTCTTCTAGTCACTTTCATCCTTACTCCTCCACACCTGTTGTCTGATTCCACAAAGGACTCCATCCTCCCACACCTTGCTTGGGCAATCTCCTGACCTATATACTTCTCTGCTTTCTAATGAGAACCCTATTTTGTAGGAAAATCCATTCAGTGTGAATGGATTTATGCTGATCTACTCATCTATTCTTGCTAGGACATACTACATGTTGGGGTTCTTTGGCCAGAGTTAGCTGTTCTAGTCATGGTGATGGGGCTGTTTTAAAATAACAGGCTGATTTAACCCGTTATTTTATTTTATTTTATTTTTGAGATGGAGTCTCCCTCTGTTGCCCAGGCTGGACTGCAGTAGCGAGATCTCAGCTCACTGCAACCTCTGCCTCCCAGGTTCAAGCGATTCTCCTGCCTCAGCCTCCCGAGTAGCTGGGATTTTAACCTGTTATTTTTTAAAAAAACAAAACAGGTTTATTCGTGATTTGCTTAACATAAAATGAAATGTGATTCATTTAATATAAATTTATCGATTTGAATTATACAATTCAGGGTTAACTGGCATTTTAAGGCCTCATTGGCCTGTTTCAACCAAGTGATGTAACTGAGAATGATCATCTGTGGAATCACTGAAATGTTCATTTATTCACAGGGTAATCATTGAGTCATGATTCTATTTTACACTCATATTGTGCTGCTGGTTTTTGAAATCCATTTTGAAGATGGTCAACAGCATTACTGAGTTCATTTCTCATGGCCGCACACTATGCTCAGTGAGAATTGGTGGCTTAACCAAAGCTGCATATCTAAACATTTGAAATCAGGGAAAAATAGAGTAAGTTCTACAACAGAGGAACAAACAAAAGTGATATAGAAGTGCATGGGACAGAGAAATTAGCTCTGACTGAAGAAGACATGGGTATTCCACCACAGAGGTAGGAATGGAGAGTCTGGTATTGAAGCAGAGCCTTGGAAGATGGTGGGATTTCAACGAAGCACGTGAAACAGAGAAGACTGTAAGAACATGCACCTGGTCAGAGGGCCCAGGTGTGCTTGTGAAGGGCCTAGAAAAACTGGTTTAGGAATTTGGGGTCAGTCCTGTGGGCAGTGGGGGGCAGTTGAAGGTTCTTGAGGAGGGGCATGTCATGACCAGAGCCACGAACATAATTCCTGAATCACAAGTGGTGCGAGGTGGCACAGTAGTTTAGCACCTTGACATTTATTTAATATCAATCTGTAATTGATATTAAAATTAACGTTGCTTCTTTGACTATCTCCTTTGGCAGGAACTACCAGTTGTCATACCATACCAAGGCTAACCCATTCTTATGACCTTTCTACTGAAAAATGTAAAGCACTTTGGCTTTTTGTTTACTGCATATTGAGAGGCAGTGAGCATTTCTCTTCTTGTTTCTTCTTGGCAACATCTATTAGCCTGTTCCTAATGCACTGTGTGGCATAGCTTATTAGGTTGTGTTTTTGGTGTTACCCCAATTTTGGGATATGAATCTGTCATTAAAACACAGCCCTGTGAGTCAGAAAAAATAGACATGTTAGTGTGAATGAATGTATACTTTCTGGTCATTTTGAGAGGTGACATCATTGTCATATACTATACTTTTTTTGTAATATTTTGTTAATCACAAAGTGAATAGTGAAGGGGATGGTGTGCAAGACAAGGGAAAATGTTGGAGGGGCATTTCAAAACTTGCCAGAGTGTGTAGTATAATTTCATTGAAAAAAATGATAACAAATCAACTCCACTAAACAACTGTATGTAGGAGTAGGAAGAGTAGAAAAGAGATGGGTGGCAGAGAAACAATTTTAAAGCCAGAAAAATGGTCTGTATGGGTGGTGAAGGTATTATAGTATGAAAGGAGTACATAACAATATTACTAGAATTATAATAACAATGCTTATTAATTAGTGGCAACCAAATAGCAGACACTGTGCAAAGCAACACATACTCCTTATGTCACTTAGTTCTTATCATAACCCTGTGAAATACAAATGAGTCTTTTCCTATGCCAGCTCAGGAAAGAAAATCCCAGAGAGATTAACTCACTGAAGATCACTCAACTAGTAAATAGCAGAACTGGACTGCTCATTAATCTCAGTAAGACCCAGAGGGGAACACGAGAGAGACATTCTGGGGACAAAGTTGATCTTCGGACTGACACAAACTTAGGTCCATAGAAACCATGCCCTGGGGGTTACTGACAAGTAGTCTGTGGACTTCATGTCAGAGTTGGGGATTCCAGATTCTCCAGGAGGTCCTCAATGGTAGAATCTGAACAGTGGAGAGCACAGTAGAGGAGTGTCTAAGCCCAGTTTTGGATCCATGAAGGGAAGATTTAGTATTTTGACAGCCAGTGGAATAACTCATTTCTATTATCAGGCCATGTGGGGATAGGGAGCTCTCGCAGCCTCTTCCTTCAACAGTCAGTAAACAGAAATGGTGTGAGAGAGACAAGCAAACAAGACTGGAGTTGCCATCCAGAGATGGGCACCCCTGTGATGGACATGGACCTTGGTATTAAAATGACCTTGGTTGAGGATGGCTGCTCAGTATTGAAATAAAAGGTAGACAGACTCATGAGTAGGGATTTGAAAACCTTGAAGGGTGGTTTATAGGAGGAAGCATGGGCATCAATAGTCAAGGCAGCATGATCATGACAGAATTGAGAGAGAGAGCCCTGGACTGCCTAAGTGAGGATCAGTCAATTCCAAACTATTTAATACTAAGGTGAGTAGCTGCTGTGATCCTAGCCCTGTGATGGGAACTGAGAAAGGTGGATACAGGGAGGAGTAAGATATACTTCCTGACTCCAAAGGGATGGAAACACTGCTTAAAGAGATGACACAAATGCACATGAAATCATTACAAATGGAAGAAAATTGTATTAAATCAAACACTAAATTGATGCTTTTTGAAGGTCTCATTTTTGTTTGGGGAAGAGTTATCCCTCCAATGTCTGAATGCTCAATAACATTCTGCCTTCCCAGTTCACCCTATTTTCATTTCCCTCTAAGCTGCTATGGGCTTTTTTCTTTTAGGAGATTCCACTACTAATGAATGCTTTGAAGAAATAGTATTAGTTTAGAGAGGAACAGTGGTGGTCACAGGACTGTCTTGGGAGGGGTTTTAGGCTACCTCCCATAATCTTCTTTATCACTTGTATAAAATCTCTATATAGAGCTTTGGGCAGAGCTTCGAGCAGCACACTTGATTGTCCACTTTGTATGGAAGGAAAAGTGACCTTAGGTAGCAATAGGTAGTGGCGAATGATTTGGCTAGTTTGTTCAGGGCCTGGAAGGACCAGAATGGGAAGAGTGAGGACAAGGAGGCAGGGGAAAGAGATATGTGGGCCCTATAGTTGGTGGGCACCAAGCATGCAGATCTGTCTGTCTTGTGGTGATGCCCAGCAAGCCTCTTTTGCAGAAGGGGATCTCAACCATCAGGTGGACAGGATGAGTAAACCTGTGGATGTCAGCCAACATTTCTTCCTGGTTATTGCAGTACCAGTGCAATTTGGCATTCAACGGTGGCAGGAATAGAAGTATGCAAACACCTAACAGAATGGGATTCAGTTCACAAAGGGCTTATCTAGCCAGTGCTGAATGTCAGCCTCAGAGACTGATGCTAACCCCTCAATTGAGGAAAACAGCAGCAATTTGTCCTTACCAGAGGTTACATCTACACCAAGTATGATTCAACACTTCAGCATGCCTGATCTATCAATATGGGATCTCACAACATTTCCTCAAATAGGGGACCAATTTTGCTGCAAAGGACATACAACAATGATTACAGGATTCACTGGTTCCACCATATATCCCATCACCCAGAAGCAGCTGGCCTAGCTGAATGATGCAATGGGCTTAAAGGCTCAGCTAAGTGGCCCTCTCCGAGAACACATTCTGAAGGTTAGAGCATGATCCTCAATTTTGGGGTATATGCATTGAAATAAGGACTGATACATGATGCTCTATCCTTAATGGTTAGAAAACAGGTCTGGTAACCAAGGAAATAGAAGTGATCCCTACATGATCATCCCCAGTGACCTATTTGTGAAATTTGTTCTTCCTGTCTTCTAACCTTAGGCTCTGTTAGGTTAGAGAACATCGTTCCCAGTAAGGGCTATGTCTCCACCAGCAAAGTGAGGATTCTACTGAATTTGAAGCTGGGTCTACCACCTGGCCATCTTGGACTCCTCATGCCAGTGGATCAGAAGGGAGTTATAGTAATGTTGGGGTAAGTAACCTGCTTTTCTTGAGGGGAGAGGGTTGATACTACATAATGGGAACAGAGAGGAATATGCTTACTTGTATATCTTCTATCTCTTTATTCTTCTGATTGCCGAGAGATTGCCTCTTTGTCTGATTTTCTAATTCACAAATTTATTCTTTAGCTGTTTCTATCCTTTCTTTATCCCACCTTTGGTGTAGTTTTTCAGCTATTATACCTCATATATTTTCATTTTTAATGATTTTTTATTCTTCTTCATATTACTAATAGCTTGTTACATCTCTTTAAGTATATTTATCATGTTTACATAAAATTCTTGTTCTATCTCTTTTAACACTTTTGTTTCAAATGGTATATCTTAAAGATTTTTGGATTTTTTGAGGTAGTTTTAAATTGCATTATTATTTTGGATTTTTAATTTAGATTTCTCTTTAAATGTTTTAATAAGTAGTGGGGAAGGGCTGAAGGCCAGGTCCTAGCCTAAGCTAAGTTATCCTGATCCAGTTAAGGATAAGTGAGGGTCTAATGCCTGAAGGCAGATGCTTATTCCTATAGACTATCTTGGGCAGATGCTTATTGCTATAGACTATCTTTCAAGATTCTCAAACTCCTATCCACAGATCTTTCCGCCATTTAAAATTAGTTCTTGTGTGTGGTGTGAAATAGAGTGTAAGTGCAAATAGGAGTCTAAGTTAAAGAAAAAATTTTTTAATAGCCAATTGTTCCAGTACAATTTTTAAAAGGTATTTTATTTGCTTTTAAATTGCTTTGGTTCCTTTATCATAAACAATTTGCTTTATAAGCATGGATCTATTTCTGGCCTCTCAATTCTAGCTCATTGACCTGTTTGTCTGTCTTCTTATCAATACTACATTGTCTTGATTACCAAAGCTTTGTAATAAGTCTTGAGGTGAGGTAGTGTGAGTTCTCCAACATTGCTCTTTCTCAAGATTGTTTTGACTATTTTAGGTCCTTTGCCTTTTCATATAAATGTTAAAATCAGCTTTTCTATGATCCTTTTTCTATCTATTATTTTTCTATAAAAATGCTGGTCTGGCATGTAATTGGGATGACAGCAGATCTACATACCAATTTAGGGAGAACATTCAAGCTTACAATATTAAGTATTCTGGTGCATGAACATGGGAAATGACTCCAGTTTTCAAAATGAGCAAATTGAGGTTTAGAAAGCCTAAATGATTTGATAGAGTTATAGACCTGAAAGCAGCAGAAGCTTTTTAAATCTATTTACAATTAATTGACTCACCAGAATGGCCTACACTCTTCTTTTCCTCTGCAAATCATATTAACTACTACCCCATGGCATTGTAAACTTTTTTGGCTAATCTATTTCTGTCTAACACGTCTGCTTCTGCCAGATAAATTTTAGACTTATCTAGAGTCAGTTGTGTTTTTTCCAGTATCTAGTTTTTGAAATAGTGTTTGTTGTTAGAATTAAATAATTTAAATAAAATACATTCTAACCTAGCGATTCCATTTTTGAAAAATTTATCCTGTCAGAGATGCACAAAAAGATTTTGGTATGACAATATTTATCATAGTCTTAATACTAATACTATTTGGTATTTTTATATGATGGCTACTATTCAGCCATTATAAACCACATATTCAAAGATTGTTTAATATGTGGGAATTCCTATGATAAAATATTTGAAGAGAAAAGCAGGATATAAATCTATACTGATGCTTTTTGACTTAAAGTGGGGTTACATACTGATAAACCCGTTATAAGTTGAAAATATCATAAGAGGAAAATGGATTTAATACATCTAGCCTACTCTACTTTAAATGTGCTCAGAACATTTATATTAGCCTATGATATAAGTGATTAGTTGGGCAAAATCATCTCTCAAATACTGTTTTGTAATAAGATAATGAATATCTCATGCAATTTGTTGAATACTGTACTGAAAGTGAAAAACAGAGTGTTTGTATGGGTACTTGAAGTATGGTTTATACTGAATGTGTTTCACATCTGTAACATCATAAAATCGAAGAAAAGTAACTCAAGGACCATCTGTACATGTATAGAAGAATCCTGGTATTTATAGTATTCCTGAATTTTCTACTCTTGCCTGTGTAGCTTCCTGTGATCTTTCTTGTTATTTCGGGGGCATATTTCCATAATCACCTCAATTCTCTGTGTAAGAGACACATATGGCAAGGATGGCATAAACACAAACACTGACTTTATACTCCTCCACCCCCAGTGACTTGGTCACAAGGCAATTCTGTTGTAATTGAACCGGGGTGGGCAGTGTGATGGGGGACTGGTGTAAGTCCTGGAATCCAAAGGCACAAAAGCATGAGAACCAGGAACTTCAATGTCCAAGGGCAGAAAGAGATGAATGTCCCAGTTCATAAAGACTGAAAAGAGGAAAATTGGCATTTCTCTGTCTTATGTTCTATTTGAGCCCTCATCGGATTGGAGATGCCTGCCCTCATTGGTGAGGGCAGATCTTCTTTTCTTACTCTAACAATTCAAAATGCTAATCTCTTCTGGAGATACTCTCACAGACACACCCAGAAAGAATGTTTCAGCAGCTACCTGGGCATCCCTTAGCCCAGTCAAGTTGACACATAAAATTAACCACCATACCCATAAAGTGCATTCGGAACTCTGACCTCATCCTATGCCTTTTAGATGCTATTCTCTCCCCCTCATGTCATGTTTTTTATTCTGCTGTGTAGTTTGTGAAAAACAATTTTCTTAACTCCCATAATTAAGGCCATTTCATGGCATTTAATTTCCCCTATGGGATCTTACCATCATTGGATAGAACATCCAGTGTGATGTGTTTTGTACCCTAGAACTGGACATATAGATTTCTGTTTTTACAAGTGATGCTAGATAAATCCTGTGGCATTTTAGATAATGGCTATATGACCCTATTGGGAGCACCGTTTGCACTCAAATGATGAATTATCTTCCCCAATACAACTATGAGGAAATATCCCCCAAAATAAGCAGGACCAACTTTATTTCAGGATTCTCATGTCTCCTATTCATTTGTTCATAATTTTCCAGAGAAATTAGATTTATTATTTCAGTGCTTATAACATCAGAGTTAGAAAGATAGATAAAGAATCTATTCTTAGAGGAAGATAAAAATGAAATTGGGGCATAAGTAATGCTCACACATGAAAAGAGGTGAGTTATTCAGTACAGTCACTGGCTCTATAAGATAGAAGAAACCCCATGGGTACTATCTGATAAGGACTAAGTAAAGAAACCGGCAAAGATGAGTGCTTGTGAGTGTTTGATGGGACATGATGTGGGGTAAGTGGATTTGCTGTTGTATTTTCCCTACTGCTTTAGCTCTTAGGTTTCGCAAATATCTGTTATAAAGAAAAGTATAACTACAGTATAAATTCACCAAGGAGCCATGTGGAATCCCGAAAATGACCTGGATGTGATCCTCTGACTGCATTCCATTCGTATTCCTCCACACTGGCAGTATTCCAGGACCTGAAAAACATGACTTGCTGTGGAACTTGGCAAAATCCCCCTGGAGGAAGCTACTACTCATTGATTTAAAATGGACAGAAAAGCTGTTTCAAACACTTGCTTAAGCAGTTTTCCTCCTATTAATTTATCTACTTCTTACAATGATCCAGCGAAGTGGGTACCATCATCCATCTCATTTTATGTATGAAGAAACTGCCCTAGAGATATTAAACTAGTAATAGATATAAATTCTAACCTAGAAATTCCATTTAAAAAAATTTATTCTGTCAGAGAGGGGAACAAAGATTTTAGTATCACAATATTGATTATTGTCTTATTACTAATACTCCCCATTAAGAAACAACCTAAGTGTCTCAAAAAAAGAAATGATTAAGAGCATTTGGTATTTTTATATGATGGCTACTATTCAGCCATTATAACTTGCCTAGTTTACATAGCTAAGAGCTGTCAGAGCTGTGGTTTGAACCTAGGAATTTCTTTTTTGTAAAGTCCACACTTTTAACTATAGCCTGTCTCCAATCATATACAATACATCATATGATGTTAATAGCACAAAGAAAAATTTTAAAGAAATTTATTAGCTTGCATTTTATCTGTCTATTTACAGTGTTTTCTTGTTGCTTGAAATGACTAGTTCTCAATTTAGCAATATCCTGGGGATGAATTTAGGAATCCTATAGTCCCATTGCTACATATTTTACTTGGACTTACTACTTACAGCAAAAGACTAAAAATACAATAGGGCAAGATACATTATTCTCTGTTGTTAAGCCATGTAGTCCAGTGAAAAGAAAATCAGGAAATATAGCCTTAATTCCTTCTATGACATTTCCCCTCATTCCTGAGCAAGCATGGTGCTTCCAGAAAAGCAATCATATTCGCAGCTATAGATGAAGTAACATAGGAGAGAAATTTAGTCTGGATACTTCCTTGTGATGCTTTGCCTGACTATTTCCTTCAAAGTTTTAAGGACCAAACTCAGGAGTCCCTTCCTCCAGGAAGCCCCTTCCTCCCTCAGCTCTGCCTGATTATGTGCCACTCCTCCACACTCCCAGAGTGCTCTGCACTCTTCCATCCTTGCACTTGTTCTGTAATTGTTGGTTAATATGCCAAAGAACTGAGACTGAGCCTGATGAACTGTGCATGCCCCACAGCTTCCCAGTGAAGTTTACTAAATGAATGGATGAGTGAATGAGGGAATGTGGAGGACAGGAGGATGGAGAGATCCAGAGTTAAATTACCGTGTTAGGTTTTAAACTTTGGTATCTTCTGAGGACAAGGACTATGCTTCATTCATAGCACCAAGCTTGGCACATTAGCCTTGTTCAATGTTCTGAGATAACTGTTGTTTAATATGCGAGGATGAAACTGTCACTATGTTAAATAAGGTGTATATATGAATGGTTTGCCTCAGGTGGAAGCTATGCCTTCCCAACAGCTTTTCTACCAACTCTTTTTATTCTTAGTAAAAATATCTGAAATGTTTCCAGGATGAGAGGTTGACATGTTTGACAGAATGAATTTTGGAAAGAACAACTTATGTTTGGATAATAATGAATAGCCCAGTTCATCCTGTATCAAGTCCAGGTGGAGAAGCAGTGAGAGGAGAGATTAAAAAGACAATTGTGGAATGCTCTAATAGCCACTCAGGCTGACTAATTTGTATCTTGTTCTGGAGACAAAAAGGAACCAAAGAAAGCTGTTGAGTTATAAAGTAACAAGAGCACATATTTACTATAAAAGAGATTTTTTAAAAAGACATTTAAACGAGTTTATTATCTGTTTGAAATAAGGTGCTGGATTTGGTAACTCTATTGGTAACCACTTTATTTCACCCTAAGAAACGTCTCAGTGCTTGGCATATTGTAGGAACTCAATAAATATGAGTACATGAATGACATCAGAAAATTACCTAGTGCAATAAATAATAAGTAAATTCACCACTAAGTGTGGTGTCATGCACCTGTAGTCCCAGCTACTTGGGAGGCTGAGGTGAGAGGATTACTTGAGCCCAGGAATTGAAGCCCAGCCTGGACAACATAGTGAGAACCCCCCCCATGTCAAACAAAACAAAACAAAACAAAACAAAACAATTTTTAATAAGCCTTGTTGTTATAAAAAAATCAGAGGAATAATATTAATGTGTTTTTTGACCAAAAAGATAGAGTAGATAGGAAATGTAAGCTCAGTTTAATAATCTGAAGATGAATCTGATCAGTGATATATCAAGCTAGGAAAGAAAGGACAGTATAGGGGAGCAGTCAGCGAACGTTTTCTGTTAGAGCCAAATAGTAAATAATAAGCTATGCAGACCACACACTGTCTCTATTGCATATTCTTCTTTGCTTTTTCTTTTTCTTCACAACTCTTTGAAAATGTAAAAACATTCTTAGCCCAAAGAGTATATAAACACAGGCTTCACGCCAGATTTTGCCCATGACCTCTGCTCTAAGACTTTGGGCCACTAATAAATCTTTTCTTGATTCTTCCCCACCCTTTTTGTTTATATAATGATTAATCTCTTTTTATGGGTCACAGTAGATTTCAGATTTTGATAGGAACCCTTTAATTGTACTAAAAGTCAACATTAGTAACCTTATGAAAATATAATAAATAAATTAGTTAACCTCAGGGACAGAATCCCTCCCAAATAGGAAGCAAAGAAGCAAGAGAAATGTGGGTCTTTTAAAGGTCCTCATAAAGAAGGAGGAGAAAGAGACAGAGAAGATATGAAAACAGAAAGGGCAGCATCACAGGTGAAAACCAAGTTAACCCAGTGCTAGTTATTAAAAGCTCCCAAGTGTTTACTTTAAAAAGAAAATAGGGAATTAATTGTCTTGGCTGAATTTTGACCTGGAAATAAATACTCTTTCTTCTGATCCCATCCAAACAATCCCATTTCATAGAATCATAGAATATATTTTCACAGGATGCTGTTTTATAATAAGGTATTTTAACTTATTTTATAAATCAGCTCTGAGTGAAGAAGCTGAACCACAAAACTGTATAAGTTTGCCCCAAATCAATTCCAGTTTCACAACTTATTTCATAAAAATAGTAGATGATAGAAAAAAGCAACCTATCCCTTGTCATAACATTTTAATAAACAGTGGGTTCACTGACCTCAACTTTTTGGAAAATGCTGTGGGCAAGAGAGAAGGTATTTTGGTTGGTGACCTTGATATTCCTCCTTGGATTGGCTGTTCAAAGAAAATAAATATAGAACTCAGATGTATTGTGGAGCTGGTGCCTTCCTTTCATCCTATTTTGAAAATTCTGAATATATATTCTTGAGTTGGTTGACCCTTCAGGATGGTGTTGATACCCCGGAGTTTCTCTGGCCTAAGGACAGAAACAAGTGAGGACTAATATGATGGGATGCTTCGGAAGAAGCCCCCAAACCACGAATCTCTTTGAGGAGAGAGGTGATAGTGCTCCTGAGGGAATTTGAATTTCAAGGCCCTCCCTGGATTATTTTTTCAGTTCGAAACACTTAGAGAGGAGTGCAAATAAAATTTCTGAAAGCAAACAGCCTGAAGAACAGACTGATTATCACGAGAAATGTGGAAAAAGAGAATGGAGGAGAAATAGAGAAAAATATCCCCTGCTTAGAGCACTCTCCATTCTAAACTCATTTGTTATAGAGGTTGGTGATTTTAGCTTTTCTTTTCAGTGAAGGGCTCAAGTGCAGGTGTTTGTATAAATACATGGGTGACCCAGGTGGTTGATTAAGAGAAAAACCATAAAGAAGTTCAAGGCTTGCACTGGAAACTTTGAAGACACAATAGTAAGATATAGCAATTTTGCATATCCTTTTTTTTTTTCTTTTTGAGACGGAGTCTTGCTCTGTTGCCCAGGCTGGAGTGCAATGGTGTGATCTCGGCTCACTGCAATCTTCGCCCCCTGGGTTTAAGCGATTCTCCTGCCTCAGCCTCCCGAGTAGCTGGGATTACAGGCGCCCACCACCATGCCTGGCTATTATTATTATTATTATTTTTGAGACGGAGTCTCGCTCTGTCGCCCAGGCTGGAATGCAGTGGTGCGATCTTGGCTCACTGCAACCTCTGCCTCCCGGGTTCAAGCGATTTTTCTGCCTCAGCTTTCTGAGTAGCTGGGATTACAGGCACCTGCCACCACGCCTGGCTAATGTTTGTATTTTAGTAGAGACGGGGTTTCACCATGTTGGCCAGGCTGGTCTCTAACTCCTGACCTCAGGCAATCCGCCTGCCTCCGGCTCTAAAGTGCTGGGATTATAGGCGTGAGCCACTGCGCCCAGCCCCGAATATCCTTTTGATTAGAGAAGAAGTATAGATTCCTGGCAAATATCTGACTTCTCATCTGTCCTTCAAAAACCATTCAAGCATAGATGATTATTCTGAAATGCCCTTAAGCAGTAAGAAGCTATAAAGCTTTATCATAATAGCTTGAGAAAATAGCAGAGAATTGCTTTGAGGGTGTTGGAGATATGTCTTGAATAGAAAGGAGAAACGGGAAGAAAACATAAAACAGTAAGGGCAGAAGCTGTGGAAGAGAATGTAAGCGCAAGTCCTTCCTGGCTTGGCTTCTTCCCTGTCCCTTCTGGTCCTGTCACCAGCAGCATCACAGAGGGGGCCATGCTTTTCTGTTGCATGTCTTAAGGGTGCATTTAAAATTGCATGGACTAACTGAGCCATAGTAAACCAGGCTGAGACTTGGCTAAAGTCATATAGTCCAAAGGACTCCATGGAAGTAAGAATGACCTTCCTAGAAGCTGTCTAGAGCACAAAAGAGTAGGTTTTAATAGCCATTACTTCTGATTTGGGGTGAAAAAAGATCCTTTAGGATTAATTAGATATTAGAATTTGTTTAAGTATACTGTAATACTTTGTTCAATTTATCAGTATTAACTTATTTAATTCATTTACAAATGAGCTAAGTGAAGCACAGAAAAATTCAGTAATGCCCCTAAAGTCACACAGCTGACAAGTGACAAAGCCAGAATTAAAATCCAGGCATTTTGACTGTAGAATTCATGCTCTAAACCAGGGCTTCTCAGCCTCGGCATTATTGTTGTTTCTGTCTGAACAGTTCTTAGTTGTGGGGCTGTCCTGTGCACTGCAGGATGTTGGCAGCCTCCCTGGCCTCTACCCATGAGATGCATAGCACCCACCCCCGAGTTATGACAACCGAAAATGTCTCCAGACATTACTAAATGTTCCCTGGGAGGGCGAAAACTGACCCCCTGGTTGAGAATCACATCTCGCTCTGCTGCCTATCCTTGCTCTAGAGTGCCATTTTTTGGGGAAACCTTTCCAAATCCTCCTCCTCTGTCAAGGATGGGTCAAATGCCCCTCTGCGTTTCCATAGCATGTAATACTAATAGTTACTGATATTTATTGAGTTTTTACCATGTTCTAGGTGACACTTAGCTTGTCATATGTATTTGCTTGTTTAATCCTCACAAGAAACTTACCTGGTAGGCCTTACTATTACCTATTTCTACAAATGAGAAAATAGATTTACCAAAATCAAGATCTGGCCCAGGGTCACAGAGCCAGGAGCGCCAAACCAGGATCCATATAGAGAAGTCTGTTGCTTTCCAGTGTGCGTGCTCTGAACCATCTGCTGTCTTCTTCTGTCAGTCCCTGGCTATATCTCGGCCTCCTCTACTGGTCTGTGAGTTCTTAGAGAGCAGAGACCAGTGTGTCCCTAACACCCACCACACAGCCCAGTAAGTGGCACACACTCAGCTCCATGTTTCTTAAGCAAGTAAATAGATTAAAACCTAGTAGCCCCAAAGGGGAAGATTGTGTAAAGCACACACAATTTCCCCTCACGAGGGAGGGCTCCCATTCCATTGGCAGGAAATGGAGTGTCCAGGACCTTGATGGGCTCTGATATCAGAATTTTCTGCAGTGGGAAAACTGTGAGAATAATGTGGAATGTGTGTGTTTGAATGTTTTAAAGCATCTCTTTAAAATTAATTTAAATGGCTCGAGAGAGAGGACACAATTAAACAGACTGCTCATTCTTTCTAAAAACGAAAAAACATACAGATCTTTAGGATTACATATGCTCATCCTCAAATAATTTAATAAATTACATCATCCCAAATAAAATTTATAGGCAAATATTATTCAATAAAATGTAACACAGAGGTAATAAAACTTACTAACATCTAGAAATGAAACGTTATGTTAAATATTAGAACCTCAGCACAGGAAAGGATGTAGAGATGGCTTCTGGGCCTTCAGGACAGGGCTGTTGCCAAATGCCTCATCACATACCAACTCATTGCTCCTCCCCAAGATCCTACCTACCTCTTCCTCAGCTGACAAGTTTGAAGAAAGAACATGTACCTTGGAGCTGTCACTGACTTGAGTCTTGGCTGTGCCACTTACTATATGAGTAATATTAGGCAAATCTCCACTTAGGTGGGTTCATTCCTTTATCTGCAAAATGGGAAAATTTGCATTATCTTTTTCTTGACTTTTTCACTGTGTTTTCATAAGGTTAAATAATAAAGAAACATATTAGTTACATTTTAAAAAAAAATATTTCCTTCTATTTTAGCAGAGACTTTAATTCCACTGGCATGAGTGGAAGTGGTTACCAGATAGAATGTTTTTCAGGCAGCTTTATGAGAGCCATCATGGAGCTTCGTGTTCCTTTCTGGGCAGTTCTATTTTTGTGCTTGTCATCAATCCCCTTCCCAGTCACTACCAGCCAGAAAAAGGCATTGCTGGGGAGGGCACGAAACAACCACTTCTGGAGGCATTCATCCAAGGAGGGTTACACTGTGCTCTCTCCTGTCCCCAGCACCCACAGGTCCCGAGACTGAAGGAACTGTGACTGTTGGCCTTGAGGGAACAAGGGAACCATTAAGCTTGTGAGCAGAGGATGTCATTGAGACGCAGGAAGGGGTAGTCCAGTCTTGCTTGCTTTCATGGCTTAGATCAGGTGGTGGTTTATGAGCCAATTGTGTGCACATGTGCCTTCAGGCTTTTTTTTAGTCTGCACTCTTTGGGTAACTTCTTTTGCCACCATTAACTTGATTCTGGAGCCATTCCTTTTGCTTGGGCAAGGTCAGTTTTGCTGAACTTAAGAACAGTGATACTCTCCATTTCTCTTACCCTTTCCTGCTTATTTCTCTTACCCTTTCCTGCTTTCTGCCTTACGTCATTCAAGATGAACTGGCGGTCTATTTGAATTTTTAAAAGGGAGGTTTTACAACTTCTTTTCATGTCTAAGTACAGCACTCTGTTTTAGTGGGAGGATCTACAGCAGACTAGGAAATTGGCTAAGAGTCTTTGTTTCTGAAGAGATGGAAAATCAGCTGTATATATTGTTAGAATTATAAAAATTATTTTTCTAGTTTCACATATACTGCTGTTTTTCTCAATAGAAGTTAAAGGATGTATTTACAATATTGCTCAACTCTGATGATTATTAGGATTTTTGGAATCTTAAAAATTTCTCTATATTGTGTTTTTTTTTTTTTTTTTTCAGAAGATACGGAGAAAGATCTTTCTTTTCTGGGAGATAATGATGAAAGGTGTTTGCATTCACACACAGGTACAGACCCAGGCAAAGCCTGCCACACAGTGTGTATCCAGGCCTTGGAATGGAGTTACTTCTCTCCAAGTAAAAATTTTTTCTTCCCAAGAGAACATTCATTGTTATTGCCCTCAACTGGGAGTTGAGAGAGCCATTTCTTCTCCAGCTACCAGGAGACTTGAACAAATCTCCTATTTATTTTCACATCCTGGGACTTAGAACCACCAATCCCTAGAGAAAGAAAAGAGAACATTGTGAAAAATTGTGTCACAAGGATTAACTGCCAGGCAGAGGTTTACTGGCTCTTATTTCTCCCAATCTTATTGGAGAATTAGCAATCCAAACAAAGTCTAGGAATGCACCGGGGTTTTGTTAGTGGTTTTCATTCTGTGGGTTGTGACTGGTTAGCAAGTATTGAATCAACTTAGCCTGACTCACTTTGGTCTATGACTTCCCTGGATGGATATTCTGAAGCCAAAGCTGATTGAAGACACCCAGCCCAGACTAAGAAGCTCACTCCCATTTGATTAGATGTCCCAATTTCTATAGGCATATCTCTGAGAGTGTTTTTCAACTTGAGGTTGTGGTTCATTGTTTGTTAAATTCATTTAGTAGTTGGAAACTATGTTTTAAAAATGATAAAATAGAATACAATGGATCATTATAGAAAATATCAGAGTGCATCACACATAGCAAGGATAGGTATTATTTTATGAAACTTTGTTTCAGTTTATACACACACACACACACACACACACACATACATCCAAACACACATATATGTATTTCTGCACTGAGTCTCAATGTAAAATGTTTTACCAGTTATGGATCCCAATATAATAAACAAATGATAAAATCAGATGGGACAGGGAAGAAGATGCAAAAAATGTCTTTACTAGGCTAGCAACTCTTTAGGCTCCCCAAGCCCACTTTCAAATCTGTAGTCTTCTTTTTATAGGCTGGTGGTGGATGATGCAGTAAAGGTTACATGCCTAGTTTTGCAATTTTATAACTAAGTTCCATGAGGAAGGCACTTAGTACCTTACTTTAGAATGTTAACAGTACATCTCTCCTGTTACTTTCAGAATTGAGGTCTTAAATGAATTTTTCAGACAACAGAAATACAGAGACTATGCCAGGCACCAGCAGTACAAAATAAACAAAACTCTTGGAATAGCTACCTGGTGGGGCAATTTTATAATGTCCTAGTAACTGCTTTCTCCACAGAAGGGAAGAGCCACTTTTCGAAGACAAGTAGAAGTGAGAATTTCTGAAGTGGGCTCCAGGAAGCTGAAAGGGACAATTTTGGATGAGAGCAAGCAGCCATTTGTGAATTCTCACCGATAATTGCCTTCCTCATAGCCCAGACTAGAATTTGAAGCTTAAATGAATCATATTTAAGGAAACAAACTTAACTCACAGATAGGTAGAGGTGTTGACGTGGTGAACTCCCCAAAAAACTATTAGTCAAGCAAAGCTAAGTTTATAGGATCCCCTGCAGTAAAGGCAGATACCACTTTGACAGACTTCAGAGTGTGTCAGAGGGGAGGTCAGGAGAAGTTATTGGAAGGGTTTTGTTGTTTGGGATCAAGTGGTTTAAGATGGGTCTTTCAGCCAGGCGCGGTGGCTCATGCCTGTAGTCCCAGAACTTTGGGAGGCTGAGGTGGGTGGATCACGAGGTCAGGAGTTCAAGACCAGCCTGGCCAAGATGGTGAAATCCCGTCTCTACTAAAAATACAAAAAAATTAGCTGGGCGTGGTGGCAGGCACCTGTAATCCCAGCTACTCAGGAGGCTGAGGCAGAGAATTGCTTGAACCCAGGAGGCAGAGGTTGCAGTGAGCTGAGATCATGCCACTGCACTCCAGCCTGGGCAACAGAGCAAGACTCTGTCTCAAAAAAAAAAAAACAACACAAAACAAAACAACAACAAAAAAACGATGGGTTGTTCAACACAAAGGACTGACTGAGAATTGGACAAATTTTATGTCATCATATAATTTGGATTGGTAGGTGCAACAAAGCGTGAGTTTTGAAGTGAGTCTTGGTAGTAAACTGCTGTTTGGTTAACGAGCTGGTTCCTAGGTGAGCAGTCTATTGTCTCGGTAAGAGAACCGCTTCTCCATTTCAACAAACTCTTTGTCCAGACAGATGTACTTGCAGGAATTTACACAGTCAAGTTAGTTATTGGTTATAGACTTATTTTCCTAGGCAATAGTTTTCTGGAACAAATACTTAAGCATGTTGACTCATGAGTGAAAGGGTTTACTTACCTTCATCACTGAGAAGTTGCTAAAAGTCAGAATCTCTAGCCATAAGTTAATTAGATTTGTTTTATAGTTAATTTCCATCCTGTCTAGTGTTTTTGGAAAGTTGGAGTTATTAATGATGTGCTGTTAGTTACTACTAGTGTTTAGAAATTAGGTGGAGAAAAAATGTGAAAGAAAAATATTTGCAATGGGAATTAGGTTGTTGAATTTTTTTTTTTTCTTTTTGAGACAGAGTCTCGCTCTGTCACCCAGGCTGGAATGCAGTGGCGCAATCTCAGCTCACTGCAAGCTCCACCTCCCAGGTTCACTCCGTTCTCCTGCCTCAGCCTCCCGAGTAGCGGGGACTACAGGCGGCCGCCACCACACCCAGCTAATTTTTTGTATTTTTTAGTAGAGATGGGGTTTCACCATGTTAGCCAGGATGGGCTCAATCTCCTGAACTCGTGATCCGCCTGCCTTGGCCTCCCAAAGTGCTGGGATTACAGGCATGAGCCACTGCGCCCAGCCCAGGTTGTTGAATTTTATTGATGTTTGTAAATTATTGAAAATTTCCATGTAAGATAGGGAAAATCAAGATAAAAATATAGTTATGTGTTTTAAAACATAGTAGTATTGATAATTTATGTATTATCCAGCAGATTGCTTTTGATCAGTTAATAATCAGTTAAGAGATATATAAACATACTGTTAACAATTATATAATTACATATAAAATATAATATTTATAAATATGTAACTATATTCATATTTGTACATGCAGTCAGTATTTTGGACTTATGATGAAATCAATGCACAGCTTTATTCTTGACTGCTGCCATCCCTTTAAACTTTATCACTGGGGATAATCCTCCCAGGCACTGGATGAAAGTTTGACAGAACCTATGACTGTCCTGCTTGCTCTTAGGCAACTGACATCCCTATGGTGACTTTAAGTGGCAAATCCAGGTTTACTTCTGAAATGCTGGTGATTGAGTTCTGAAATGTTGGTGTTCAGCTACAAATATTGTAGGTGGAAACTGGTAATTTTCATTAAAGTGGGTGGGTATAGTTCCCATGGCTCTTATTTTAAAGGACCAGGTCTGTCTCTAAGGGTTTGAGACCTCCTTCCTATTTCTTCTCTTGTCTTCTGTTTTCCTCTGTTCTTCCCATAGTGTCTTCCCCACCTGTCTTTTCAATCTAGTCTTTAAGTAAGGGGTCAGGTGATCAACTCAACTGGTATTTTTAAAACTTATTTTTACTTCCTTTTGCTAAATCAATTTTTCCCAAATCTTTCTAAGATAAATCTTGTATCATGTCATAGAAGCAGTGTGGCATGTATGAGAATTAGCTAATAGAATTTAGAATCAGATGGATATGGGTATGAGGGCTCTGGTTCTTATTGCCTTTGTAAGCTGGAGATAATATTTTGGAATAATGATATAAAAAATGAGAAGTGTGTGTGTGTGTGTGTGTGTGATAGAAAGAGAATGAATGAGAAATGCTATATGCCTGGCATAGTACTGGTGCAGTATAAACACTGGTATATGAAAACATTGGTATATGAAATATAAACACAATTTAGTTATTAATTATTCTAGGAAATTACATTATTATTTGCATTTGAAATCCACAGATAATACAAGTATAATCAATTAATTGATCAAGTAGCTGGTGATATAATGAATGTTTTTCTTGTCCCAGCAGTGTGCAGCAGGTAAGAGTCAAAGATTCAGCATCCCTGTTCTCATCGAGCTCCCTGTTTTGTTAGAGAAATTAGACATATACAGAAAAACAATTAGATTATAGAACATTACAAAAGGGAGTATAATCAAAAGGTACATTTTGTGGAACAGGAAATGTTTTATAAGAACAGTGGCAAGACTGAACCATTTACCTTTAGCTGATTGTCACTTTCCTTGTCATCTTCTCAGGTTTTAAGAAAATCAGTAGTTGTATTTCTTAGGAAGTATTAAGCTGCAAGTAGCACTATTCTCAACTCAAGGTAACTAAATCAATGGGATTTCTTCTCTCACTTAAAAGTGAACCCAGGGTGGATAGTTCCAGGTGTGGCTATGTCAGGAGCATAACCACATTATTGAGAATGAAGCTGCATTTTTTTCTTTCTGTTCAGGCATCCTCAGGCTTATACCCCTATGATAGTTGGCTGCCACAGTTCCAGACATCTTATATTTCCTCCACCTCCATAGGCTGAACAATGTTCCCCCAAAAGATATCCACATCCTAATCCCTGTGTATTAGTCTGTTTTCACACTACTGATAAAGACATACCCAAGACTGGGCAATTTACCAAAAAAAAAAAAAAAATGGTTTAATGGACTTAAAGTTCCACGTGGCTGGGGAGGCCTCACAAACATGGTGGAAGGTGAAAGGCACATCTCACATGGTAGAAGACAAGAGAAGGGAGCTTGTACAGGGAAACTCCCCCTTATAATAACCATCAGATCTTGTGAGACTTACTCACTATCATGAGAACAGCACAGGAAAGACCTGCTCCCATGATTCAATTACCTCCCACTGGGTCCCTCTTACAACACGTGGGAATTCAAGATGAGATTTGGGTGGGGATACAGCCAAACCATATCATTCCACCTCTGGCCCCTCCCAAATCTCATGTCCACACATTTCAAAACCAATCATGCCTTCCCAACAGTTCCACAAAGTCTTAAGACATTTCGGCATTAACTCAAAAGTCCACAGACCAAAGTCTCATCAGAGACAAGGCAAGTTCCTTCCACCTATGAGCCTGCAAAATCAAAAGCGACTTAGTTACTTCCTAGATATAATGGGGATACAGGCATTTGGTAAATACAGCCATTCCAAATGGGATAAATAGGCCAAAACAAAGGGGCTACAGGCCCCATGCAAGTCTGAAATTTAGCAGGGTAGTCAAATGTTAAAGCTCCAAAATGATCTCCTTTGACTCCATGTCTCATATCCAGGTTATGCTGTTGCAAGAGGTGGGTTCCCATGGTTTTGGGCAGCTCAGCCCCTGTGGCTTTGCAGGGTACAGTCTCCCTCTTGGCTGCTTTCATGGAATGGTGTTGAGTGTCTGCAGCTTTTCCAGGCACATGGTGCAAACTGTTTGTGGATCTGCCATTCTGGGGTCTGGGGGATGGTGGCCCTCTTCTCACAGCTCCACTAGGTGGTGCCCCAATAGGGACTCTGTGTGGGCATTCTGACCCCACATTTCCCTTCCAAACTGCCCTACAGAGGTTCTCCATGAGAGCCCCACCTCTGCAGCAAACTTCTGGACATCCAGGTGTTTCCGTACATCCTCTGAAATCTAGGTGGAGGTTCCCAAACCTCAATTTTTGACTGCTGTGTACCAGCAGGCTCAACACTTCGTGGAAGCTGCCAAGGTTTGGGGCTTCCACCCTCTGAAGCAACAGCCTCAGTTGTACCTTGGCCCCTTTTAGCCATGACTGGAGCAGCTGGGACACAGGGCACCAAGTCCCTAGGCTGCACACAGCACAGGGACCCTGGGCCCAGCCCATGAAACCCTTTTTTCTTTCTAGGCCTCTAGGCCTGTGATCAGAGGGGCTGCCATGAAGATCTCTGACATGGCTGGAGGCATTTTCCCCACTGTCTTGGAAATTAACATTTGACTCCTCGTTTCTGATGCAAATTTCTGCAGCTGGCTTGAATTTCTCCTCAGAAAATGGGATTTTTTTTTTCTATTGCATTGTCAGGCTGCAAATTTTTCAAACATTTATGCTCTTCTTTCCTTATAAAACTGAGGGCCTTTAACAGAACCCAAGTCACCTCTTGAATGCTTTGTTCCTTAGAAATTTCTTCTGCCAGATACCTTAAATCATCTCTCTCCAGTTCAAGTTCCATAAATCTCTAGGGCAGGGGAAAAATGCCACCTGCCTCTTTGCTAAAACATAACAAGAGTCACCTTTGCTACAGTTCCCTAGTTCCTCATCTCCATCTCAGACCACCTCAGCCTGGACTTCGTTGTTCATATCACTATCAGCATTTTTGTCAAAGCCATTCAACAAGTATCTAGGAAGTTCCAGACTTTCCCACATTTTCCTATCTTCTTCTGAGCCCTCCAAACTGTTCCAACATCTGCCTATTACCCAGTTCCAAAGTCGCTTCCACATTTTCAGGTATCTTCAGCAACATCCCACTCTACTGGTACCAATTTACTGTACTAGTCCGTTTTCATGCTGCTGATAAAGATGTACCTGAGACTGGGCGATTTACAAAAAAAAGAAGGTTTAATGGACTTGCAGTTTCACGTGGCTGGGGAGTCCTCACAATCATGGTGGAAGGTAGAAAGCATGTCTCACATGGTGGCAGACAAGAGAAGAAAGCTTGTGCAGGGAAACTCCCCTTTGTAATAACCATCAGATCTCCTGAGACTTACTATCACAACAATAGCATGGGAAATACCTGCCCCCATGATTCAACTACCTCCCATCAGATCCCTCCCACAACATGCGGGAATTCAAGATGAGATTTTGGTGGGGACACAGCCAAACCATATCACCCTGGTAATTGGCAATGTTATTTTATATGGCAAAAAGGGAGTTTGCAGAAGTGATTAAGGATCTTGAGATGGCGAGGTTATCCTGGGTTATCTGAGTGGTCCCTATATGCTATCACAAGTATTTTTTTGGGGTGTGTTTGTTTTTTGAAATGGAGTCTTGTTCTGTCGCCAGGCTGGAGTGCAGTGGTGTGATCTTGGCTCACTGCAACCACTGCCTCCTGGGTTCAAGCAATTCCCTTACCTCAGACTCCCACGTAGCTGGGACTACAGGTGCATGCCACCATGCCCAGCTAATTATTTATCGCAAGTATCTTTACAAAAAGGAGGCAGAGGAAGATTTGAGACACAGAAGAGAGAAGGCAATGTTACCACAGACACATAAATTAGAGTGATGTAGACACTAAGCAATGCCTACTGCCATAAGAAGCTGCAAGAGGCAAGGCATGGGCCCCAGAGGGAGTGCGGCCCTGCTAACACCTCGATTTGGACCCAGTGATACTGACTTTGGATGTCTGTCCTTCAGAATTGTGAGAAAATAAACATCTGTTGGTTTAAGCCGCCAAGTTGGTGGTAATTTGTTATATCAGCCATTGTAAACTAAAGTGGAATGAAATGGGGCATCTCTTTGCCAGTGTTTCCATTTACAGAGAGAAAACCTTTTCCAAAAATCCACTATAGACTTCACGGATGCTTAGGAAATAAGTATCTGGCAATTTTAGCCTCTAACTATTCTGCAAGCAAGGAAAAAATATGGTGTAATAGTTTTGGGAAAAGCAACCAATTGTGTCTTCCGTGATAGCAAATAAAGTGACCAATTCACAGACAGTAGGAGGGAGATGGAACTGGAACATATCATTCTGGCCAAATCCCAAAGTCAAGCATTGGAACCTACTGAATTTAAGAGTTGACTGCACTCTTACAGTGAACAGTTTCACCAGCATCAGGGTATCACATTGTCTTTTCTACCAAGTGAGTCAGTGTTCTTTTGTGAGGACACAGATAGAGGCACTGCCAAGGAAACAGGCCACGTTTCCCTGGGATAAGTTCTTACGCAACTTGGGTAAGAACGCAAGGAAGCACACAAGCAAAGGAATACTTTTTTCTGGAGGTGGAGATTCCTTAGCAACCTTTAACCACCACAGCATTCTATCTTCTGACTCTTGGTTCCGTCTTTTGGGATGCTGTCCACATGCAAAGGAGGTGTATTCTCAGCTTTCTGCTCCTCTATGGATGGCTTCCCTGAAATTCCAATTTCTAATTCACACAAAGATAGTCATCTAGAGGATCTTCCTGTTGGCTATTCACCAGTTGATTTGGGGGAGAAGGGAACTCTTTTGTTTTGCATTCAGAGTTTAGTGCTTGTGTGAGTATTTGCCTCCCTTTTATACTAACTAAGCTGGCTGAAGACCTGAAGGCTCTGGAAGAGCTCAGTTTCTGCTGCAAAGAGAGGGAGAAGCCCTGCTAGGAGATCCCTATACTTAGAGCGTTTGTTTGAGTTAAACATCTTTCAAATTTGAGTAGTAGTTCTACACTCAAGTATATGTCTCTCTTTTTTTCTTTATTATTTAAAAAAAATGTGGAAGGTTTTGGCTTTGGCTTACAGAGTGTTCTAAAACACAAAATCTTGTCATCTGGAAAATGCCTCTTTTTGCTACTCTTAAATAGGAATAAATTTGAAAGGAACCCACACAGAGACCACCAAGTGATGTGATGGCTCTTTGTTGCCCCCAAAATTCACAGGCAAATGCTTCTGCTGACCCACAACTTGGGACCAGTGAGGATTTAAATCTACTACTTATGGGATTGTAATTCTCCTACTGGGCTGTTAATCTGATTGTTTATTAAAGCTCTGCTGACTTGTTCGTTTAATGTATTCGACATACTGGGCCCTTAACTTCAATATACAGCACTGGCTACATTTCAAGTGTCTAATAGCTACAGGTGGCTAGTGGCCGTTGCAGTTCTAGAGTCAGTCCATTGCTGTATCATCTGCACATTAGTAAGTCTCAAGATAACATTTTCAGCCAGGTATTGGCACTTACAGGCAGGAGTATAGACCAGATATTTTGCAGAAGGTAAGTTTTCACTGGGCCCTTAACTTACATTGGATAGACACTTATCTACTTTGTATATTGCCTGTCTGATATCTCTATGTATATATATATATATATGTCTTTTATGATCCTGAAATATCCCGCTTGAGAATTCTTAGGAAGAGACAGAATGTGGGAGAAAGTCACATAATAAATGTATGCTTGAGGGCAACGTCTAAGATCAATACTGTAAGAACTTTAGCCTGGGCACAGTGGCTCACACCTATAATCCCAGCATTTTAGGAGACCGAGACGGAAGACTGTTTGAAATCAGGAGCTTGAAGTCAGCCTGAGCAACATGGTAAGACCCCAACTCTATTAAAAACAAACAAACAAGCAAAAAAACTAGTTAGTGCAGTGGCTTGTGCTATAATTTCAGCTACTTAGGAGGTTGGAGAATCATTTGAGCCGAGGAGTTTAACACTGCAGTAAGCTATGATCACGCCACTCCACTCCAGCTTGGGCAACAGCATGAGACCCCATCTCTAAAAATAAAAATACCAAATAAAACTTTGGACACCAAGGGCTGATGTTCTACATGGTTATATCTCTATATTTCTCTCCTTCCTCTTTTGTTTGTTGTCTCTTTCTGAAGTTATGCCTCTTTTTAGTATTGCTACCTTTCTTCTTCTTACTACTTCTTTGACATAATATTGGAGCCTGGAATATCTGGGGCTGCTTTCACTGTTAGGGATGCACTTTTTAGGTAAACATAGTACATTAGCAAGAAGAACAGAGAACATTAGAGAGGCCACATAATTTTTCTGAATTTACACTATATAAAAAGTTATCCAGTGTGTAAAGAGACAGGATTTCAAACCTTGAGTTGACAGAGGTTATGATCTTGGCCAAAATTTATGGACTTAAAATTTCAGATATTTGACTTCTAGGCTACTGACAAATATATCTGTTAGGAGTGCTTTCAGCTGCAAATAACAGAATTCCTGATCAACAGTAGCTTAAACATGGAGAGGTTTCATGTTCTTAGGTAACAAGGAGCCTTCAGGTAACTGAATGCTGGCATTGGTTCTGCTGTTTGACAGAATCCTCAGGGATTCCACTCCACCATCCTTAGTGTACTCACGTTCAACTAAATGCTTGCTACCTCATGGACACAGATGGTTGCTGACACAGCAGACACTGAATCTTTGTTCAAGGAAGAAAGATGTTCTCATCAGAAAAACAAAAGCTTTTCGAGAACTCTGTCCCCTGGGAAGCCCCAGCTACAAGAGAGGCTGGGAAAATGAGTAATTAGCTTCTTAGTCTCTGAAGTGGACAATGTAAGAGAGAAGACACTATTGAGTTAGTGAGCAAACGATGACAGCCATAATGTGGTTCTCTAACAGCTGATATAGTAGCTAACATATATAGAGGGCTTGTGGGATGTAAGATATACAAGCGTTTCACAGATGTAATTTCCTCTGATCCTCACAACAATTCCTTGATTTATGCCTACTATTATTATCCCTCCATTCTTAGTTGAGAAAACTATATCTTAGAGATGCCAATTAATTTACCCAAATCACATGGAAATTCCCTTGTTGCGTTACCCTATCTCCATAATGACCAAATAGCTACCCTTATTCATAGATTCCCTTCCACATAATTTATACTTTTTTTGAAATACATGCTTAATATTTTACTCCATAAAGGCAGAGTGATGGAGAGGAAGGAGTCGGGTAACTTGGTTTCTGGCTTGAGAAATTCTGATAGTATGGCTCATTCCCTGAGAAAGGAAGGGTAGTTTTTGGCAGACATTATGTACATCCCATGTCAGGTGGGTTTAATAGAGGGTACCTATTGGTCATCGAAGTGGCTCATGTTAAGAGGTGTCTGGAGTGCAGGAGAAATTTCATAGAATTGACCTATGTTGTCTAGGAGATTGATGATCACAGCCAAACCAGTATCACCTTCCTAAAACTTCCTTTTCTTAAGAAATAAGAAAGTAAGCAGAAGAGATGTAGGGATGAGTAATGGATACAAGTGGCTTCTTTTCTGCTCACCAATACTGTGGGAGGAAGTTTCTGAGACAGCCCCGATTATGCCTGCCTCCTGATATCCCTGATTATGTCTGCCTCCTTGCATATGAACCTACTCTTCCTTGAGTGGTCTGGACTTGTGACTTGCTTCTGATTAATAGGATAACAACAAAGGTGATGAGCTATCATTTCCATAATTATGTTACAAGCATGTAACCTCTGTCTCATTAGCAGATTTTCTCTATTTGTCTTCTTGGCTTTCATGCTTTGGTGAAGGAAATAGCCATGTTCAAGAGCCCCATGTAGCAAGAAGAGGTTCATGTGGCAAGGATCTTAGGGTGGCTGTTGGCTGACAGCTAGCAAAGAACTGAGGCCCTCAGTCCAGCAGCCTTTGAGGAACAGAATTCTGCCAACAACCTGAGTGAGCTTGGAAGTGGATCCTTCCCCAGCCAAGCTTTCAGATGAGACCCTAGCCCTGGTCACCAATATGATTGTATCCTTGTGAAAGACCCTGAAGTAGGGGGCCCAGCTCAGTTGGATTCCTGACCCACAGATGTGGAGATAATAAATGTGTGTTGTTGAAACCATTATACTATGGTAATTTATTAAATGGCAATAGATAACACATACAAACACCCAGAGTTTAGTTGAGGGATCAGGGGATAGGCCCATGTGGCCATTAGCTGGGGTATATGCTTACCTAATTCAAAAGTCAAAGGAGAGCAGACTATCTTTTATGATTCTGAAATACAGAAGGGAGATTGCTTATATTTGGAAATAAATTACCTGGTTGGTCAATTAAAACCAGAACTGAGAATCAAAGCATTTGATTCACTGGAGAAAAGAGAAAACCCTGAGAGGAATGCAGTTATATTTAGAGCAGCCTCTGAGCAGCAACAGCTGGTGTCTGAATGAGGCCAGCACATCTTATGGGAGTGGTATATGAGCCTCGGGAGGCAGATAAACATTAGACATAACCATGAAGCAAAAGGCTGTAGATGGTGCTGAGGAAGCCAGGGAATCAAGGGGTGTATCATGGGAAGTTGTAGATTTTCCTCTACTGGAATCCATAAAGAATAAGGGATCTTGTAAAATAACTTTTAAAAAATTCAAAATAGTGATTACAATCATTCAGTGTTCCTGTTCTGTGAGCAATTTCCTTTCTTTCCTTTCTCCTCTTCTATTTTACAGTAGCCATTGACACTTTTTACATTAATCTACTCAGGCTTTCATAATAAAATACCACAGTCTAGGTATTATGCAAGACAAAAATTTACTTTCTTGCAGTTCTGGAGGTGAGAAGTCCAAGATCAAGGTGCCTTCAGGGTGAGGCTCCAGTGAAGCCTGTCTTCCTGGCTTTCCAGAGGCTGCTTCCTAGCTGTTTCCTCACACAGCCTTTTCTCTCTGTGTATGTGGAAAGAGAGCAGTCTCTGGCATCTCTTTTCTTCTTCTTCTTCTTCTTTTTTTTTTTTTTTTGAGAAGGAGTCTCGCTGTGTCACCCAGGCTGGAGTGCAGTGGCGTGATCTCAGCTCACTACAACCTCTGCCTCCTGGGTTCACACCATTCTCCTGCCTCTGCCTCCCTAGTAGCTGGGACTACAGGTGCCCACGACCATGTCTGGTAAATTTTTTGTATTTTTAGTAGAGACAGCGTTTCACCGTGTTAGCCAGGATGGTCTTGATCTCCTGACATTGCGATCTGTCCACCTCAGCCTCCCAAAGTGCTGGGATTACAGGTGTGAGCCACCAGCACCCAGCCTCTTCCTCTTCTTATAAGGACACCAGTTCTACTGGGTTAAGGCCCCACCCTTATGACCCCATTTAGCATTAATTACCTACCAAAAGGCCCTGTCTCCACATATAGTCCCATTGGGGGTTATGGCTTCAACATATGAATTTGGGGTTGGAGGTGGATATAATTCAGTCTGTAGTATTTCCTAACCACTAAATGCCTATAAAATGTAAGCTCAGTAAGGGCAGGGACTTGGGCTGTGTTTTTCACTGAGCTGTCTTATCTTTCCAAGGCCTGTTACAGTGCCTGGCACAGGCACATAGTAGACCCTCAATAAATGTTTGTTGAATGAATGAACGATGGTCTCTTCTCTCTGATGCTCTGAGATGGAGGAAATCGCTGAGAACAGATCAGGTAATGAGGCATTTTTTTTTTCCATAAGAGGTAGAAAGTTTTTATGTAGTGTTGTATAAAATATTTTTCAGTTTTATGATAAGATTTATAAAGATGCTCAGTCGTCACCACCAGCACGTGCACCATGTCCTCCCGCTGCTGCGTGCTCCTCTGCCAGTGGCAATGGAAGAAGAGATCCCCGCGCTCTTCATTGACAATGGCTCCGGCATGTGAAAAGCAGCTTTGCTGGGACAATGCCCTCCGAGCCATATTCCCCTCCATCATCGGGCACCCCCGGCACCAGGGCGTGATGGTGGGCATGGGCCAGAAGGACTCCTACGTGGGCGACCAGGCCCAGAGCAAGTGCGGCATCCTGACCCTGAAGTACCCCATCAAGCATGGCATCGTCACAAACTGGGACGACATGGAGAAGATCTGGCACCATGTTTTCTACAACGAGCTGTGCGTGGCCCTGGAGGAGCAGGTGGTGCTGCTGACCGAGGCCCCGCTAAACCCCAGGGCCAATAGGGAGAAGATGACTCAGATCATGTTTAAGACCTTCAACACCCAGGCCATGTACGTGGCCATTCAGGCCGTGCTGACCCTCCACAGCTCTGGTTGCACCACTGGCATTGTCATGGACTCTGGAGATGGGGTCACCCACACAGTGCCCATCTACGAGCGCCACACCCTCCCTCACACCATCTTGCATCTGGACCTGGCTGGCCAGGACCTTACTGACTACCTCATGAAGATCCCTACCTAGCGCAGCTATAGCTTCAACACCATGGCCAAGTGGAAAATCGTGCGCAACATCAAGGAGAAGCTATGCTATGTCGCTCTGGACTTCGAGTAGGAGATGGCCACTGCTGCATCCTCCTCCTCCCTGGAGAAGAGCTACGAGCTGCCTGACAGCCAGGCCATCATTATTAGCAATGAGCGGTTCCGGTGTCCGAGGCACTGTTCCAGCCTTCCTTCCTGGGCATGGAATCCTGTGGCATCCATGAAAGTACCTTCAACTCCATCATGAAGTGTGATATGGACATCCCCAAAGACCTGTACGCCAACACAGTGCTGTCTGGCGTCACCACCATGTACCCTGGCATCCCCAATAGGATGCAGAAGGAGATCACTGCCCTGGCATCCAGCACCATGAAGATCAAGATATCGTGCCCCCAGAGTGCAAGTACTTTGTGTGGATCGGTGGCTCCATCCTGGCCTCACTGTCCACCTTCCAGCAGATGTGGATTAGCAAGCAGGAGTACAACGAGTCGGGCCCCTCCATCATCCACCGCAAATGGACTGCGAGCAGATGCATAGCATTTGCTGCATGGGTTAATTCAGAAGTATAAATTTGCCCCTGGCAAATGCATATACCTCATGCTAGCCTCACGATACTGGAATAAGCCTTTGAAAAGAAACTGTCCTTGAAGCTTGTATCTGATATCAGCACTGGAGCATAGAACTTGTTGCTGATTTTGACTTTGTATTCCAGATAACTGTTGCCCTTGGTATTTGTTTAATACCCTGTACATATCTTTGATTTCACCCCTTAGTACACATGGCTTGGTCACTTCGTGGCTGAGGTAAGAATGTGCTTGTGGAAGACAAGTCTGTGGCTTTGTGAGTCTGCGTGGCCAGCAGTCTCTGATCTGTGCAGGGTATTAATGTGCCAGGGCTGTGTGTTCTGGGATTTCTCTAGAGGCTGGCAAGGGCTCCTGAACCAGTTGTTTCTGTCCTACCAGTCTGTCAGGGTTGGAAAAGTCCTCCAACTTTTATCTTAAAAAGCAGACTCCAATTTTTATCTTCAAGGGTACAGGAAAGAGAGAGGAAAAAAGGGCAGGGAAGGAAAGGCCCAGTGGGTAATGACAGACAACCTGTCCCCAGAAGCAGAGAAGGGGATGGGGGGTTTCCATGTTCTTAGAATCCCCCTGACCTGATCTTCCTGAATTGGGCTGACAACCACCAGAGATTCCTTGAATCTTTGCTGTTGTCCTTAGACAGCCATAGGACCCAGAATTGTCCCTATTGATATTTAACCTGTAGAAGACGACCACCAGAACCAATGGCATAAAATCACAGCCATACCTGCAGAACCCAAGGCTGGCTAGCTGCTTGGACTTGCCCAGTCACTCCTTAATCTTGATCCTAGCACTATGGGAGGCTGAGGTAGGCACATCGCTTGAGCCCAGGAGTTCAAGACCAGCCTGGGCAATATGGTGAAACCCTCTGTACAAAAAATACAAAAATTAGCCAGGCACAGTGGCATGCACCTGTGGTCCCAGCTACTTGGGAGGCTGAGGTGGGAGGATCACCTGAGCCCAGGAGATTGAGGCTGCAGTGAGCCTCTGCACTCCAGCCTGGGTAACAGAGTGAGACCGTGTCTCCAAAAAAAAAAGTGACCCACATTTTACACATCTGCATTTTTACACCTCAGTTATTTTGTTAAGATTTTCCTCCAGTATTTATGACTGGTAGGTTAGCTATCTCTGGGCCTGAATAGGTCTGATACAGCCCTGTCTGAGCATAGGACACTGAGCTCTAGTATTTCTCATGTTTCTTTCTGCCTGTGGATCTATGAATCAAGGATCCCAATGCTGCCATCCACTGTACAATTTCAGAAACAAAGCATGGCAAGGAGAGCCAGCAAGGATCTCAACTCAACTTACCTGAGCACGCCACTCCTGGCAAGATCTGCCCACTGTTCCAGGAACAGAAACAATGTTCCACACAAACCGAGACTGAGACTGTGTGCTATGGTGGAAATCACTGTGCTGGTAACAGACACAGCAGGGCTAAGGCTCATACAAGGACAGGAGTGAACAGCAATGCCTAAGCACTCTTTTCAGCCTCCCGGAGATTTCACTCTTTGTTTTATTTCTGCCAAGCTCTCTGGTGTAGGGTACTTCACTCTTGACATTAGCTAGCTTCCTGTGGTGTTAAATGAGTTCAAATACTACAACATGGGTGACAGAATTTTATAAACCCTGAGGCACGATGACAATGTACAGGCTGGCTGTAGCTATGGCCACTCTACCCTTTCTTCTTGTCCAAATGTGGGGTGCAGTGCAGTGTTGAAAACTGTAGGCTCTGGACTCAGACTACCTGACATTGAAGCTTTAAGCTATTTATTTAACTTTTGCTCATCTAGGCTTCCTCATCTTAAAAATGAAGAAATACTAATAAGAATCAACTTTATGAGATGGTCTTGAGGTTTAACTGAGGAAAAATTCATGTAAAGGACAACACAGGGAACAAAATAGTTAATAGAAATATTAGTTGATATTCCTTAAGTGAACAGAGCTAGATGCTAACTTTTCTCTGGTTTCTTTTCCTTGATGTTATCTTTTCAACATGTTGCCTTGGCACTACCAGTAGATAGCCGTGGTCTAGCCAAAGGCCTGAATGAGAGCTATCTAGGGATTATGAGTTGTAACAAAACAACAAAATAGATAACGTACTTCTGTAGGCCAGGGTAGATTACTGTTCTAAAGGATGTCACCTGTAAGGCCTTGAGAAAAGTATAGGCTGTTAGAAAACTTTCTCCCAGCACTGTTACCATTTATGGGAAACTGATAGAGATATAACATCTACATTTGCTTGTCTCATCTCTGGCTACATTTGCTTGTCTCATCTCTGACACATTTCTTATTGTGACACATCCCATTGAGAGAAGAACTGCAAGTCTCTTTTCAGGAATTGTATGAATTCAATTTTCATACATTGAGATGAGAGGGTATGAATGAGTATGAAGTAGAATGTTTCTTTCAAGAGGACTCTGAGTCCTCAGGCAGTCTAGGGGATAATCAATGATATTTCTAGTGAAGAAAATGACTATGAAAGAAAGTCATTCAGATTTCTGGCTGCACATGGTCAATTAAACTCATAGTTTATTTTTACTCCCTTCAAAACCTTGTTAGAAAAAGGAAGAATGTTATAAGCCCACAAGGACAGGAAGAATTGCAACAACATTTTGGAAGCTAGAACGCTGAAGAAAGTTTGTTGCTTACTTCACAGATTAGAGACAGCTGAAATCTAACCAGGTTTCTTTGCATCAGCCTCCTCAGGAGGCAACCCAGGGGGATGATGCAAAGGAAAGAAGCTCAGTAATTTTAGGTGCCAGGTAACTCTGAAAGTGGGGTGAAGGTAGGACTAAAAATAGATTGTTTGACATAGAGAATAAAAGGCAACTAGAATCCTAGATCACTCTCCCATCCCCTTTCCACCTGAGAAGATGACTAGAGGCCAGATTCCCTGGAGATACCAAACTAGGAAGAATTGGGTACCAGGGATGCCAGCTACAGCTGAGGTGGGTATGAGACTGTACTGAAGACACTCTACGTACTGGGTGGCTCCCTTTTCTGTAAGCTCCTAGAATATTGGCCACTAGACTTAAACTCTCCAGGCAGGAGATTGAATGCCTCTTCTCTGAATAAACTGATTAGCCAAAGAGAAAAGCTATAAACATAGAGTTAGAAGTCCCACAGTGAAACTGCATATCCAGATCAACCCACCATGAAATTCAGTCAACAAGCTCCACTCATAATCACACAATCAATCCAATCACACTTTTCAGTGTTTCCCTAAAATATAAGCAAGGAATCAAGGACACTAAGACATTTGAGAAAAGCCTCTAAACAAGGTTTTACTAATCTCAACGCTACTAATATTTGGGGCTGGATAATCCTTGTTGTGCTGTGCATTGTAAGATATTTAGCAGTATCCCTGGCCTCTACGTACTGGATCCCAGTAGTGCAAATTCCCAGTTGTGACAGACAACAAAATACATCTCCAGACATTGCCCTCAGAACTAAAATCTCTTCATATTAAGAACCACTGTTCAAACAGGAAGAGAGAGGTAGAGCTGAGAAAGAGAAAGAATGAGAAAGGAAGAAAGAAACAAATAAAGAAAGAAAAAAGGAAATAGGAAAAAAGAATGCAAAGGAAATAAGAACAAAAATGAACAAAAATATTATCTTCAGAGTGATAAAAGAAGATATTGTATTCATAAAACAAGAGCAGGTGGTGCCAGGCACAGTGGCTCATGCCTGTAATCCCAGCATTCTGGGAGGCCAAGACAGGAAGATCACTTGAACATAGGAGTTCGAGACCAGCCTGGACAACATGGAGAAACCCCATCTCTGCAAAAAATACAAAAATTAGCCAACGATGTTGGCATATGCTTGTAGTCCCAGGTACTTGGGAGGCTGAGACAGAAGTATAACCTGAGCCTGGGAAGGTTGAGGTTGCAGTAAGCCGTGATCATGCCACTGGACTCCAGGCTGGGTGAAAGAGTGAGACCCTGTCTCAAAAAAGAAAGAAAGAAAAAAAGAAAAAGCAGGAGGTAATAGAAAAGAAACATTCAGGAATAAAAAAATCCTCTCAGAAATTAAATACATGTCAACAGAAAGAAAAATAAATAAAAGTGTTGAAAGATAATGTTTCAGAAATTTCCCAGAAAAATAGAGCCAAAAAGTCAAAGAGATAGAAAATTGTAGAGAAAGAAAACAGGAATTTGAGAACAATTTTGGAAGACTTAAGGTCCAACTAGTAGATATCCTTCGAATAATAGGAGGGAACAGTGAGATAGATATAGGGGAGGAAAGTTTCAAATAAGCTGTTTGGTATGGTTTCCTGTGTCCCTACCTAAATATCATCTTGAGTCATAATAAACAGCACATGGGAAGGGCAGGGCGAAGTGGAGATAATTGAATCATAGGGGTGGTTTCTCCCATACTGTTCTCATGGTAGCACATAAGTCTCAAAAGATCTGATGGTTTTATAAATGGGAGTTTCCCTGCACAAGTTCTCTTTTGCGTTCCGCTGTGTAAGACGTGCCTTTGCTTCTCCTTTGGCTTTCACCATGATTGTGGGGCCTTCCCAGCCATGTTGAATGGTGAGTCCATTAAACCTCTTTCCTTCATAAATTACCCAGTTGGGTATGTCTTTGTTTGCAGCACGCGAATGAACTAATACACTCTCTTCAAGAAAAATGTCCACAATGGAAGGATATGAATTTCTAGGTTGAAAGGACTTATAAGAAATCAAATACATGAAACTCAGAGCAGTTGAGACAAAGCAGCCCTAAAAGCTTCCAGGAGAAAATACAGTTTACGTAAAAGGGTCAGAATTTAGAATGACATAGGCCTTCTAGAAGCTGGAAAGCAATGGAGTGATGCCATCAAAACCCTGAATAAATTTCCACAAACCAACTATTATGTGAGTGTGAAGGTGCAATAAAGACATTTTCAAACATGCAAGATCTTGTAAAACTTACCTTCCATGCTCCACTTCTTCAGTGAAGATACTGGGAAATATGCTCCATCATAACTAGGAAGTAAACTTTTTTTCTCATTCATGTGTTCAGTGGAGGTCAGGTATGATTACGGAGGCTCTGATGGGCTCCCCAAATCCCATTAGGAGTCCTTACCAGGTAAGACAAGTCCTAGGAATTTGGCCTTGGGGCAATTCTGCAAATAGGGCCAGCAATAGTGATGATGATGGGCTCAATTGGCTCCAACTCTTTCTAATGCATATCTTTAACTTCCTGCCACTTCTTTTTATATTTATTGACTCTAAGCTTGAATTGCCTCTTAGACGCAGCTGGAAAGAATCCTCCCATATCCACTGTAGCCTTCATCTCTCCATGTCATCTGTTGAGGCTGTGTCATTTCTAGCTTCTCTGTTAGACTTCTTTCTGCATTCCAGAAGTGACTTAGATTTTCTAGACAGCTGTTGATATGCTTTATTGGGTTGCAGGGCTATTATATATATTTCCTTTGATGACCTTCTGTGTAATTTCCAGGAGATTTCTGGGGATTGGATGGGCAATAAATATATGTCCTTCATCTACCATTTTAAACAGAAACTCATAGACAGCAGATTTTGCCCTTCCCCCGTATTTACACATACTGCGTTGCTGATTAACTAAGGCTCTCAAACTTCTATTATCTCTTCTCCAAACTCTTCTCTTTCTCCCTGTGCATTTACATTTTTAAAACAAACAGTGACTGGGCATGGTGGCTCATACCTGTAATCCCAGCATTTTCAGAGGCTGAGGCAGGAGGATCACTTGAGCCTAGGAGTTGTCTAGCCTGGGCAACATAGTAAGACCCCATCTTTACAAATAAAATACAAAAAATTAGCCCGGTGTGGTGGTGCACACCTGTAGTGCCAGCTACCTTGGAGGGGCTGAGGTGGGAGAATCCCTTGAACCTAGGAGGTTGAGGCTTCAGTGAGCTGTGATCACACCACTGGACTCCACCCTGGGTGACAGAGTGAGGCCCTGTCTCAGTAAATAAATAAATAAATAAATAAATAAATAAATAAATAAATAAATAAATAAATACAGGACTTTACATATGTATCTATTATGTTTTCTTTTTTTTTTCCATTCCAGTGGATTCCACTGTCTTATTAAAAGCCCAAATTATTCTTTTTTTTTTATTATACTTCAAGTTTTAGGGTACATGTGCACATTGTGCAAGTTAGTTACATATGTATACATGTACCATGCTGGTGCGCTACACCCACTAACTCGTCATCTAGCATTAGGTATATCTCCAAATGCTATCCCTCCCCCCTCCCCCCACCCCACCACAGTCCCCAGAGTGTGATGTTCCCCTTCCTATGTCCATGTGATCTCATTGTTCAATTCCCACCTATGAGTGAGAATATGCGGTGTTTGGTTTTTTGTTCTTGCGAGAGTTTACTGAGAATGATGATTTCCAATTTCATCCATGTCCCTACAAAGGACATGAACTCATCATTTTTTATGGCTACATAGTATTCCATGGTGTATATGTGCCACATTTTCTTAATCCAGTCTATCATTGTTGGACATTTGGGTTGGTTCCAAGTCTTTGCTATTGTGAATAGTGCCGCAATAAACATACATGTGCATGTGTCTTTATAGCAGCAAGATTTATAGTCCTTTGGGTATATACCCAGTAATGGGATGGCTGGGTCAAATGGTATTTCTAGTTCTAGATCCCTGAGGAATCGCCACACTGAATTCCGCAATGGTTGAACTAGTTTACAGTCCCACCAACAGTGTAAAAGTGTTCCTATTTCTCCACATCCTCTCCAGCACCTGTTGTTTCCTGACTTTTTAATGATTGCCATTCTAACTGGTGTGAGATGGTATCTCATTGTGGTTTTGATTTGCATTTCTCTGATGGCCAGTGATGGTGAGCATTTTTTCATGTGTTTTTTGGTTGCATAAATGTCTTCTTTTGAGAAGTGTCTGTTCATGTCCTTCGCCCACTTTTTGATGGGGTTGTTTGTTTTATTCTTGTAAATTTGTTTGAGTTCATTGTAGATTCTGGATATTAGCCCTTTGTCAGATGAGTAGGTTGCGAAAATTTTCTCCCATTTTGTAGGTTGCCTGTTCACTCTGATGGTAGTTTCTTTTGCTGTGCAGAAGCTCTTTAGTTTAATTAGATCCCATTTGTCAATTTTGGCTTTTGTTGCCATTGCTTTTGGTGTTTTGGACATGAAGTCCTTGCCCATGCCTATGTCCTGAATGGTGATGCCTAGGTTTTCTTCTAGAGTTTTTATGGTTTTAGGTCTAACGTTTAAGTCTTTAATCCATCTTGAATTGATTTTTGTATAAGGTGTAAGGAAGGGATCCAGTTTCAGCTTTCTACATATGGCTAGCCAGTTTTCCCAGCACCATTTATGAAATAGGGAAACCTTTCCCCATTGCTTGTTTTTCTCAGGTTTGTCAAAGATCAGACAGTTGTAGATATGCGGCATTATTTCTGAGGGCTCTGTTCTGTTCCATTGATGTATATCTCTGTTTTGGTACCAGTACCATGCTGTTTTGGTTACTGTAGCCTTGTAGTATAGTTTGAAGTCAGGTAGTGTGATGCCTCCAGCTTTGTAGGCCATTACATAATGGTAAAGGGATCAATTCACCAAGAAGAGCTAACTATCCTAAATATATATGCACCCAATACAGGAGCACCCAGATTCATAAAGCAAGTCCTGAGTGACCTACAAAGAGACTTAGACTCCCACACATTAATAATGGGAGACTTTAACACCCCACTGTCAACATTAGACAGATCAACGAGACAGAAAGTCAACAAGGATACCCAGGAATTGAACTCAGCTCTGCACCAAGCAGACCTAATAGACATCTACAGAACTCTCCACCCCAAATCAACAGAATATACATTTTTTTCAGCACCACACCACACCTATTCCAAAATTGACCACATAGTTGGAAGTAAAGCTCTCCTCAGCAAATGTAAAAGAACAGAAATTATAACAAACTATCTCTCAGACCACAGTGCAATCAAACTAGAACTCAGGATTAAGAATCTCACTCAAAACCGCTCAACTACATGGAAACTGAACAACCTGCTCCTGAATGACTACTGGGTACATAACGAAATGAAGGCAGAAATAAAGATGTTCTTTGAAACCAACGAGAACAAAGACACAACATACCAGAATCTCTGGGACGCATTCAAAGCAGTGTGTAGAGGGAAATTTATACCACTAAATGCCCACAAGAGAAAGCAGGAAAGATCCAAAATTGACACCCTAACATCACAATTAAAAGAACTAGAAAAGCAAGAGCAAACACATTCAAAAGCTAGCAGAAGGCAAGAAATAACTAAAATCAGAGCAGATCTGAAGGAAATAGAGACACAAAAAAATGCTTCAAAAAATTCATGAATCCAGGAGCTGGTTTTTTGAAAGGATCAACAAAATTGATAGACCGCTAGCAAGACTAATAAAGAAAAAAAGAGAGAAGAATCAAATAGACACAATAAAAAATGATAAAGGGGATATCACCACCGATCCCACAGAAATATTATGTTTTCTTTATTTTTCAGTCAGCCACTCAGTGGAGAGTGAAGAAACCCCACTTAAGCTTGTTTGAGGAAGAGGAAAATCTGTTGCTTCAGGCATCTGAAAAGTCCAGGGGATATGAGTATCAGGTATAGTTTGGTCTAGGCACTCAAATAATAACATTAAACTCACTTCCCATCCCTCTTCTTCTCTTTCAGCATTTCAGCTCTTCTTTTCTCCTGATTGCCTTCATTCTCAGGGAAAGATTATCCACATGGCAGCTTCTGGCACTAATGCCTGTCTGAGACCATCCTGTTACTCCCAGTAAAGCTAGGAGTGGCTATTCTCAGAACACTGGTGTACTCCTGGAATAATTGCCTTTCTGGAAATCACATTGTAGCTTATTCAGAAGCACTTTTAATAGAGATATTTGGAATGACCCTGGGCGGAAGTTTATCAGAACCTGGAGCATAGCAGCAATACCTGGAGATTCTATCGAAAACAGCAAGGCCAGCACAGTGGGTAAGAATGGACTGTGGACAGGAACAGAGGAGGAAGCTCAGTCAAATGAATTGCTGGGGGAAGGAAAATTATATGCTTTGAGCACTTTTTTTTGATGGGCATTTCATACACAGAGGCAGTTAAAAGTATGTGCTCTGCAATCATAGCCCTGCTGGGGATATATTAGGCGGTTGATCTTGAGTGCTTCTTAAACTTTAAAGTACTGGGAATCAAGGGAGGATCTTGTTAAAAGGCAGATTCTGTTTCAGTAGGCCAGGGGTGGCGCTTGAGACTCTGCGTCTCTAACCAGCTCCACGGGGGATGCAGATACTCCCGGGATGCAGATGCAGATGCTGCAGTGCGTAGAACATGCTTTGAGTACCAAGGACTTAGCTTTTCTGGGCTTTAGTTGCCTTACATGTAAAATGTGGGTATCAGTGCCTTCATCATAAGAGCATAGAGAGAATTAAATAAGAATGTAAAGAACTTGGCCAGGTGCAGTGGCTCAAGCCTGTAATCGCAGCAGTTCCGGAGGCCGAGGAGGGCGGATCACCTGAAGTTGGGAGTTCAAGAGCAGCCTGACCAACATGGTGAAACCCCATTTCTTCTAAAAAATATAAAATTAGCTGGGCATGGTGGCACATGCCTGTAATCCCAGCTACTTGGGGAGGCTGAGGCAGGAAAATCTCTTGAACCTGGGAGGCGGAGGTTGCGGTGAGCTGAGATCACACCATTGCACTCCAGCCTGGGCAACAAGAACAAAAGTCCGTCTCAAAAAAAAAAAAAAAAAAAAGAATGTAAAGAACTTTTAAGAGCTCTTGACACGGTGTAAGCACTCAAAAAATGCTGACTATTCTTTCTGAAGAATGGAAACAGTGAAGGTGCCATCATGAAGACTGAGGGTACAAATGCCAGGTGCTCTGTGTGGGGCCTGATGCATAAAGAGCTCTGGGTGAGGACTTCCTATGTACCCAGCACTTGATACTCTTTCTCATTCAATCCCTCCTAACTCTCTGAGACAGATACTATCATCCTTTACTTTTGATAAATGTGGAAACCAAAACTTAGGTTTAAAAAAACTGTCCAAGACCACAAGTTTACCAAGCAGCAGAGCTGGGGTTTAAACCTAGGTCTTGTGGCAGCAAAACTTGTGAATGTAGTTATTAACCGGCCCTCCAATAATAATTGTTACTGTTATTATCTTATTAAGTCCTCATGACAAAAGTGGATTTTTATGCCCATTTTACAGGAGAGGAAACTGAGTTGTAGGGACTATAGTAACTTGTCTAAAGTCGCTTGCACAATCTTCATCCCTTTCTCATATACAAGGTTGACAGGGAGGTGGTGACATCTTTTGAGGTGGCCTGAGGGTGGCACATGGGCCAGAATTTGGGTTCTACCCTCCCTGTTATAGACCCGTGTTTTTCATGAAGGCTCCTGACAACAGCTGAACAGGCATCCATTGTCCTCCTCACTCCACAGGGATGGTTGAGAGAAGCCCTCCTTTCTCCACTGAGGAACTTTGTGCCAAGTCACCTGCACGTCTACCCTACCTACCCCTGACCTGAACTCAGCAGGACAGCACAAAGAAAGCATGAAGAACTTTGCTGCACTGCTTTTGGAAAATATGCTAACCCCTAGCATAACCAATCCATCTTAAGAATGAAACAGCAGCGATTGATGGAAAAGAGTTGTACAATTCCGGGGCGCTCAAAGTGATGGAAGAAGCTATTGAGGATGATGTAAGTGTCAGGTTAGTTTTTCTAGGACTTAGACTCTGAGAGGGAGATGTACATGCAGGAGGTTTACTAGGGAGACTTTAGAGTCCTTACCTGTTGGGGATAAAGGCAGAGTTGAACTGAAATACCGGGCCTCAGCCTATCCCACAGGGATAGCTCTGGAGCTGGAGTGGCCCAAGGGAAGGCCTTCCTTGACTAGTCACTGGATGCAGGCTGTCCCTGAGGAGGGTGAGACCTTGGGTGGGGAGCATCTCTCCAGCTGAGTGCAATGCCTGGCCACTCAGCAGCGAGTCATGACCCACCAACCTTCCTAACATCTGGGGGCATGAGTGTTTCCACTCTGAAGTGGGGAGCTGGGACTCTGAAGTGGGGAGCTGGGACTCTGAAGTGGGGAACTGGGACTACAGCATCCACAACAGCACATCAGATGGATTATCAAGGTGTTGAACTTGGCAGCTTTGTACGGAAACTATAAATCTTGTTTTAAGAATAAAATACCCTACTGGCAAATCCAAAGATTGTTTGGGGAACAGTAATGATTTTCCTAATGATAGCAACTAGTCAAGGAGGCCCCATAGTCCTGTCCAACCCTAAAAGTTTTCTAACTCAATTATTGGTTGAGAATGGAAAATAACACAAAAGCACCAAGGAGGTATTGTGGATGAATTTTTTAGCACAAAGTGTTTCATCCATTTCTGCCTATTTTGGATTTCCTATTTCCAACCTGTACCAAATGTGCTTGCGTACACATACACACGACTAACCTTAAATATGGCTTCCTTTTAGAGACATAAAAAGCTCATGAATCAACTCCAAAAACATTTGCCCAGACTTTCTTTGAAAGGTGCAGATGAATGAGCTTGACAGAAAACTTTTTGCTTGAAATTTTCCCTTTCTCAGATTGCATAAATTTAAGGGGAAAGGCTGCCAAATGTTCAATGACGCTCAGCGTGGTGGCTTCTGGCAGGGACACTCTGTACCAGCAGCTAAATGAATGTTTCCCTGAATCACTGACTGACTTATCATCCTTTATCACCTGCTCTGTTCCCCTTTTTCTGCATTGAGGCTTTCTAAATGACGTGGGGAGGGGAAGTAAAAAAAAACTTTAGAACCACAAGACACTGCATATTGATGTTGGATATTGAGAATTCTTCTGGTGTTAATAGATAGGATTGCAGTGAGGAGCACGAGGCTATCAAAAGCTATCTTCAAGCCTAATGTGGGCAAGACCCGTCAAGCCCCAGTGCTACAGAGGATCTGGACATTTTGGGCTGTAGCTTTGTATTAGGAAACTTCTTGTTTGTGTTAGGATTTACCAATGAATTGGGTCATATAATTCCCTTTTTGAAACCCTTAAAATGAACTCAAACCCCCTAGCCTGGCCTATTAATAATAGGTTCTACTGAGCCTGCCTTCCTCCGCCACCTGCCTTCCAACCTCATCCTAAACTGTGCTCACCCTCACTCCCTGTGCCTCAGCCATACCAACAAAATCCTTCAGGCTCCTCCAACACGACAAGACAAGGCCTTTCCAGAGTCACAGCCTTCAGCCCTGCTGCCTGGAATGCTTTTCTCGCAGCATTTCCATGGCCAGTGCCTCCAGGTCGGCTTAAATGTTACCTCTTTAGAGAGGCCTTCCCTGACTATGATCCTCCACTTTTATTCTCTATTCTCATAGAGTACTTTTGGTTTTCTTCACTGTACTTACCTATGAGAATTTGTGGCCATTATTTGCTTGTTTATTTCTTATCTCTTTTCCATGCTAGACTCCACTCCCTGAAATGGCAGGGACAAAAGCTACCTTGTTCACCACTGAAAACCCAGTGTCAGGCACACAGTTTGTTACTTGAATGAACAGTGTTTCACCCAGAGCCTAAGTCCTGTGCTCTCTCATTTAAAAAGGAACACTTATTTATAGATTTTTAAATGAAGGCTTTGAAAATATGGAAATATCTCACAGACATGAGATGGGAGACGTACGTTTTTAGTATGAGGACATTCTAAACCCCCATCACAACTAATGGCTCCTTCTTCTCTGTCCTCAGGGAGAACAGCTTTTGTTTTAGTTGAGGTATAACTTACTGTAGTATATGGCACACATTTTAACTGAATTTTACATGGGTATACATCCATATGGAGATCAGGATCGAGATGTAGAATATTGATGGCACATTGGAAGGCTTCCACATGAGAGGGTTCCTCTCAGGCAGTACCATTCAAAAGGTAGCCACTGTACTGTGACAGGTCCCCCAACAGGTTACCGAAGGGTATAAGTCTGTTGCCTGAACTCTGAGGGCCGGACAGTGAGCCAAGACCCTGGTGCCGAGCTGAGGAGCAGGTGTCCCTGAGAAGCCAAACCTCCCAGAGAGTTTCTGAGGAACTACCAAGAAAAACAGTCTCATTGTTCAAACACGTAGGCAAAGAGCCAGGAAATTAGCTTAAAAGCAGTTTATGGATGGGAGGTGGGGCAGATCTCCAGAGCTATCCTGCCGCCATCCCAGAGTGCCCCGTATGTAAGTCCTAATAAACTCATCTACTCCTCATGCTGGACTTAGGTCTGAGTCCTTCTTTGGACTCTTAGCACTTTTTTTAGTTTGGGGGTGGTGTTGGGGGACCTTACAGTCCTAAGTGTTTTCATAATAGCCACTATTATTTCTATTTATATAGGCCAGTTTTGACTTTCTTAGCTTGCTAAAAGGAGTCATATACTATGTATTTTTTTCATGTCTAGTTTTTCTTTTTTGCTCAAAATATGATTTTGCGATCTATTCATGTTCATATATGTACCACTAGTTTATGTGTCTTATTGCTTTGTGACATTCCTTTGTGTGAGGATAGCACAGTTTATTCTATAGTTGAAGGACATTTGGGCTGTATCCAGTTAATGGCTATGATGAACAACTTTGCTAGGGACATTATTGTACAAGTATTTTGATAGATGTGTGCACTTGTATCTGCTAGGTGCATGCCCTGGAGTGAATTGCTCCCAGAGGCATGTTAGCTTTAGCAGATATTACCAAACAGTGCTGTGAAGTGAGCACCAGTTGACACTCCACCAGTGGTGCATGACAGTTCCCCTTCCTTCATATCCTTACCAGAACTTTTTATTTCTCCAGACTTAATTTTAGTCATTCTGATAGATCTGTGTAGTAGCTCTGAGATTATCATTTGCTTTTGTCAGATAAGCAATAAAATTGAGCATCTTTTGAATGCTAATGGGTCATCTGGGTATTTTGTGTATGTCTGTGTGTATGTGAATTGCCTGTATGAAGTGCCTTTGAAATTTTTTGATGATCAAAGAAATGGATTGTCTGTTTTCCTTATTTGTAGGGTTTTCTTTTTACATTTTGGATATAATTTATTTTACAACTACATGTGTCTCAAATATCCTTTTCCAGTCTGATGCTGTCCCTTTTCATTCTCCTAATACCCATCTGATGAACAGAAGCTCTTCATTTTAATGGCATTTAATGTATTAATCATTTAGATTATGATAGTGCTTTTCTCCTGAATAATAATTTTTTTGCTAACTCAGGTCTCTTATAGTGCTTTTAACAAGAGAATAGAGTGGGAAGACATTAAAAGAGGTTTTTAGTACACTTGAAATGGCTTTTAGGACCAAGATGTTGAAACATGGCAATAAAACAGGGAGCTCTCCCAGTTCCTCTTATCAGAGGCCAACCCTGCCCTCCAGGCCCTGCTCAAATTCCCCTTCCCCCAAGAGAGGGCTGCCAACCAGCTTCCCCCACTTTCAGGAAGAGCCTAGGTATATGGGTTAACCCCATACGTTGGGGACTTCTTAGAAAAACTCTAGGTTGAAATGCAGTCCCCCACAATTACCCCTCAAGAATATTCAACTCAGGTCGACAACACAGAAATTAAACCACATGGACAAAGAGTCATTCACCAGATATATTTGAAGTCTAAGCTCTTTGAGCTATACACGTGCACAAATGATTCAGTTGGTGGAAATCTTCCCCTTCCCCTTCATTGTTAAAGTTTTCAAACTTAAAATAGTGCTAAAGAGATTTGCATAATGTGCGTCATGGAAATGCTGAGGCGATTCTGACTTTCACAGTGCTAGGAGGTTCCCTTGCAACACTTCAAGGAGTCTTTCCATTTCTTATCGTTCTCCTAGGAAAAGCCCCTCTTTTCCCCCCTCCCCAAACCCAACCTAGTGAAAGAATTACTTGATCTGAGACAGGTTAACATTGACACAGAGCAATAAGTTTTACTAAGACTAACTCCAGAGGCCATACACTTCATTGTGTTTCTTTTATGACTACACAGAATGGTCATTTCAACTTTTACTAAGTTGTTAAAAATGTCAGATGTGTCTTTTAAAAAACATTTAAAAATCATTTTCAAATACTTTCTCTCATCTAGATTTCTTTAGAACCTGCATTCTGGAAATTCAGGGTAGCTTAAAAAATCAAGTCAAATGACCCACAGATGATTGAGAAGAGTCAGCTTTGAAAGGCTGGATGCTGCAGTGCTCTGCATCTGAATAGCGGAGCCTACTATTTCTTCCACTAGAGGACACCATTTCTCCACTACTAAGTCTGTAGTCGTTTATCATCAATGAAAAACCAAAAACCTCCACAGCAAAGGAAAGTCAAAGCATATGCTTATTGTACACTCCTCAGATTTTATTTTTAAAAGGAGTTTTCATTTTCCTTATGGAAACTCAGGATTTTACAAGCAATGCTCTCCTCAGTTTCACCAGTACTGTGTCCAGTACTATATTGCTATATTCACAGTAAAACGGACTTTAATTTCTGAGTGATCAGTCTATGTTTTAAGTTTCTGATGAAACTAACATACACCTTAGTCAAAAACCACAACAATCCCTCAATCTGTTTGCTGTGTTATTGTTCTTGTGTGTTTTTCTGAGGCTTGGGTAATGAAAGTACTTCCCCACTCCATTGTAATCTGCGTTTGCATCTAAAGTAATTCATTAATGTACAGGAGTAGATGAGGCCTGGCACACATAGCAGAAGGTAATGGTTCTATAGGTGTATCTTCTGTAATGCACTTTGGGCTAGAGAAATAGAAAAATCACACGTAACAAAAACAAATAACTTTTTTGAGCACACGGGTGTCGCGTGAGTAGGACCGGCATACATGTAGCTATCATCCTTCCCCATTTTAACATGCTCAGCTGCTGCTGCATTCTGGGGATTTAGCTTCATCCCAATAATCTACAACTGACACTTGCATCTTTATTTAAAAACAAGTGGTCTTGATAGCAAAGATGTTGGCTAATCATGTATATATTGGCATTAGATGTTTTGTGTCCTTTCAAAATTCAGCATTATCCTTATTAGAGTGTAATATTATCAGAGTATCTGTATTAGTATATGAAGGCATTCATAAGCAATGCACATTATGTTTTGAAGCAGCTAATTGTCGAACAATCACTAAATAAAAAACATCCAGATTTTTTAAAAGCACAGCTGAAACATTTGTACAAATATACAAAGAGAGAAAACAATCATTCAGACACCATGAAACTTTTGTAATAAATAGGTTTGTCTGAAATCAGTCTCTATCACCCTGGACAAGCCTCCCCAACGAGGCTGGGAGAGTTCTACAGGGGAGTGGTGTTTGAAATCTATTGAGGAATATCTTTGGGGCCAAGGTCAATTTTGCCTCCAGGAATTTCAACAGAGCTATGGTGTATTGACTCACAATAGTGAATATACCCAGACTTGTTGAGCTGGAATATTCTGATCATTTTCCTAATCTAGATAGGACATGGCTGGATGCTGACAATCTGTGAGTTATAAGATATCCTCAAATAATGAAAATAAATGCTGGTGATCATGCATGTCCTGGGAATGTTGGGATGCAGAGGACTGAGTGAGACCAGATAGGGATATCTCATGCAGTCAAAGTCAAGTTTACATATGGTCCTATTTAAGTGGCCAGGAGAGAACAACGCACACACATCAGGACTGGGACTGAAACAGCTCACAAACAACACAGGTGCTATTTGTTACTGATGTCTCTGGCTTGGATCAACATGAGAGAACAAAGATATAGGCTGTGCTGATTGTTTAATAAGAAAATACTACTTTTTTCCCTAGAACCTTCTAAATAATGGGTTATACTTAATGGGTATGATATGATCAGGAGACATATCACCTTTTCCTAGCCCTTTTGTCCGAGAGGCTTGATAACAAGGAAGGAATCTCAAACAACCAAACACCCAGGAATTTAAAGGCAATTTTTTTTGACAAACAACAGGGGGAAAAAGCATGATAAAGAGGAGACGGCTATTATCGAGAAGGAGCAGGCAGCTCAGTTGGACACGGAGGGTGGCAGGCCAGGACGCCGAGTTTGGATGATTTTTGGCTTTGGGGAAGTCTTTGGGTCCTCTTCTTCCTCTATGTCACTGTCGCACACGTGCACGACGACACTTGGGGTGGACTCAGTCCCTGCATGGAGCTCATACTTCTCTCCTGAAAAGCAAGAAAAATGGAAGTGAGAAAGAGGGGGGGATTTCAAAAGAGATCCTGGAGCAGGGTCTGCTTAGGAAATGACAGGAGCATTTTCCAGGGTCTCAGGAAGCCTGTGATCTTATGCAGGGATGGCACAGGGTGTTGGCAAGTGGAAAGAGATCAATTTCCTCCTATCCTGGCTCTGCCACTTATCAACTGTGCAACCCCAAACAAGCCACTCAATACCTCTTAGCCTCCACATCCTTTACCGTAAATTTCAACATGGTAATACTTCCACTCTGTAGGATGGTGGCGAGGACTGGATGGACTTGGCAGTTAGTCGTATTAGTTTCTCTTCTATTTTCCAACTTTGCTGCTAGTTTTTGAGCAACCTTGGGCCAATCACTTCACTTCTTTATCTTTTGAATATGGTAGTTTCTGAGTTCCCCTCCAGCTCTACACTTCTTACAGCCAGAGCTGCTCCAGGATGGAATAAGGTGGGGTTATCACATGCCCAGGATTCAGTGGTTACTGGGTAACTGGGTTAGATGACCATCAAGGCCCTTTCTAGTTCCAAGTGTCTACATTCTTGACTGGCTCATATTACAGTCAAATGGCTGTTAGCTGACTGGCTTTCTGTCTTTCTGTTGCTTCATTAGATGTTTCTTGAGCATCTCTCGTGGTCTATTGCTGTTCATAAAGGCTACAAGGTAGAATAAAAAGTATTTGTGCCTTTCACAAGTGCACAGTCCAGTGGAGACATGTGGAGACAGAACATATCACAATATAAAATGGTGAGCACTATGGTGGCAATGTATGTTAAGGACTATGGCATCAAATGGTAAGTAACTCTGAAAGGCTTCCTAGTGGACTGGCAGCTGATCTGGGTCTAAAAGACAAGCGGAAGGACTCCAGGTGGTGGGGTAAGAGGAGGGGGTATTCTCAACCTGCATGCTTGTAACTTTTCAACTTCATTGTTGACATACTAATCTTAATCCTCTCCGGACATCCCATCCTTCACTTCCCATCTTTCATGGATCAAAAGATAAATCTTCCAAAAACAATAACTCCCAGATATCCTCCTGGTTAGTGGCTCTCTAGATCTCACAAGATCAAGTATAAATTTTGTAGTCTAGCACAGAAGACCCTGCGTAATCTCTCACCAATCTTTTCCATCACTACCTGCATCAGTTCCTTCTTTGTTTTGGTCAAACTGGTTTATCTGTTGGCCCCTAATCATGACAGCTACATTCTTAGGGCCACCAAAATAGCTACTTTTACTTCGCATAGCCTCACTTCCCCTCCAGAGTTCCCTAAATCCTGACCTTCTTCCAGGATCAAAGCTAGACCCGATGCAGCCCAGGAATCTGCTATTCTCAGTCTAAGTGCCTCCACTGGATGGCTGGAGCAAGTATTGTCAGTTCCAGTGACAGGGCACTAATTATGTGCTACTGTGCACATCTTGGTAAGCCTTAATGGTGCAAATAGCAAACTTTCACAAGGTACAGTTTTTTTTTTTTTATTATACTTTAACTTCTAGGGTACATGTGCACAATGTGCAGGTTTGTTACATATGTATACATGTGCCATGTTGGTGTGCTACACCTGTTAACTCGTCATTTACATATCTCCTAATGCTATCCCTCCCCCCCTTCCCCCACCCCATGACAGGCCCCAGTGTGTGATGTTCCCCACCCTGTGTCCAAGTGTTCTCATTGTTCAATTCCCACCTATGAGTGAGAATATGTGGTGTTTGGCTTTCTGTCCTTGTGATAGTTTGCTGAGAATGATGGTTTCCAGCTTCATCCGTGTCCCTACAAAGGACATGAACTCATCCTTTTTTATGGCTGCATAGTATTCCATGGTGCATATGTGCCACCTTTTCTTAATCCAGTCTATCATTGATGGACATTTGGGTTGGTTCCAAGTCTTTGCTATTGTGAATAGTGCCACAATAAACATATGTGTGCATGTGTCTTTATAGCAGCATGATTTATAATCCTTTGGGTATATACCCAGTAATGGGATGGCTGGGTCAAATGGTATTTCTAGTTCTAGATCCTTGAGGAATTGCCACACTGTCTTCCACAAAGGCTGAACTAGTTTACAGTCCCACCAACAGTGTAAAAGTGTTCCTATTTCTCCACATCCTCTCCAGCACCTGTTGTTTCCTGACTTTTTAATGATCACCATTCTAACTGGTGTGAGATGGTATTTCATTGTGGTTTTGATTTGCATTTCTCTGATGGCCAGTGATGATGAGCACTTTTTCATGTGTCTGTTGGCTGCATAAATGTCATCTTTTGAGAAGTGTCTGTTCATATAATTTTCCCACTTTTTGATGGGGTTGTTTGATTTTTTTTCTTGTAAATTTGTTTAAGTTCTTTGTAGATTCTGGATATTAGCCCTTTGTCACATGGGTAGATTGTAAAAATTTTCTCCCAATCTGTAGGTTGCCTGCTCACTCTGATGGTAGTTTCTTTTGCTGTGCAGAAGCTCTTTAGTTTAATTAGATCCCATTTGTCAATTTTGGCTTTTGTTGCCATTGCTTCTGGTGTTTCAGTCATGAAGTCCTTGCCCATGCCTATGTCCTGAATGGTATTGCCTAGGTTTTCTTCTAGGGTTTTTATGGTTTTAGGTCTAACATTTAAGTCTTTAATCCATCTTGAATTAATTTGTGTATAAAGTAGGAGGAAGGGATCCAGTTTCACCTTTCTACATATGGCTAGCCAGTTTTCTCAGCACCATTTATTAAATAGGGAATCCTTTCCCCATTGCTTGTTTTTGTCAGGTTTGTCAAGGATCAGATGGTTGTAGATATGTGGTATTGTTTCTGAGGGCTCTGTTCTGTTCCATTGGTCTATATCTCCATTTTGGTACCAGTACCGTGCTATTTTGGTTACTGTAGACTTGTAGTATAGTTTGAAGTCAGGTAGCGTGATGCCTCCAGGTTTGTTCTTTTGGCTTAGGATTGTCTTGGCAATGTGAGCTCTTTTTTCGTTCCATATGAACTTTAAAGTAGTTTTTCCAGTTCTGTGAAGAAAGTCCTTGGTAGCTTGATGGGGATGGCATCGAATCTATAAATTACCTTGGGCAGTATGGCCATTTTCATGATATTGATTCTTCCTATCCATGAGCATGGAATGTTCTTCCATTTGTTTGTGTCCTTTTTTATTTCATTGAGCAGTGGTTTGTAGTTCTTCTTGAAGAGGTCCTTCACATCCCTTCTAAGTTGAATTCCTAGGTATTTTATTCTCTTTGAAGAAATTGTGAATGGGAGTTTACTCATGATTTGGCTCTCTGTTTGTTGGTTATTGGTGTATATGAATGCTTGTGATTTTTGCACATTGATTTTGTATCCTGAGACTTTGCTGAAGTTGCTTATCAGCTTAAGGGGATTTTGGGCTGAGATGATGGGGTTTTCTAAATATACAATCATGTCATCTGGAAACAGAGACAATTTGACTTCCTCTTTTCCTAATTGAATACCCTTTATTTCTTTCTCCTGCCTGATTGCCCTAGCCAGAACTTCCAACACTATGTTGAATAGGAGTGGTGAGAGAGGGCATCCCTGTCTTGTGCCAGTTTTCAAAGGGAATGCTTCCAGTTTTTGCCCATTCAGTATGATATTAGCTGTGGGTTTGTCATAAATAACTCTTATTACTTTTGAGATATGTTCCATCAATACCTAATTTATTGAGAGTTTTTAGCATGAAGGGCTGTTGAATTTTGTCAAAGGCCTTTTCTGCATCTATTGAGATAATCATGTGGTTTTTGTCTTTGGTTCTATTTATATGATGGATTATGTTTATTGATTTGCACATGTTGAACCAGCCTTGCATCTCAGGGATGAAGCCCACTTGATCATGGTGGATAAGCTTTTTGATGTGCTGCTGGATTCGGTTTGCCACTATTTAATTGAGGATTTTTGCATTGATGTTCATCAGGGATATTGGTCTAAAATTCTCTTTTTTCGTTGTGTCTCTGCCAGGCTTTGGTATCAGGATGATGCTGGCCTCATAAAATTAGTTAGGGAGGATTCCTCTTTTTCTATTACTGGAATAATTTCAGAAGGAATGGTACCAGCTTTTCCTTGTACCTCTGGTAGAATTTGGCTGTGAATACATCTGGTTCTGGACTTTTTTTGGTTCGTAGGCTATCAATTATTGCCTCAATTTCAGAGCCTGTTATTGGTCTATTCAGGGATTCAACTTCTTTCTGTTTAAGTCTTGGGAGGGTGTATGTGTCCAGGAATTTATCCATATCTTCTAGATTTTCTAGTTTATTTGCGTAGAGTGTTTATAGTATTCTCTGATGGTAGTTTGTATTTCTGTGGGAATGGTTGTGATATCCCCTTTATCATATTTATTGCATCTATTTGATTCTTCTCTCTTTTCTTCTTTATTAGTCTTGCTAGTGGTCTATCAATTTTGTTGATCTTTTCAAAAAACCAGATCCCGGATTCATTAATTTTTTGAAGGGTTTTTTTGTGTCCCTATCTCCTTCAGTTCTGCTCTGATCTTAGCCTTCTGCTAGCTTTTGAATGTGTTTGCTCTTGCTTGTCTAATTCTTTTAATTGTGATGTTAGGGTGTCAATTTTAGATCTTTCCTGCTTTCTCTTGTGGGCATTTAGTGCTATAAATTTCCCTCTACACACTGCTTTAAATGTGTCCCAGAGATTCTGGTATGTTGTGTCTTTGTTCTCATTGGTTTCAAAGAACATCTTTGTTTCTGCCTTCATTTCCTTATGTACCCAGTAATCATTCAGGAGCAGGTTGATCAGTTTCCATGAAGTTGAGTGGTTTTTGGTCAGTTTCTTAATCCTGAATTCTAGTTTGATTGCACTGTGGTCTGAGAGACAGTTTGTTATAATTTCTGTTCTTTTACATTTGCTGAGGAGTGCCTTACTTCCAACTATGTGGTCAATTTTAGAATAAGTGCAATGTGGTGCTGAGAAGAATGTATATTCTGTTGATTTGGGGTGGAGAGTTCTGTAGATGTCTATTAGGTCTGCTTGGTGCAGAGCTGAATTCTATTCCTGGATATCCTTGTTAACTTTCTCTCTCGTTGATCTGTCTAATGTTGACAGTGGGGTGTTAAAGTCTCTCATTATTATTGTGTGGGAGTCTAAGTCTCTTTTAGGTCTGTAAGGACTTGCTTTATGAATCTGGGTGCTCCTGTATTGGGTGCATATATATTTAGGATAGTTAGCTCTTCTTGTTGAATTGATCCCTTTACCATTATGTAATGGCCTTCTTTGTATCTTTTGGTCTTTGTTGGTTTAAAGTCTGTTTTATCAGAGACTAGGATTGCAACCCCTGCTTTTTTTTTGTTTTCTATTTGCTTGGTAGATCTTCCTCCATCTCTTTATTTTGAGCCTATGTGTGTCTCCGCACGTGAGATGGGTCTCCTGAATACAGCACACTGATGGGTCTTGACTCTTTATCCAATTTGCCAGTCTGTGTCTTTTAATTGGAGCATTTAGCCCATTTACATTTAACATTGTTATGTGTGAATTTGATCCTGTCATTATGATGTTAGCTGGTTATTTTGTTCATTAGTTGATGCAGTTTCTTCCTAGCATCGATGGTCTTTACAGTTTGGCATGTTTTTGCAGTGGCTGGTACCAGTTGTTCCTTTCCATGTTTAGTGCTTCCTTCAGGAGCTCTTTTAGGGCAGGCCTGGTGATGACAAAATCTCTCAGCATTTGCTTGTCTGTAAAGTATTTTATTTCTCCTTCACTTATGAAGCTTAGTTTGGCTGGATATGAAATTCTGGGTTGAAAATTCTTCTCTTTAAGAATGTTGAATATTGGCGCCCACTCTCTTCTGGCTTGTAGAGTTTCTGCTGAGAGATCAGCTGTTAGTCTGGTGGGCTTTCCTTTGTGGGTAACCTGACCTTTCTTTCTTGCTGCCCTTAACATTTTTTCCTTCATTTCAACTTTGGAGAATCTGACAATTATGTTTCTTGGAGTTGCTCTTCTCATGGAGTATCTTTGTGGCGTTCTCTGTATTTCCTGAATTTGAATGTTGGCCTGACTTGCTAGGTTGGGGAAGTTCTCCTGGCTGATATCCTGAAGAGTGTTTTCCAACTTGGTTCCATTCTCCCCGTCACTTTCAGGCACACCAATCAGATGTAGATTTGGTCTTTTCACATAGTCGCTTATTTCTTGGAGGCTTGTTCATTTCTTTTTATTCTTTTTTCTCTAAACTTCTCTTCTCGCTTCATTTCATTCATTTGATCTTCAATCACTGATACCCTTTCTTCCACCTGATCAAATTGGCTACTGAAGCTTTTGTATGCATCACATAGTTCTCTTGCCATGGTTTTCAGCTCCATCAGGTCATTTAACGTCTTCTCTATGCTGTTTATTCTAGTTAGCCATTTGTCTAATCTTTTTTCAAGGTTTTTAGCTTCTTTGTGATGGGTTCGAACTTCCTCCTTTAGCTTGGAGAAGTTTGTTCTTACCAATCATCTGAAGCCTTCTTCTCTCAACTCGTCAAAGTCATTCTCCATCCAGCTTTGTTCCATTGCTGGTGAGGAGCTGCGTTCCTTTGGAGGAGAAGAGGTGCTCTGATTTTTAGAATTTTCAGCTTTTCTGCTCTGGTTTCTCCCCATCTTTGTGGTTTTATCTACCTTTGGTCTTTGATGATGGTAACGTACAGATGGGGTTTTGGTGTGGAGGTCCTTTCTGTTTGTTAGTTTTCCTTCTAACAGTCAGGACCCTCAGCTGCAGGTCTGTTGGAGTTTGCTGGAGGTCCACTCCAGACCCTGTTTGCCTGGGTATCACCAGCGGAGGCTGCAGAACAACAAATATTGCAGAGCGGCAAATGTTGCTGCCTGATCCTTCCTCTGGAAGCTTCGTCTCAGAGGGGCACCTGGCTGTATGAGGTGTCAGTTGGCCCCTACTTGGAGGTGTCTCCCAGTTAGGCTACTCAGGGGTCAGGGAACCACTTGAGGAGGCAGTCTCCATACTCAGATCTCCAACTCCGTGCTTGGAGAACCACTACTGTCTTCAATGCTGTCAGACAGGGATGTGCAAGTCTGAAGAAGTTTCTGCTGCCTTTTGTTCAGCTATGCCCTACCCCCAGAGGTGGAGTCTACAGAGGCAGGCAGGCCTCCTTGAGCTGCAGTGGGCTCCACCCAGTTTGAGCTTCCTGGCTGCTTTGTTTATCTACTCAAGCCTCAGCAATGGTGGATGCCCCTCCTCACAGCCTCCCTGCCACCTTGCAGTTTGATCTCAGACTGCTGTGCTAGCAGTGAGTGAGGCTCCATGGGCATGGCACCCTCCAAGCCAGGCACAGGATATAATCTCCTGGTGTGCCGTTTGCTAAGACCATTGGAAAAGCACAGTATTAGGGTGGGAGTGACCCGACTTTCCAGGTACCATCTGTCACGGCTTCCCTTGGCTAGGAAAGGGAATTCCCCAACCCCTAGTGCTTCCTGGGTGAGGTGATGCCCCACCCTGCTCTGTGGGCTGCACCCACTGTCCAACAAGCCCCAGTGAGATGAACCTGGTACCTCAGTTGGAAATGCAGAAATCACCCATCTTCTGCATCACTCACGCTGGGAGCTGTAGACTGGAGCTCTTCCTATCCGGCCATCTTGGAACCTCTCTCCAAGGTACAGTTTTAAATTCTGGGTGCTGACGTTAGGGAATGAGGAACACTGATAATGCAATAAATATCGAAGCCCTTCTAAGTGATGCTGGGAAGGATGTAGACATTCAGAGTCAGCCATTGTTATTGGTTGAATTGAGTCCCCTCAAAAGATGTTGAGGTCCTAACTAACCTCTAGTAGCTGTGAAAGTAACTTTATTTGGACCTAAGGTCTTTGCAGATGATCAAATTAAGATGAGGTCATTAGGGTGGGCTCTACATCAATACGACTAGCACCCTTATAGAAAAAGGAAGTTTGGACATTGACATATACATAGGGAGAATGCCATGTGAAGACTGAGGTTATGCAGCCATAAGCCAAGGAACTACCCAAAGCTACGACAGGCCAGGAACAGATCCTTTCCTGACACCTTCAGAGACAGCATGGTCCTGTGTACACCTTGACTTGAACTTCTAACTTCCAGAACGGTGAGTCTATAAATTTTTGTCATAAATGCCACTCGGTTTGTGGCATTTTTTTTTTTTTTTGAGTCAGAGTCCTGCTCTGCTGCCCAGGCTGGAGTGCAGTGGTGTGATCTCAGCTCACTGCAACCTCTGCCTCCTGGGTTCAAGCAATTCTCTTGCCTCAGCCTCCCTAGTAGCTGGGATTACAGGTGCACGCCACCGTGCCTGGCTAATTTTTGTATTTTTAGTAGAGACGGAGTTTCACCATGTTGGTCAGGCTGGTCTCGAACTCCTGATCTCAGGTGATCCACCCGCCTTGGCCTCCCAAAGTGCTGGGATTACAGGTGTGAGCCACCACGCCCGGAGGTTTGTTGCATTTTGTTATGGCAACCCTAGCAAACGAACACAGCCATACCCTGCTGAGAGTGTGCTCATTCAGTTAAGAGTCAGAGAAGTCTGTATTAGGCACCTCTTGCCCTTGACATCCTGCTGTGTAGAGTAAAGGCTTTCCTGGGTGAGGGCAGCAAATATTTCACAGAAATAGAGTGTTACAACTCCAGCATTTCCCTGGATATTGATAGTACAGAGAAATAGAACCAGCCACAGCCATTGAAGTATGGCTGATATGACTCTGTATTTAAAGTCTAGAAGTGGTGAAATCATAGGCAGGGAGAACTGCATCAACAAGCATTGAATCTCTGATACAAGCAAGCTGATGTGGCCCAGTCTGATACAGAAGAAGACAGTGACAGGAGCAGGGATACAGGGGAGACCCAGGAAGGAGATGACTGCCTGATCACTTTGCTATCCTGCCCTGCGGAGCAAGAATTGATAGTTGGCACTAACCCAGCACGCTGTAATCCATGGGGAAGTTGCAAACTACGCATATGCGGTATAGTGCTGTATGTATCGATGCTAAGTAAGGTTCACTTAATTGTGTGGGTTCTGTTCTCTCTAAAATATTTTGGCATTTTAATCCATGTCCCCGGGTAAACAGATAATCTGCAGACATTGCTAAGGAGAGAAATCTACAACAAACCAGCTTTATCTGAGGGTTGTATCAAAGGCTCTGGGTCAGAGTGGGCAGCTCTGGTTGGGGGTGTCTCTAAGCAGTGGTTCTTAAACACTGACAATTAACTGGGAGTGCTCATTAAAAAAAGAGTTTAGGTCGGGCGTGGTGTCTCATGCCTGTAATGCCAGCACTTTGGGAGGCTGAGGTGGGCAGGTCACTTGAGGTTGGAAGTTCAAGACCAGCCTGGTCAACATGGGGAAACCCCCACCTCTACTAAAAATACAAAAATTAGCTGGGCATGGTGGTGCATGCCTGAAGTCCCAGCTACTGCGGAGGCTGAGGCATGAGAATCACTTAAACCCAGGAAGTGGTAGTTGCAGTGAGCTGAGGTCATGCCACTGCACTCCAGCCTGGGCCACACAGCAAGACTGTCTCAAAAAAAAAAAAAAAAAAAAAGAGTTTACCAGTATAGGGAAGCAAACCTGCAAATTCCGATTTAGTAGAATCTACATGTGTACCCATCAGCCCTAAGTGCTTCTCAGTGCTTCTGTGTTTGGGTGGTGACGGTTACATGGAACTCCCAGCAAGAGGCTGTGGCCCCATGAGGATACTGGCACACACACAATGTGCCCCCTCCCTTCCTCCATTCTACATATTTTTTTGCTGGAAAATGGTAAATGGTAACAGTGCAGGTAGAGGATAATGGAGGGATGGAAGCTGAGAATGCATAAAGGAAAGGAGGTAAGGAATCCTGGATGGCTTCTCTGGCGCTCCCAGCCACCAGCTCCCGTTCATCTTTGGTGTTCTCATTGTTGTTCAGGAGAGAACATCAAGTCACTCAAAGTTCCACGGTGAACAATGATTGAGTTAACCGCATCCAGGGTTTCTCAAATTTTGTCTTTCCTTCAGGAACTTCTTGCAATGCTGAATGAAAGACACCATCCAAAGAGAGACAGAGAAAGAAATGTTTGCTGAGTCATCAAATATGGTGGTGATTCTTGTTTTTATGTATAGAATTTTTTTTTAAGTTCTTACATTTGCAGGGGAAGCCCCTTTTGAAGAAACACTGGTGGCCACTGTAGTTTCATTCATTGCTCTGTGGATGGGGAGTGCATTGAGGAAAGGGGGATGGCCTCTGTCATCCTCAAATGAGGAATAGAAAGGAATCTGCAGCAGAGACCCAGAACCTGGGGTTGAGATGAGGGCAAGGCTCAGGCCAGAGAATTCGGAGATCTCAGACACCCTTCCCCTTTTTCCATCTGTTAGCAAGAAGCTGGCCATTTTAAAGAAATTGTAATAAAATACACCTAACAAAGCTAGGCCTTTGATTAAACCTTTTTTCCCTGGCTGAGATGAAGAACACTTCTTTTTTTTTTTTTTTTTTCTTGAGATGGTGTTTTGCTCTTGTTGCCCAGGCTGGAGAGTGCAATGGCACGATCTTGGCTCACCGCAACCTCTGCCTCCTGGGTTCAAACGATTCTCCTGCCTCAGCCTCTCGAGTAGCTGGGATTACAGGCACCTACGATCACACCCGGCTAATTTTTTGTATTTTTAGTAGAGACGGGGTTTCACCATATTGGCCAGACTGGTCTTGAACTCCTGACCTCAGGTAATCCACCTGCCTCAGCCTCCCAAAGTGCTGAGATTACAGGCGTGAGCCACCGTGCCCGGCCTGAAGACACTTCTTTTGCAATGCATTTACCACTTTAGAAGTGGTTGCTTTCCTCTCAGAATAGGTGTGTTGGGGGAACACTCAGAATGGGAGGGCAAGCAGGGAGTCCACTCTGTGTGCAGGGTGCAAAGCAACTTCCACATCAACTTAATACCATCAGATTGCTCAGTAGTAGAGACATTTTATTGCTGTGATCCCATTAACTCTGACATTGCACTGTTCTATTCTTGGACACTTTCTTACTATCGAAAGCCAGCAAAGCTTAACAGCTGCTGAGAACCACAAAATAAAAAGAAATAGCTTTGGTCTTGTTGGATTGAATTTTTCTTTTTTTGGCCTCTTTTTCCCTTTGGGCTTCAACTATTTCCTCTACCACAAGGGCTGACGTCAATGCTGTCACCAGGCACATGGACCAACTGGGCTTGTCTGGGGACAGAGAGTCTGTCAAATCTTACCCACACAGGGTGGGAGGTCCCACCATGGTGCAGTGAGAACAGACCAATGGAACCAGCATTTCTCTGAAAAGACAAGCAGAGGGTTGACCCATCACATGCTCACTCCTCTGCCAGTATTGAAACTGTCCTCTCCTTTGTGTGCAGAAAGGAGGCCAGGACCAAAAGTCACCAACAAGTGCATTGGTCAGGGTTTTCTACCTATTCCATGAAACAAACTTTCAGCCAATTAAATGAAAAACCTTTTAGCACATGGTTAACGTTAAATTCTCATTCAGGCCTTTGAAACTGACTGAGGTTTGGCCATTGCTTAAATTAGATGCCAAAGTTCTGTCTCGTCTTTTCCCAAGTGGCTGGAGACAGGTTTGTGACAATGTCCCAATTCCTCTATGACTGGAGGAGGGAGTGAGGGTGCCCATGGGCTGTTTCCCATTCTCAGGAGGGAGGAGGGTGAGTCCCTGTGCTGACTAGGGGCTGGGAAACTTGGTGACATGGTACAACCTCACTTGCCACAATTGCAGAGAAATGTGTTGGTGGCTGGCAGTCCAAGTGCCACTGAGTTTCTCTCTCATGCCACCTTGGCTTACGGGCCATGACTTGGCCACCTCTTAAATTCTTTCTAAAATAATCAGTATGATTATGCAAAGTTTATAAAAATCAGCAAAATTCAGACAAGGTAAAGGTAGAGAGATGAAACAGAGCTACATGTCTATGTATTAGAGAAGCTTTTGAGATTCATTATTTAGATTCCTAATAAGAAAAACTCTATGATGGAAGGAAGGGGAAATCTTCCTATAAGTTTAGTGCCTGCTGGACAAAGTCTTTGTATGTGTACTGCCAAGCAATAGATAGAATCCCAGAACTAGAGGCTTTGAAAATACAGCCACATCTAACAGGCAAGGCCAAGCTTTGCTCTGCTCAGCACCTGCTGCCCTTCTTTCCAGGACATTCTTTCTCTTGCTCATCATGAGCCCCAGTTCCTGCCCTATGAGGAGCTACATATCCAGGCCTGATCTCACACATGCATCCTGACTTACTGACGTCTCTCTACAAGTTGACTACTCTTTTCCAAACTCACATGTCTAAAGTAGAATTATTTTCTCTGCCAATCTAGGTTCCGTTACCAGCTATCACGCTTCTTAGAATTGCCATCATTCTTCCAGCCTTCTAGGTGCAAATCCTTAGAGTCAGTCATCCTTGAATTTTCTCTCTCTTTCATCATTTGTAATCAGTCACCAAGCACTATTGAACATTGCTTGTCAAACCTTCTCTGCATGCTCCTTCCCTACACACCCCTTGTTATAACCCTATCCATGACTAACCCTCCCACCCAAAATACTCTTTGCTGGTTTCCCCACGACAGGAACTAACTTCCGTGCCAGAATAAGCCACCTAAGACAACAGTTGGAGAGATCACCTTATCACATATGAGTAATGTGACTCTGAGAAAGTTATATAACATTTCTGAATCTCAGTTTTCCTCATCAATGAGAACAACACTCATATCACTGGGATACTAGGAAACAGACATATGTGTCAAATACTTGATAAAGCCCTCTCCCAAGATGCATGCTATGATTATTTAGGGCGATATTATTTTGGCCACTGTTGCCCCCAAGTAATTTCTGGTTTCCAGTATGATTAACTAATCTGATTACATCACACAATAGTCAAAGAATTAAGCAGCTGAACAATTGCAAAGAGCTTTTCCTCAGTGGAGACACCATTGCAAAGAGCAGTAAGGGGTGAACGATAACAGGCTGCATCCCACGGTAGTGGGTATCATATAATCTGGTCTTCAAAATGAACCTATCCTTTTTCCTCCAACCACCACTTCCCCTTTCTCTGTCATCACTGGCAATTTTCTCTCCTTTTTTTCCTCTTTCCTAACCTTTTCTATACCTCTATTTCCATGAGACAGAAAATCTTATGTTGCCGTTTTAATGAGATCTCTGATTTTCTTTTTTTTTTTTTGAGATAGAAACACCCATTTATAATGCTTAATTATATCACCTTTGATATTATTCATTAGTTATTTCCTCTAGCAATGTGTTATATTCCAAACCACTGAAGTCAAGACTTAACCTTTTGTGACTGCTGCAGCTTAAGGTACACATTAGTGTTCAATGAATATGTGATTGATTTATGAAGAGCATCACGCTTGGTCATTACTAACATACTTGAGTGATGTCTGGTATGTACTCACACGTGAATATTCTTCCTATAGTTTAACTTGTGTAAGTTTTAGCTTTTCAACTAAGTGGAAAACCATTTAAAGGCAAGCATCTATCCTCTTATCAGCATTCTATCAGTGCTAGCACACAGTAGGTGTCATAGAAACTCACTACATTCCCTAAACATAATAACAATTGCTTATGGAGCACTTACTAAATGCCAGGCACAGGAAAGTCTGTAACTACTTGGCATGAAATAGATCTTTAATTATAACAACAGCTCTGTCATGTGGGTTTCATAATATCTAGTTATACAACAGTAAGTTGAGATCACACAGGTAGTAAATGGCAGAGCCAGGATTTAAACTCAGGCTTGCCTGACTTCAAAGAATGTGTTCATAGCCCCTCTCTGTCCCTAACTCTCATACTTCCCACTGTTTACATATTCTACAAGCGACTCTACTGAAAGGGAGCCTAGTTTTGTCTTTCACTTTTAATACATTTTCATGGCAACTCATATTTTTAGTGAATATTTGTTCTCTAGCTAAAGATGGATCATGTATTCCTTCTGAACCTTGCCTTGTTTTGTTTTGGCCATTGATAGTTATTCTAGGCATGGTCTCTTTGACAATGAATCTCCTCAAAAGACAACACAATAAATTATGAAAAGAAGAGACTATAAATTATAAACTGAGTTAATCTGCATCTCTTAGGGAAGGAAGTTTTGGACTCTGGAAGAAGATCCTCTACATTCTCATTTTAAAACTGTACTATCTCTCATATTACGGGTGAATTCTCAACAGGAAAGTTATTTGTGGTAGCAGGTTGTGTTTTCCAAAGATGGTCATAATGTTTCCCACCCCACATACTCTCCTGTAACCTTGACAATGTTCCATTAAGGAGTGTTCCCTCTGTGTTCTCTCCCTTCAATCCTGGGCAGGCTTTAATGATTGTCTTGACAAATATAGTACAGGTTGTTGTGTATCGCTAATCCCAAAATATCCAAAATCCAAAACACTTCTGGCCCCAAGCATTTTGGATAAGGGATCCTCAACCTATGTGGTGGAAGTAAGCAGTGTGACTTCTGAATTAGGTAACAAATATGCTATGCGCTTCTACTTTGCTCTTGCAGAATGCTCATGCTTGGAACCCTATGTCCAAGTTGTAAGGAAGCCCAAGCAGCCCATAAAGAGGCCCACGTTAAGAAGAACCAGGACCCACAGTCTAAGTGAACTCTCAGCTAATAGCACCATTTTGCCAACCATGTGAGTGAACCATCTTCATAGTTGACTTGCCAGCCCCCAGTTGTGCTGCCCCAGAAACATTGCATGGAACAGATGACCCTTCCCCCTGAGCCTGGCCCAAATGGCAGATTTGTGAACAAAATAAATGACTGTTGTCTTAAGCCCTAGATTTTTGGGATAGTTTGTTATGTGGCAATTGATAAATGGACATGGGCCATGCAAATTCTCATTGTTCTTGTCTTCCCCTAGTTTTCTAAAGGGAAGGAAAAAAAGTGTGTGTGTGTCTGGGAAGGCATAGAGGAGTGAGGAAAGCTGGGAGGCAGGGGCTGCTCCTCTATACATCTCACCTCTTCCACTCTTCTTTCTGCACACATCGCCGACCCCTTACTAGGCGTTCTCTGCCTCTATGCCTGTGACAACTCTTTGTCACATTCAAGAAAGTATAATTAGTGTGGTTCTCACATAAGAATGTTAAACCCCTAATGGTGTCTGGAAATGGATTTTTTTTTGTCATATGGTGTGGGTGGATGTTGGCATTTAGTAGGTGAGACCCAAGGATGCTAAATGTACTGCAATGTGTAGGACTGTCAACTCCAAAATATCATAGCTTTCACATTGAGCAGCACTGAGCTAAGAGCTTAACACAGGCATTTAAATTATTTTTTTATTGAGACAGGAACTCACTTTGCTCTGTCACCTAGGCTGGAGTCCAGGGGCAGGATCACAGCTCACTGCAGCTTTGACCTCTTGGCTCAAGTGATCCACCTCTGTCTCCTGAGTGGCTGGCACCACAGATGTGCACCACCACACCCAGATAATCTTATTTTTTATTTTTTGTAGAGACAGGGGCCTCATTACATTGCCTAGGCTGGTCTCAAACTCCTAGGCTCAACTGATCCTCCTGCCTTAGCCTCCCAAAGACTGGGATTTATAGGGGTGAGCCACCACACTCAGTGACACATTTTAATAGAAGGCTAATATATGGTTTGAAAATCAAGTGATAATAAATAGTTAACATACACTGAGCCTTTCCTATGTATGATACTGGATATACAGTTTTATATGGATTATCTCATTTGATGCTTGCCACAAACTGATTTTACTATTGAAGAAGCAGAGGCACAGAGAAGTTAAGAAACTTCCTCAAGGTCACAGAGCTAATAAAATGTGGAGGCTAGAAGCCTAGATTCAAACTCACATCCTATGTTTCAATCATCATCCTGAGGCAAGAGAAAAGCCTCTCTTCATGTTGGATCTCCATTTACAGCTATAAAATAAAAGGAGATATTCTGGGTGCAGAGAGACTTATTGGAAACATAAAAATCATAGCTATTTGGTAGCTGCCTATTCACAAGCTCAATCTGGGAGCAGAGAAAGAACTTATCTTCTAAGTGGAAGTGGAAAGAGGATTTGGGATTAAAAGACAGAGTCCAGGGAATTCAGTCCTTTGTAACCTTTTTTCTCTCTGATTCTTTTGTGTTTCCATGAGCTCCTATTGAACTTTGGTGGATCCCAGAGAAAAGTGGTGAACTCCAATCCAGGTCTGCTGAGCGACCAGCGTAACCGCCTTACTACTTCCTAGATTTAGGCATGCACGAGGTTGGGATGCTGCAGGTGGCATCAGGGCTGTAAACTGACATTCTGCCTCAGTAGGCCTTGTATGTGTGCATTTTAAGAAAATATTGATGAAATAATTGGGGTTCTCTTTCCTTTCCTCCCCCTCCTCAGTTCTGATCCATATCAAAGTAGGAAATAAGAAGGGGTCCTTGGTAAGATGGGGAAGGGGGAGGATGAGAGTGAGCAAGAGAGCAAGGGAAAGAAAGAAGACAAAGAGCATACTCTGTAGTTTTGGTATAAGGGGAGCTATATATATTTCAGTATAAGAACATTTGCTTATCTTCTGGAGGTTTCTCTCTAATACTAGATTGGGAATGGGGAGATTTATCTTCAACCCTTCCTGAGACATTTAGGACCCAAAGTACTTTATGGGATCAACTGATTGACTGAGGACCTGAATTAATGGTTGAGAAAAAGAAGCAGAATCCCGGAGGGAAGGTATAGGCAAAGAAAACTAAGGGAACCACAGAGGGGAAAGAGGTGGGAAGATAAAGAGGGAGAGCGACCAGAGTAAAGGGGCTCCTCCACATGGGGTGAGAGGAAAGTGGCGGAGATGAAGAAAGGGGGAGCTGCCTGGGAGAGCCCTCTGTGAGCTGGGTCCTCCCTGGGAATGAAACATCCTGTTCTCCCTTGCCCCATATTAGGGGCCCAGCCTCCACAACAACTGTGAGGACACACAAATGCACACACACACATACCTATAAGAAAAAATGCAAGGGTAAACACTACAATGATTCTTCCTTAAAGTACTTTTTTTTATAGGCAGTAGGATTTGTTATTCATATTTTCCCATTTTTTGGTCATATGTCTTCTGTTTTTCTACAATGTACACAGTTTACCTGTAAATTTAGAAAAGGAAGTATTTTAATATTGCTACTCCATAGTGATGGAAGATAGATTAATGGAATATATGCTGGGAAGAAAAGCCTCTGAAAAAACCTTTTTTTTCCAGGGACAATTCTTTCAAAGGCAATGGGAAAATTTGAACATGTGCTCCAGGATCCCAATCTGAGTCCCTTATGTGGGGTATGACACAGAGAGACTGTGCTAATGGGAACACTGGACACTCACTGTTTTACTTGCCTATTGTTTTTGTGATCAGAGAATACAGCAATTGCTGAATGAGAATCGAGGCCTTATATAATATTCATACCACATGCACCAAAAACATAGGTGTTCATCTATATTTTAAAAACTGAATTTTTTTCTACCTCTGAATCAGAGCCTGGAATAGAAAATGTTTCTTTAGTATAGGTTACATTAGTTAATGGAATATCTTTTCCCATTGGGGAAAACACCATACCAAGCAGTAACACCAGCAAAATTGCCTTACTATGTCATGTTTTGATACAGAAGAATTTGGAAAAAAATCTAAATATAGCAGACACATGCAACTTGAAACTCAAGCACCATTTTAAAAACCCTTCTCTGCAGTTAACTAAAATTGATCTTCCTAACAAGAGCTAAAAATAGCAGGAGGAAAAAAAAGAAGAGACAATGACTTTTCATATCGCTCCCTGCAGGCATTTTCAGTGACAATGAACATGACCTTCCAGAGCCATCTTAGAGAGCAGAATAAAGGCTGGCATTTTGCTTCCCACCTCTGATTTCCTGTCTAGTTAGTGCCACGTGCGTCTCTATTTTACCATTTTCTGCTGATTGGTGGAGATAAGCTATTTTGCCAGGCTGGGTTTTTATTTTCTCCTATTTTGTTTTACATCAGAAAAGAACCTGGCACTGTACTGCTTCTGGAGTCAGGAACAACAGATATTTCAAAATAAATATTCAACTCATAATTCTCCTCAAGGTCAGAGCCCATCTTATTCTGTCTAGGTCACTGTTAAACTGATGGGCTTCTACACATTCCCCAAGGGACTAATAGAAACACACAAGGATTGTGTTTTATAGAGACAATAACTGCCCCTTAAACAGAGGAAGGCAAATTTTGATCTGCACGTCCTGCTGGACACAAGAAAAAAGCATGAAATGTACCGTAAAGAATTGATGCAGTAGTGTGTTTTAGTGGGTGCCAAAAAGTAGAGAAATAAAATGTGAGGGAACGAAAGGCATAAGTTGTTTTGTATTCTTAAATTTCTCCTTTACAGCAATCTTAAATTTCTTCTAGAGAAAAATGTTTCACTTCCCAGGGCAAGGGTGCTGGCTCAACCAATCTTTTACTCTTCTTGCCAGTGGCAGAGGACATATTTTAATTTAGTAGCTGTGTCGCCTTGGGCAAGTTACTTAACCACTCTGTGCCTCACATTCCCCAGCTGTATAATTGAGGACAATAATAATACCTGTTATTGTCTGTGAACATTAAATAATATTGTAAGGTATTTAGAACAGTGCCTGGCACATAGTAAGTAATTTATCTTCATCCCCACATAATTTTAAGTCATTTTTATTTATTTATTTTCTAATGTATAATACCTATTTTACTTACTCTCTGGATCAAAGATAGAATGGTCATGGGGACAATGATTAAGGATGTTTAAAATTATGCCTCTCATAATTTTCGGAATATAAACTTGCTCTTGGTATAATAAAGGGAACTGAGAGACACTTCTTGAATATAACGTGGCCCTCGTCTCCTGTCGCAACATCTTAAATATTTCAAAGGATTTCAATAGGCACCCACAGGTTTGGGTCTGATCATGGTTCCATTATAACTGCACTGCTTTCTTTATGTTTGTTTCTAGGACCACTCTAGAAGTTTTCAGGAATTGGACTTGTCCCTCTCTGAGAGGTCACCAATATTCCTCCTTAAAGAACTACAGACTGTTTTGCCCCTTGCTTGTCTGAGATGAGGCCTGGATCCCCACTGTTTCATTTGTTCTCCATGAAAGGGTCCTAATAAACTGTGTCATTGCCTCTGGGGGCAGCCAGTCAGTTGACTTAGCCCGAGTCCCATCTCACTCTGGATCCCTGCTCCATAACGTTCTTTCTTTAGACTGACTTTTTCCCAGCAGCTTTAAATGTCTACATACCTTCTCAATCACTCTGCTCTACCAATTAAACACTGTTCATCATTCCTCTAATGCAAAACTCCATTCCTTTGATCATTTGAGTTGCTTTCCTCTGCTCCCATTCTAATTTGTTTCTGTACTTCTGGAACTGAGGTAGTCATTCTTTAACATGCAATTAGTTATAATTTGTTACTGAAATGATTCTGCCAAAGGATTAAAACTAAATTTTACTAAATCACTTTTTTAAAAATGAAAATGCTAGAAGTCCTCTAATTATAGAAAACATTAATTTAATGCTTCCCGACTGAGTCTGGCTAAAGCTATAAGAAAGCAACAATTTGTCAGTAAAGAAACTATCTCTAGGCAGGCTAATAGCTCTGGTCTATTCCTTCGTTCATTCACACATTCATTCCTCCAATGTTTATTGAGCATCCACTATGTGCCAGGTAGTTTCAGGTACTGGGAATACCAAAATGAATGAAACATGCATTCTTTCCCTCAGTAAGAAGTGAAGATAGTAAGTTGAATGATAGAAAATTACCATAAGGAAAAGTGAATATTTGTGCAAAGTGACAGGAGGAGACTGAAGGAGCAACCTCTTGCCTTGGCACCTGGTTGGGAAGGGGGCAGAGACGCGATGTGGGGGAGGATGCCATGGGGAGGAGGAAGGGTGTGGCCCTGCTCCCTGATTGTTGCAGCTGAAACAACCTTTAATTTAACGTCTGATATTTTCAACTCAATTGTTGGACGCAAATCATGCATGTGTGTGGCTGAGGAAGCTTCAAGGACATAGAAAAGGGATAAATGGATAACCAAATAAAGACAAACAGTCCCAAATTGCTGGCAAGGAATGGAGAGAAACATATCCTAGAAAATACATCCAGATTGCAGCTGTTCCATGGACACAATATCAGTCATACTTAAAAATCAGGAAACTCTCAATATTTGCTCTTGTACCAAATGCACAAGTCTCCATTTGCACATTTACCAGACACTAGGTTAGGCTTTCTGGAAGTTTAGATTGGTGTTTGTTAGAAATAATTCTTGAGGCCTAGCGCGGTGGCTCATGTCTGGAATCCCAGCACTTTGGGAGACTGAGGCGGGTGGATCACGAGGTCAGGAGTTTGAGACCAGCCTGGTCAACATGGTGAAACCCCGTCTGTACTAAAAAATATAAAAATTAGCCAGGTGTGGTGGCATGCGCCTGTAGTCCCAGCTGCTCAGGAAGCTGAGGCAGGAGAATTGCTTGAACCCGGGAGGAGGAGGTTGCAGTCAGCCGATATTGTGCCACTGCACTCCAGCCTGGGTGACAGGGTAAGATTCTGTCTCAAAAAAAAAAAAAAAAAAAAAAACCAAGAAATAATTCTTGATTCAGGGTTAAAAACAAATAAATGTTTGCCAGAGTTGAAGCAGAGCAGGCCTGAAGTCAGCCAAGCCAACCAGTATCCTTAATAGAAGGCCAGCTGGCGGAGTGTGAAGTTTACTCTCTGGAGTCAGAAGCGCCAGGGTTTGAAATCTGACGATGTCACCAACCAGCTGTGTCACCTTGGGAAAGTTCATGCTTCTTTCTACAGCCTCGTTTCCAAATCCATAAAATGGGGATAATAATAGGTCCTATCTCTGTGTTTATTACAAAGCAGGGCCCTTCAAAAATGGTAGATGGTACATTTATTGTGATAAAAGAAGGTGGGTGCTATAGATTAGCTGTAACATTAAGGTAAAAGGCGTGTATTTTTAACATTATTGATAAGTTATTTACCACTCCGAGCTCCCCATCCCCCATCGCCAACTGCTTTTTTTTCTCTGCCTCTTTAAGACCATTTCCTTCCTCCCTCTTTCTTTCCTTCCTCTTCTGTGTCAGGCTCTGTGAGCGTCCCTTCCGGGGCCTAATTTCCATCCCATCTGTGCCTTCTGCCTCCATCAGTCCCAAGTCACATTTGTCCCTGTCTGTGCCTTCCAGAGCCTGGACTCAGCTGGGTCAGCCAGTAAGGGTGTCTGGAACTTGCCCCTAGCTTTTTCTGCATCAATCTTTGTGAATGCTGACAACAACTAATGTTCTTTCACATTCTTGATAAAAATGATTTGAATTTTACTGGATGATCAGCTCCACATGAGTGAGCTGGAGTCCAGCTGGGGTGTGATGGTTAGAAAGTCTGACATAGCCTGAGCCTCCTTTCTAAATAGTGAAGTAGGAAGAGCACAGCATTGGAAGCTCTGGCACTTTCATTGTCAAATCAGCTCCCTGCTTCGCTCTGGGCCTTAGTTTCCTTTTCTGTAAAATCCAGGTCAGACTCCTAGGTCCTCTAGCCAAGACCTTAGTGATTCTATAAAGAGCTCTGTTTGCTGACATTCAAAACACCTCTACAAAGTGTTCAAGTGTGTCCTTGTCAATATCTGTGCATAGGAGTCAAACTGGCAGCTTCAAGGACCTTGGCTGAAATTGGTCCATTTGGATATGTGTGCTTGTTTCTGCAATGTCCTGAATGACTGTGGGAAAGGGCTTCACAAGGCTTCATGTGAGTAGACTTAATTTACTTTATACACTGTGCAGTGTTTAAGCATATCACACATGTGGCTCTCTGAAGGGGGAGGGTCTAAGATCAGGATCCTGGATGTGAACCAGACGTTTAATGAAATCATATTTCACTAACATCTCTCTTATTATTATATTGCTTCTTTCATCAGCACATGTTAGTTAGACATACCTACTGCTTCTTGAAGGTAAAACTTATGGCCATTTTAAAGGGCCTGAGAAGCTGAGTGATGTGATGGTGATTACAAGGAAACCTCCAGTGAGCTTGCTCTTGAAAGTTCTATAATTTAACTTTCAGGACATACATGCAACAGCTGGCAATCTTCTTGCAAGAAGTGCTTATTAATCAGATCAGCATCATCTTAATCTAGGTACCTGGTAAGACGACCAGCTTTTCTTGGTTTGCCTGGGAATTTTCTGATTTTAGCAGTGAAGGTCCTATGGCCAAGGGACTCCTTAGTCCTGGAGAAACCAGGACAGTTGGTCACCATAATTCCTAGGGTTCTCAGGTTTTGGCGTATACAAGGATCAACAGATGTGATTATCAAAACTGCAGATTTCTGGGGTGGGCGACTCTGGGCCAAATGTTTTCCTGCTACATTAAGAAATGCTGGTAAGAACTTATAAGTTGACTATTCTTGGTACTTGGCATTTAGCTACCAGTGGTTCTTGAACTTATCTGCATATTAGAATCAGTGGGGGAGCTTTTAAAATGTACTGATACCTGAACTTTACCCACATCAAATTAGAATCTCTTGGGGTGGGGTCAGGCATTCAGATTCTATTTTTAAAGCTCCTTCCTATCCCAAGATAACCAGCAGTAGACAGAGCAGACATAATGGCCATTAGTTACCACTCAATTCACAGTGCTAAAAATCTCAGCTGCCACCTGGTTTCAGCCCCTTCAATTTCTATTATTTCCTCTCCTAATATAACACAGAAAAAAATACTTTGGGGCGCAAGGTGTCATCATCTGCTGAAATTGAGGGCAGTATCCCTTCTAACTACAAAGCCTAAAGAAACTTTTGGACAAGTGCATAGAGATGTACAAGAATGTTAACTGTTACTTTGATTGTAATAGCAAAAAACCTGGAAATAATCTAAATGTCCATCAACAGGAGAGTGGCTAAATAAAGTGTGGTGGTAGATTCATATTTTAGAATGCTATACTGCGTGAGAATGAGTGAATCAGAGCTACATATGCCAACATCAGAACAAAGTGACTAAGATTTTTTTAAAGTTAGAGGCTGCTGTGACTGACTTCTTAGGAACTTGGAGGTTCACTTTGGCAGGCAGGTTTTCTTGTAACAAGGGGTTCCTGAGTGTGTACTAGCACTGTGACAGCAATAAAACTGGGTTGCACAGCATAGATGCCTCCTTCCAGCTGGTAGGGTTCATTTTGTCTGTTCTGAGGAAACAATTTCCTCCTGGGATAGAGTTAAATCCCACAAGAATTAGGTAGTGCTGTTGGATCTTAAAATATCTGCATTGCAATCCAGAAGCTTCATGGACTTGACACCATTTTAGTACAGGTTCCTGAGTTGCTTTTTGAACGGGTGCAAAGTCTGATGCTGCATTCTCATCCATCATTCCCTCTCATTGTCCACACAGAGGAATAAATCTATTAGAAATGCAGATGTTACTGTGAACCCAGGATCTCAAGGTTGTTAATCTCATTTGGCTTTTCTAGGTTGCTGACAAACGTTTATTTTTAAAATGGACCGCAAAGCTTACCTGGTCCTAGTTTGGCCACAGCATAGAGGAGGTCATAGTTGAGGACTGGCGTGGCATCGTTGATGGGCTGCCAGCCAACAGGTGGGGAGGAAGGGGGCGAGATGAGAAACTGTTTGGCAGGCTGGGGTGGAGCCAAGTGCAGTTTGTCTCCATCTGTCTCTGGAGTCTGAACCTTTCAAATAGAGTAGAGATGAAGAAACTTATTCATCATGGCTTCAGATGTGTCATGTTGGCACATTAAAACATGGGTTTAGTTTCAGCCTGCGACAAATGAACCGATGAACCCGACCGTAATAATAATTACCACTTACCACATACCATGTGCTCAATTGCCTTATTTAATCCTGAAAATAGTGGATCTCAACCTTTACTGTACATCAGAATCACCTGCAGTCCTTACTAAAACACAGATTGCTGAGCCCTATCCCCTACATTTCTGATTCAGGAGGCCTGGGATGGGGCCTGAGGGTTTGCATTTCTAATAGATCCCCAGGCTATGCTGTTGGCTGCCAGTCCACTGTCCCACCACGCACCTGCCAAATGTTTCCTTCTCTCCTTCTCTCTTTTCCTCCTTCCTTCCTTCCTTGGTGAAATTCACATAACATAAAATTAACCACTTGAAAGTGAACAGTTCAGTGGCAGTTAGTACATTCCTAACCTGCAACAACCACTTCTATCCAGATCCAAGCTCTTTTCATCACCTTAAAGGAACTCCTCTGCCTATTGCTACCAGTACTACCATTACCAGTTACCACCATTCCTGTCTCCCACTGGTCACTGGCAACCACCATGCTGTTTTCTGTCTCTACAGATTTACCTGTTCTTGATATGTCCTATAAGTAGAATCACAGAATATGTGACCTTTTGTGTCTGGCTTCTTTCCCTTAGTATAATGTTTTCAAGGTTCATCTACATTGTAGCATTTATCAGTATTTTAGTCCTTTTTATGGATGAATAATATTCCATCATATGGACATACTATAATTTGCTAATCCATTCATCCATTGATGGACATTTGAATGGTTTCCACCTTTTGTCTATTGTGAATAGTGCTGTTGTGAACGTGTGTGTACATGTATTTTTTTGAGTACCTGTTTTAAATACCTAGGAGTCGAATTGCTGGGCCAGATGGTAATTCAATGCTTAACTTTTTAAGGAACTGAGTGAGATTTTAAAGACGAGGAAACTGAGGTTTGTCCACATCACACACATTAGAATAGCAATGATGGAATTTGAACATGGATGCAGGGCCAATGTCTGTGTTCTTTTCACTGTGCCATCTCTGTAGAATCTGAAGGTGGAAACCATACTTACAGATCACTTAAGAGATGGATCAAGGTATCTAGTGATGAGGTGAGGGCACTAATGGAACATGATGGATATTGATTTCTATTGCTGTGAACTTCATAAGCATTGCCAAGAATTACTCATTTCATTTTGGAAGAGCTAGAATTGATTTTTGGATGAAACAAATTAATTTCCATATATTTGTCACCTTTTCTCATAAATATGAATCATTGAAAAGTTATACATTCCACTAAAGCTGTCATATGATTTAAGTTTTAATTATAACCCTGATAGGAAGGTTAGGAATAGCTGTGATTACGTCATTCTTATTATAACTACTAGCGGGCATTTATTGTGTATTTGCCAAATATTAGGCACTTAAACACACAATAATTCATGCAATCCTCATAACAGTATGGGGTGTAGATCTTGATCATCCCCACTTTACAGATGAGAATAAGGAGCCCCAGTGAGGTTATGTAACTTGCTCTGGTAGGCAGCTCTCAGAGCCTGTTTTCTAAGCCACTAAGCTGTTTCTGTCTGGAAATCATGATGTGGGTCTATTTCTCAGTGAATTAATTTATAGACTACCAACCAATCTGAAAATAGAAAGGGCTTCATTTACATTTTAAAATGGTAAAAAATAATGTAGGGCAAAAAGAATAACTTTGGTAAACAATTACCTTACCTGTGCAAAGTAGAGCTTTAATTTTTTCCCTCTGAATTGGGTTTCATGAAGCTCTATCCTAGCTCGGGCTGCAGATTTAGGATTGCTGAAGTTTATACGGACACGTCTGAAACTCTTAAATAGCTGGAACGTCACACAGTCATCATAAGTCCGAAACAGTCCCTCAAATTTTTCCTGATAAAAACAAACACAGAGGAAAATCCATTGGCCATGGCATGGATCTCGTATGATGTCATATCTGATAAAAACAAACAACTAAATAAATAGGCTGTTAATAACATATGGTTTAAATAGAACACCAGTAATGTATTTTTTTCATCTGTAGATCTGTTGCCAGGTGCAAAACATGCCTGAATGATTTATAATCTTGGTCCAAGGTTCTCTAGAGGACCAGTGAATAGCATTCAAAGTATATGAAACAAATGGGAAATTACGCAAAATGTTGAGTATTTCTGTAGAGGAGAGGGATCATAATGATCATTAGATTCTCAAAGAAGTTCATTATCTCCAAAATACTGGAGCTACTGAGTAAAGCATATGGTAAATATTGTGATTACCAATCTTGGGGGCACTTTTCTTTTTCTTTCTTTCTTTCTTTTTTTTTTTTTTTTTTTTAGACAGAGTCTTGCTCTGTTGCCCAGGCTGGAGTGCAGTGGCATGATCTTGGCTCACTGCAACCCCCGCCTCCTGGATTCAAGTGATTCTCCTGCCTCAGCCTCCTGAGTAGCTGGGATTACAGGCATGTGCCACCACACCCAGCTAATTTTTGTATTTTTTAGTAGAGATGGGGTTTCACCATGCTGGCCAGGCTGGTCTCGAACTCCGGACCTCAAGTGATCCACCTGTCTCAGCCTCCCAAAGTGCTGAGATTACAGGCATGAGCCACCATGCCAGGCCTAGGGAGGGGTGGGCACTTTTCTTGCCTAAAAATATGGGATCCACTCCATCCAGTTTCCTAGTCAGGCAGTACCATTTGATTAGTCCTGGTCAATGAAATACGTGTAGAGTGCAGAAGAAAGCCCTCGAGTAATTTTTCAGTTTATTTCTCTGAAGAGGCCATGTGTTTCAAAAGGTACAGCTGTCAGAAACAGGATTCTCTTCACTCTGGGTCCCTGAGTGGCTGTATGAAGCAGAAATAGTTTTCTCCCGACTCCAACCCCATTCTATAGCCAACTCTGCCATAGCAAGGAAAAAAAAAATCTCTATTGCATTAAATCACTGAGATTTGAGAATTATTTTATTCCTACAGCATAACCAAGCTATCACAATACAAAGCAGTAATTAAAAACTTTAGACTCAATACACAATTTCAATTCAACTGAGTAAGTATCTATTAAATGCTTACTTTGTATGAGGCATGGTCTCTCTCAAGACTTTAAGAGGATACAGAGATGAGTATCACATTGTTCTGACCCTCAACCATCTAACAATCTAACATGTGAAGCAGATACACACAAGTAAGAGGACACCCAGAACACTGCAGAAAGGCATAACAGAAAACTAGAGAATTAAAAAAGAAAAAATATATAGGCATTATGTTAATACCATCTGTCTGATCTGTCTGGTTCCTCTTAGCCATAAAAATATCCTTATTATAAGAAAACTAGTATATGTTATAAGCTAGTGTGTTCTTAATAGAGAAACTTCCACTAAGGAAATTATATATACAACCAACCTGATTCTTTTATTTCAACAGTAAAAGGTAATTTCTCATAACAGTGAGTACAAGTAAGGATGGAGATGCATGAAATATTAATACTGCAAGATTCATAGAATTTTAACTAGGAATGGACTTAAGAGATGATGAACTCAACCTTTTCCTCCTCACCTCCATCATTTTACGAGTCAGAACCCTGAGATCTGAAAAGATAAGGACTTACCCATGGGCACATGGACAGTCAGTAGCAGAGCCAGGACCAGGCCAAAGTCCTTGTGACCCTGACTAGAGAGATACTGTCAACTTGATAAAGAATTATACTGTCAGGTTGATAGGAGGAGATGCTTATTTTAATAAGAGCATTTATATTTAATTAGATCACATCTAAGAGAATCAACATAGTGAGGTGGGGTTGTAAAAACACTGACTTCTGAGGCTCCACAGGAGGAGTAACTCGAATGTCAGGGAAGGTCTTCCTGCCTCTTGGGCATCCAGATCAACTTGTATCAGACCTTCAAGCCCATGTTGGTGATGATTCCATACCCTGCTGCCCATTTCTGAGAATCCCCAGGCTGCAGTTCCCCCTCCTATCTTTGACTCCTTTGTCTGCCCACACTCTTCTCTTTTATACCAGTCCAAGGACCCCAAAGAATACAATAAAAGCTTTTGCTTTTTTTGTGACATTTGTGGAGATTTGAGGGGTTCTTTCTCGCATTTTCAGTTTTTTTCTTATACTCCTTTTCCCATCACGAACAAAACAAGAATTTTTCCTTGTCTTATGCAGAGCAGGCTTTTTGTCTCCCTTCATCTCTTAAGCCTTGGGATCAGCCAACTCCCAGACTCAGGGCTTCAGCTACCACTCCAAGTAGTCTCATTACGGAATTGTGTCCCAACAATACTGTGTTTTCCTGAGCAGGAATACTGATGACTAAAATGCATTCTGTTTCCTCACAATGAGAGTACTCTGAACTGGTCAAGTCACAGCTGGTAGTTTGATTAGTTTGGGAAGTTTTCAGGAATAGGAGAATTAAGAGATTAAAAACTCTTGTTTCTATATAGAGTATAATATTTTTTTAAGGACAGAATCCTTGGGTCTTCTTTGTGGCTGGTATGTTTTCCCATTTCCAGGGTGGGAGTTTCACCTTCTCATCACCTCTCCAATGCCTGAGCTTGGGCCATTAAGTCTAGCTTTTGAAAGCGAGGTGCTTTTTCCTTTGAGTCTAATTCCTTCCTTTTCATTTCATATTTCATTTTTATGCTTCACATCTCAGTTTATCAGAGCAGTTTGGCCTCAAGAGACTGCATTAGGAGCAAAGAATCAAGGACTCCAGGTTTTAGGCTTAGAGGGTGCTGACAATGTGCTACCTCCTTGGTGAGGCATTGGCAGACATCGAGAACATCTTGTTCCCACTGATCCTCAATAGAAGGCTCCAGGCACCAACTCCCACCAAGTTAGAATTGGCCGTTGACGTGAAACTCTTTGATATTCCTTGTTTTGGGCTTAGGCTGAAAAACAAAAGGAGCTCTTGCACCAAACCTGGGGTGTAGTCCAGAGCTCAGGCACCAGGTTTTTCACTGGATCATATGGGGCTTAAAGTCCACAATGATGATAATAATAAACAGCTGACATTTACTCAGCATGTCCTCTCTTTTCAGGCCTTTTGGGACCTTTATTTGTAGGGGTGACAGTTGTCCAAGAATAGGGACTTGCTAGCCTTCTCTATTTTTGTTTCCATTGGTGACATTACACACATATCATTTGCTGAGGCAACAAGATACCAGACCAAATTAGTTAGAGGCAGATCCAGCACAATGAAGCCACCAGATGTACACTGAGGCAAAACAGTGTCACCAAAAGCACTAGCTGTAGGAATTCTCCACCTGCCATTACAGAAAATCTTCTGTGGTCTTGATGTGCAGGTTCTCACCAGGGACACAATAATATTTTGTTGTCCTCTGGCTCCCATTTTTCTCCAGTTGTGTTGCCCAACAAATCCAATAAATTATTAATTTCTCCTCGATCGTTAGTTCTCTTTGTAGCATCCTGTTTGAATAAAGTTCCACAGCAGCGATCTCAAGCTCTTTGGTTTCAGGACCTCTTTACACTCTTAATAATTATTGAGGATCCTAAAGAATTTTTGTAAATGTGGGTTTTATTTAACAATGTTTATTGAACTAGAAATTACAACTGAGAAACTTGAAAATATTTATATATAAATCTATTTAAAAGTAATAATAATAAGCCCTTTGTTTGTTAACATAAACTTTTTAATGAAAAATAACTGTTTTCCAAAAGAAGAAAAAGTTTAATGAGAAGATTGACATTGTTTTACATTTTTGCAAACCTATTTAATTTCCACATTAATAGAAGACACCTGGATCTCATATCTGCTTCTGCATTCAATCTGTTGCACCAAGTTGTTTTGACTGAAGGGTATGAAGAAAAACTGGCCTCATCCAAATATGCGGTTGGAAAAGGGTGGAGTATTTTAACAGCCCTTCAAATAATTGTGAGTATTCTTCATTGATATCTCATCAAAACTCAATAAGTAGTAGTTTCTTAAAGTGTACTGCATAATCACATAACATTTTATATGATTTTATTAAGATCCATTTATCTATTTTTCACTTTGAATAAATTTTAACCCATGCAATGATTTCATAATAGTGTACATTAATCATTTAGACAATATTGGTTCCCTGAGTTATATAACTTTTCCAACTTGACCAATTTCAATACAGTGTTAAAAATCACATTCATTAATACTATAGTTTGGTGCAAAAGTAATTGTGATTTTTGCCATTACTTTTAATCTATCTACCATCTATCTTATTCAAAAGCTGTGGAATTCACATTGGTGGATACAAGTTTTCCAAAATTTTAATTTTTGCTTGAAAGCTCATTCTTTATTATTGGGCAACACACACTTTCAGTTATTTTTCTTATAGTAGCAGATTCATTTCATTCATTTTTGAGAAACTGTCTGCCAAATACCAAAGTGTCCATAACTATACTTTGCCTGTCAGTTGTTTCTTCAAGTAAAAATGGTGTTCCATGAGAAAAGTACCAAGGGCAGCTTAGGACAGCTTAGAATGTTTCCTCCAGTCAAACATTGTATTTCTGGATGTCACAGAAGTGCTTCTCATGTGTACTTTCCATTTTTTTACTCAGAATATTACAAAGGTATGTGCTTAAGGTTAAAGGGTTAAAAAAATGAATAAAACTTACTGCCTTATCAAGGACATTTCTAAGTAAAATTGGCATTTTCTTTTTCTGCTTTTTTTCTTTTTTCTTTTTTTAACTGTGAGTGTGTGGCTGTGATGAATAGAAATACAGTCATGCACTGCATAATGAAGTTTTGGTCAACAATGGACTGCATATCTGACTGTGGTCCCACAAGATTATAATACCATATTTTTACCATACCTTTTCTATGATTAGATATATTGAGATATACAAATACTTATGTGTAAAAATTGCCTACCGAATTCAGTATAGTAATATGCTGTACAGGTTTGTAGCCTAGGAACAATAGGCTGTACCATAGAGCTTGGATGTGTAGTACGCTATACCATCTAGATTTGTGTAAATACACTCTATCATGTTCACACAACGAAATCACCTAAGGACACATTTCTCAGAACATCTTCCTGAGGTTAAGCGACACATGACTGTACTGCTAGCACAATTTGGTGGCACTGCACTGATTCATGCTAAAGTACCAGCAGTTTTAACTACCATTGCTTTTGCACCATGGGTATAAATGTCAACACAATTTAAAAGGTAAATGATACCTTTGTATTACTATGAAAATAGTTTTGACAACATAGGAACTGGTATTGGGATCCCTCATGAGTCTATAAACCACACACTGAACACTGCTGTACAACAGGATCTCAGAAGTAAGGATCCAGTTGGCTTGGGGAAAGACAGGAGGTCTAGTGAGACCCTTAAGGGTACAACATAATGGTCAGAAAAGAGCTGCCCTTCAAGGAAGTGTGATAATACTGGTATTGAATGCTGCAGGAAGGTCAAATAGGGTGAAGATGGAGATGACACCACTGGATTTGACAAATGGGCTGATGCTGATGACCTTACTGAGAGAGCTGTTTGAACAGATGTGTAATAGATTAATTACAGATGGAGGAGTGAAGGGCAGAGAAAAAGCTGGAAAAAGAGTTTGGCAATGAAAACCAGGGAGCTGGGCTAACTATGTGGGCAGTCACGGTCACAAGCAGATTTTTGGTAGTGTGGGGAAACACTTATTGGCTGAAGAAATGAAACTAACAAAGAGGGAGAGAGAAGAGATAGTAAGGATATGTTGAAGTCTGAACCCCAGGACCTCAGAACATGACCTTGTTTGGAAATAGGGTCATCAAAGATGTAATTAGTTAAAAAGATGTCATACTGAAGTGGTATGGGACCCTAATCTAAGTTGACTAGTGTCCTTATAAGAAAGCCATGTGAAGACAGAGAAACATAGGGAGAGTGTCCTGTGAAGACAGTGAAGTGGCACCTCTGCAAGCCAAGGAATGCTAAATATTGCTAGCAAACCACCAGAAGCTAGGAAGAAGCAAAAAAGGATTCTCCTATGGGATCCAGAGGTATCACCGCACTGCTGACACCTTGGCTTTGGACTTTAGCCTTCAGAATTGTATGGTAATAAATTTTTATTGTTTTAAGCCACTCAGTTTGTGGCACTTGGTTACAACAGCCCCAGGAAACAAATATAGGCAGCCTTGCAGACCTACAGAACCAGATGACTCTGGGAAGAATACAGAGCACCTAATATAATTACACCATTTCCCCCCAGGAGAGGAGGAAGTGGATATTTGGGTCATTCCAAGGTGATGAGTACAAGACAGGTGTGTGTGTGTGTATGTGTGTGTGTGTTGAGGGATAGGAGAAGAAACATGAAGGAATAACTTGAAAGGCTTGGCAAGTAGGCAATGAGATGCCCGACTATGAGAGGTTGTGAGGAAAGAAGAGAAACCAGGAGTATCACATTCAACTGAAAGAATGGGAAGATGTGAGACTTCAAGGTTCTGGATGAGTTAGAAAAATAAGTTTTGTAGGAATGACATAGTGGGAAAAGTAGAAGACAAAAAAATTGTAAACCCAAAAGATAATTTTGTAAGTTTAAGGTTTCAGAAGGTTTTCAGTGTCAGATGCCCTTAGGGTCAACATGAGGCACATGAATGGAATTGTGATGGATGACAGGGTGAGGATGATGGGAATAGAGGCTAAAGAATAGCGAGGTAAGAGGATTGCACGGTGACCACCGACTCAGGAGGACAACAGGAAACAGAGTTGAGGGACAACCATGAGCCAGATAAGCTGCGTGAGAAACAGGAGGAGTGACCTGGAGAGCCGCAGGGTATGGCAGCATAGACAGGAAGAAAAGAGTTCAACTGGAGGGCAGGGGCTTCACAGAGATCATCTATAAAAAGGGATGGAACAACAGTCTAGAAGCATAGGAGGAAGCCAGAGAATTCTAAGCCTAATATTCTGGGCTTCAGAGGTAGGGAACTGGAGAATAATCTGCCTAGCAATGTGTAATTGCGAGGGAATAAGCATTGCTCAGAGCAATTAAAGACTTGGTAAGGAGAGGATATGGAGTGATTATTGTAGAGCACAAATGGTACTCTGAGAAAATCAATAATGGACTCTAGAGAAGAAAGTGGGAGAGGTTAGAATAGGGGTTGGAGGCTGGGCACGGTAGCTCACGCCTGTAATCCCAGCACTTTGGGAGGCCGAGGCAGGAGGATCGCCTGGGGTCAGGAGTTCAAGACCAGACTAGCTGACATGGTGAAACCCTGTCTCTACTAAAAATATAAAAATTAGCTGGGCGTGGTGGCACATGCCTGCAATCCCTACTACTTGGGAGGCTCAGGCAGGAGAATCACTTGAACTCAGGAGGTAGAGGTTGCAGTGAGCCAAGACTGTGCCACTGCACTCCAGCCTGGGTGACAGAGCGAGATTCTGTCTCAAAAAAGAAAAATAAATAAAATAAAATAAAATAAAATAAAATATGTTCCAGGTAGAATGTCTGAAGATGTGCATGTGCTGCTTACCAAATAACAAACACAGATCCAGGCCGAACTCAGGCCATATTTGAAATAAAATGATTATATAGTGTCAAATATGAACATTTGTGGATGTTAAGGCTTCTACTTCTACCTTTAGATGTATTTGCTTTTCTTAAGTAGTCTGAGATGTACGGACACAGGTATTTATTGCTGTCTTAGAGAGGCTTACTGTGGTTTTCCTTAAATCTTATTCACCTCTACTATAATTATTTGTTTCTTATTTGTGCCCCAGATTTTTAAAAAGACTCAAACATGGCTTATAAAGATATATTATGGCAAAATAAAATAAAGTAAAATGGAAAACGAGAAGAGAAAAAGGGGGAAACAAGTGTAGAAACATACATTGAAGCCAAGAAGGAGGTCTGTTCCAAAAACTGAAAAGCTTCTCATAGATCCTTGAATATCACAATGAGTGGGCCAACATTTTGCCTGTAATCTTTCTTAACATTAACAGGATAGAGTAACCCTCATCAGTTATACAGTTCACAGGGTCTATGGAATAAAGATGGGCCTGATCTAAAAACCAGGCAGAAGGATCTGTCCAGCATCCTCATTAAAAAGATATTGTTATGCGGAGAGCACTGTCTTCAGTAATTACAGAACATGAAACAAGCAGCGATTGGTCTGTTAGAGTTTCCAATCAGAATGTAAGCAAGTATTATTATTTTTTTCAATCAATAGCTTTCAGCAGTGACCTCAGTACTCAGGGAGTGCTCAATATGTTCTATTTGGTCAATATAAAAAAGTATTTTATAAAATATTAGGATATTAAAATATTACCCTCAATTTAACTCTAAATCAGACAGGTGGCAGACAAATCATAACTTCTAAAATATTATCTCACTGAATCCTCAATAAGTCCTTTGAGCAAGAATTGGAATTTTTGTTGTCCTTGAGAAACCCAGTGTATTAGTCCATTCTCACACTGCTATAAAGAAATACCTGAGACTGGGTAATTTATAAAGAAAAGAAGTTTAATTGACTCACAGTTCCACATGGCTGGGGAGGTTGCAGAAAACTTAACAATCGTGGTGGAAGGGGAAGCAGGCACGTCTTACATGGCAGCAGGAGAGGGAAAGAGAGTGAAGGGGGAAGAGCCGCTTATGAAACCATCAGATCTCGTGAGAACTCACTCACTATCATGAGAACAGCATGGGGAAAACTGTCCCCATGATCCAATCACTTCCCTCACTAGACGGGTGGGGATTATAGGTCCCTCCCTCGACATGTAGGGATTACAATTCTAGATGAGATTTGGGTGGGGACGAGGAGCCAAACCATATTACCTAGAAAGCAACTGAAAGCCAGAGAAGCTAATCACATACACTAAGTCACACAACTAGCCAGTTAGCAAAACCAAAACTAGTGAGTTCAAGTTATTTATACTGCATAAATATCACTGATACATGCAGAGGAGTGAGAAGTCTCCAAACAGGAATAAGAAAACCAGCTTTCCTTGTCAATCCAAAAGAACAGTGCTGACTTTGAAGAAACAGCTACTAGGGAAGTCCACTGGTACTTTTGTCAGCTTTCCAAATGATGCTATACGCTTTATATATTTTTCAATTTTCACAATTATGATCCCTTTGGGCATAAATTGCTTTAATAAGAAATTTGGCATCTCTCAAAATCACAAGGCTCTCATCTTTCAGATAATACCTACTAGAAACTGCCAAAGAGTAAAACCACTCCTTTAGGTTTATCACTTCTCAGTGGATACTATTGACAGGCCATGGGCAAATCCCATGTTGAAGAACCACTCTGGATGTGATGGGCGTCTCAGGAGGACCTCCTGGACAGGATGCAGACTCCTTATGTGACGGGCATAACTGGCGTGCATGTGAGAGTTCCCACAGCTGGACTTTAACCTATCAGGATTTCTTAGGCCAGCCAAACTTGTATGAAATTATGCTTTGTTCCATTTGTGGTCCTGATGCTACCTAAATAAAAATCATTGTGAAAAGAGGAACTGCAATCTTTCTTCACTAACAAGAGAAGCAGACAGACATTGTGTCATATAACTGCTTCAAGAAAAGATAGCTTGCTGGTAAAGGTATAGAAGCCTTTATCCTTTCTCCCTGGAGTTCTTGTGAGAGGCAAAGATCTAATACTCAGCCTCAAACTCTAGAAGAAGCCACTTTGTTCTAAAACCTCATGGACTCATCACACACCTCTCTCAGTGGAGCAAGTTCCATGATCCATGTTCCAGTCTATTATTTCTTTCCCAGTAGCGGTCCTAAAGTTCACTGTGGCTGAATAACATTGCTATTCAAAAGTATATTTTTAGTTTTCTTTAGTTAAGGAAATTTCCATTTCTCTGATTCTTCTTAGTCATCATCTAAACACTTAGAACTTGAAAAAACTCCAAGCCAACAAACAAACAAACAAAATAACCCAAACACCTCCAATACAAATAAAAACGTGTATGAGGACTATTAACTGGAATAACCTTTGAATGAGGGAGGCAGAGCGGGGGTGAATCCAAGTATTATGTAACCTGAAGATTTCACACCTTGGGGAGCCTTCTTTAAGCAAAATAATAGAAAACTAAGCACAGATATAAAAAATTAGCCTGGCACAGTGGTGCGCACCTGTGGACTCAGCCACTCTGGAGGCTGAGGTGGGAGGATCACTTGAACCTGGGAGGTGGAGGTTGCAGTGAGCCAAGATCATGCCACTGCACTCCAGCCTGGGTGACCGAGTGAGACCCTGTCTCAAAACAAAAACAAAAACAAAACACAAAAAAAGCAACTAAACATAAACATTGGAGGTTTGTTTTTTAAGAATGAGAACAAAAATAAGAAATAACTTTTGCAAATTTTGCAAAAATATATAACCACATGAATACAATGCTAGGGCTCTATTAAGTCTTGGTAAAGACCAATGCAAATGAGGGGCTCTAAAGCTTCATTTAACCCCTGGGAAATATGCCCAAGAGAGTGTGAAGTATGTACTGTGCAGTCACAAAATAATCTGGAGTCCAGGTTTTCAGAACAGCTAAAACAAGTACAGTGTTTCTATCACTGTACTGTACAGAAAGAAAACCAAAACATTGGTTTTTCTATACTCTCACATTACTTCATTTCTGGTCATTAACACATGGAGTTTTTCTCACAGCAAGCAATTCTCCAGTTCTCTGTAGACACCCACTGGATGTCTTACGCTTTAACTCAATTCTGACTCTATCTGCCTGAAGATAGTGCCAGATCCCAAAGGTTAAGGGCTCAGTACTCCAAGACTGCCCCACTTTGGACACCAATTGCACGTCCAGGCTTTGCTTCTGACCCACTAGTTATAAATTGGAAGTTCCCACAACCTCCTCCTCAGGTTCGATCATTTGCTATAATGGCTTACGGAACTTAGGGAAGCACTTTACTTATGCTCATCCTTTTATTATAAAGAATACAACTCAGTAACAGTCAGATGGAAGAGATGCATAGAGCAAGGTATGCGAGAAGGGGCACTGGGCTTCCATGCTCCTCTCTGGACTAGACCACGCTCTCAGTACCTCTACATGTTCAGCAACCTGGAAACTCCCTGAATGCTGTCCTTTGGGTTTTTATGAAGGCGTCCTTACACAGGCAGAATTGATCACATCATTGCCAATTGGTGATCAACTCTAACTTCAGCATCTCTCCCCTTCCCAGAGGTCAGACAGTAGGCTGAAAAGCTGAAAGTTCTAACCCCATCCTGAGGCCACCCAGGGCCCCTAGTGTTCTCATTAGCATACAAAAAGACACTTATCACTGAGGAGATTTTCCAGGGGTTCTTGGAACTGTGTACCAGGAAACAGGGAGGAAGACAAAAAATATATTTCTTATTATATTCAAAATATTATACTCTTAGCTGATAAGGGTCAATTCCCTAAAAGGTTTAAACACCAGAACGAGCCAAGAGACTTGAATCCGCAAAGTTTAAGTCAACGCACCCTATTATAGATGGCTGAGTACATCCTTTCCTTGCCTAAATCCACTTTGTAAGTACCCAAAGTGGAGACTGAGGAAGAGGAGCAAGTGAGGGGATTGCTTGGAACCTGTCCTGGAAGCTGTCCAATAAGTAGGGGCAGGTGACAAGAGAGGAACCGAAAGGCAGCATAGTTTGCATGCCTAGGGCTCTTGTTGTTCTGACTCCATGCAGTGACTGTCCATCCTTTGGGTGAGTGGGACCCTCTCATTACGTGAACCCAGGGCTTGTTCTGGTGGGGCACTCACCAGAGGCTATGGAGCCCGGCTATGCCAAGCAAGGTACCATTTGTGGATGGCTGCAAGTCTCTTGCCTGCACCAGGACACTTCTAAGTCTCCCAATGGGTCTATGAAAATGTAAGAGGTAGCAGAAAGGAGCTCTCCCACATGTCCCCAGGATGGGGAGGAGGGTGGACCAGGCATACTAAAGACTTTTGAGTAAGTAGTTATGAATACAGATCTCTGTTACATGCCAGAAAATTGGGCTTCTGTGCATGGTAATAAATACTTTTTATGCAAAGGAAGGATCTGACAGTCCTTTTATAGCTGCCACATTTCAGTTTACAACATCAATGGCTGCCTTGGCTCAGGGCATTTCCTAAAAGCTGACAGCTTCAACCTTCTCTGGCCCATCAATTCCTCTTCTCTGATCATTAATCTGTACAAACGTCTGTGGCTGTCATCAGCCCTGATTAGATATAGGCTCTAATTGTGCATGTGTAATTGATGAAATGCATAGCCTGTCTTACAGCTTATCCAGTCTCACAAGAGGACAGGAATTTTACTTTAAATTTGTTTAAATATTCATTTATCTATAAGATACAGGTAAGAAGAGGCAGTATAAAGTTATGTTACTAGCAAACTCTAGAGCTAGACTACCTAGTTTAAATGCTGGTCCCAGCTGTGCAACCTTGAACAATGTACTTACCCATTGATGCCTCAGTTTCCTTACTATAAAATAGAAATAATGACAGTATCTACCTCATAGGGGTATCCTGGCTGTTAAGTAAATTAGTATATTTATATCACTTTAAAAGGTTGCTGAGCACAGTAAGTGTGTGTGAGCTATTACTAATCCCAGATTGGAAGATAAACATTTTGTTTATATGCCTGTATTTGGCTTATTAGCTGTACATCCAAATATCCCTATATCCGGAACCAAGTATATTATATCTATGTCTACATCTATCTATATATTTATATCTATACTCGTACCTGTATATAATCTTCAAAGATTGTAAAGACCAATTATAGGAATGTCAGCAAAATGTCTCCTATGAAATCAACTCTAATTAAACTAACTTGATTTTATTGATGTTATTATCTACTGAAAATGTAGAGCCCAAATTAGCCACAAAATTTCTTTTTTGTCTGTAAAGGTTTAATCATGTCCTTTACAAAACAACATGATAAATTAAATAATTCTAAGGAGGAAATCAACTGGGTAATTGCCTTCAATCCTTCCCTTTGGGGATCCTGCACCATTAGCTGGAGCTCAGAGAGACAGTGAGCAAAGGATAAAGATGCCAGTGACTATTGAAAACATCAGAAGCTCACACACAGAGTAGGTAAGCCCCTCCTATCTGGTTCCTTTCTCCTCTTCTCCCAACACACCTCTACTGTCTTTTAGACAAACCCATTTCCAGACCTCCACGCCCCATATTCAATTGTTTTGCTGAGATTTCCAATAGGTGTCTTTGATGTAATGGCCCTGAAGCCATTTTTTTTTTAAGCTGGGGCCTCTAAATCTGCCACTCATCCTATCACAACAAATGGCCCCCTCTACCCAGTTGCTTAAGCAGGCAACCTAAATGTTATCCTGATCTCTTCTTTCTCCCTCACTTCCACATCCCACTACTCAACAAGCACTATGTTCTCTGGACCTTTCAGTACGTCTCCCATCAGCCCCCTGTTCACCCTGCCATCAATTTTGTGGCTTACCCTATGACTGCACTTGGTCTCCCTGGTCTCTGTCTGGCCACCCAAAAATCAACCTTGGAAGCCTGCTGCTAGAGAGGTCTTTCTAAAAGAGAAAATTCTGGGCTGGATGCAGTAGCTCATGCTTGTAATCCTAGCACTTTGGGAGGCCAAGGTGGGAGGATTGCTTGAGTTCAGGAGTTTGAGACCAGCCTTGGCAATATAGTGAGCCTCTGTCTTAAATAAATAAATAAATAAATAAATAAAGCAAAAGAGAAAATTCTGATTATACCATTCCTCTATAAAATTCTTTAGTGGCTCCCCACAGCTTTTAGAATAAGGCTCTGCTTGGCATTAAAGGCCCTTCATAAAATGGCTATCACCCACCCCACTAATCTCATACCTCTCCTTTGCTTTTGTTGCCTATATTCCAGCCAAACTTCTCTTTACAGGTTCCCAAAGGCAGGTTATTCTGTGCCTGCAAGCCTTCTCATTTGCCCTTTCTTCCGCCAGTAACAGCCTTTTCCTCCAGATAACTTTCTAATTGTCTCTCAAGTCCTAGCTCATATCTCAAATCCAAGAAATCTGTCCTGAATCCCATTAAGGTTTAGACATCCTTCTGCTGTGCTCCCATAACAGTGTTGTTAGTGAGGGCAAATGTGCCATCATTAACTGGATTACAAGAACTTCAAGGGCAGTAATGGTGTCATTTTTGTGTTTTGCTCACATATTCACTATTGAGTGCCAACTGTGTGACATGCAGATGCCTACACTTTGGAAAGGGCTCACTTGGTGATGAAATGAACCAGACAATGTTGAGAGAACAGTCCTCCCTCCCACACACTACCGTTTGATGAATTTGTTCTTTTCTTCAAAGCTATCCTTCAACCAAAGCAACAAATGCACACTAAACATATGTATTAAGATCCTCCATAATGTAATGAAACAGGGATGCCAAAATAAAAATTATACAAATTTCTTCTCGGAAGTCTTTCTTGACTACTCCCCTACCAAATACCCTTCTTCTATTGAGCTTTAATCTCCAATTCCTCTTACTATTTAAAATATTATGAATATATTTCAGAGTAATGTGTCATCAGAGAGTGTGTGTGTGTGTGTGTGTGTATGTGTGTGTGTGTGTGTGTATGTGTGTATGTGTGTGTATGTGTGTATGTGTGTGTGTGTGTGTATGTGTGTGTGTGTGTGTGTGTATGTGTGTGTGTGTTAGTATAGGGGGGTGGTCAAGGAAGAAATGGCCTGTAAGAGATGGATAGAATTTGTGTATGTGGAAATAAGTGGCAATGGAAGACTTCAGAATTCTCCAGGCAGGAGAGCAGCATTATCAAAGGATTTAAATATTTACATTAATATGATGTTGTTTCTAAAAAAAAAAAAAGGTATTTCAAGGGATTAAGAAGAGGATAAAAATAATAGTTGGCCCTAAGCCATATTTTGCTGGGAATGGCCTTGTTTGTTGCACAATAACATCTGTTATTAAATACCCACAGAATCACAGGAAACATAAACCAAATGAGATTTGAGATTTTGGTATTAGTCAGCACTCACACATTTTTTACAACATTTATTTAATAGCAAGATGCTTCACTGAATACATTCCATTTGAGTTCTAAATGATGGGTCATGAGCCTGCTGATGCAGATAGGCAAACTGCTCACCAGCTTGGAGCCTCTTTAAAAAATTACCCCTTTGCAGAATGCTACCCGGTGTTGTAGCTGAAAGAAGTAGAAAATGTACTTCTAAAAACAAGCAGTGTTCTACCTTCTCAACATTGAGGTGGAGGCTCTGTTTTAAAATCGAGCTGTCAATAATTGATGAGGACATTTTTAGTAAGTTTAATGTTAAATTAAAGGGCTAAATCCTAAATATGTTCCATATCATGTCCTTTGAAGACAGGCGATTTAAAATTTAATCCATTCATTTTGCCATTTGGCAAGTGATCAAAGTAAGCTTTTCAAAAGCAGCAGGGTATCCTTTAACTTATTTTTCCCATGAAATTAAAATGGCATTTGCATTCTTTTAAGATGCAGATATAAGGAACTTCTTATGATTCAATCATTAAATTTAGAAAGTGTGCAGCTTGTTATACTCCTAATCTCTTTTCCTCCTCTCCATCTCACCTTTTCTATTTGTTTTCCTCTGTTCTTTATGTAATGACATAGAAAAGAATGTATATTAATGATGAAACCTTATATAAAATTAAATCTCTCATGTTCAAATTCCTTAAGATTTGAAACAAAAATGATTGTTTCAACCCATCACAGATTCAGGACACAAGAGACCTGAAGGAAAGCATTTCCAAATTGAAACATGACAGTCTACATCTATCATGGCTGAAGTGGATTTACTAGAAACAAAACCGACTCTTCGGCTATGGCTAACACTGCCCAAAATTTGGGAATGCAACTTTGCACAGTGGTTACATTTTCATGTGGGAATTTATTAGATATGACTTAGGTTAAAATGCTTTCTATATGCCAAGTCCACACTAGGCCCCGCACATATGCTAATTTATCTCATTCTCACAATACACTTATGAGGCAGATGAAGAAACGAGTTAAAAGAGATTAAACGATCTGCCTAAGGTGGTCAGCTCGTCAGTGACAGAATGCAGATTTCATCCCAGAGGACTATCTATGGCAGAGGGAAGCTGGGTCGATATGGCTTCACCCCTTTCAGTGCATCTCACCCAGTGGGATGGACACGTCTTTTGTCTTCATCTAGTTTTTCTCATGCATATCTCATAGACCAGCAGCAGTATGAAGAATTCTTGTGCAATCCTGGAGAAATGATTGGAAATGAAAGAGGAGCTGGTTCTGTCAAAAGGAAGAGAGCTTCACATAAGCAGCTCAGATTAGAAGCACCTGAAAATTGGATCGTATTGATGAAACTTGGTTTCCTCCGTGTGTGTGGGTATGGGTGTGTGTATATGTGTGTGTGTTACAAACAAAACTTCAGGATTGTTGAATATAGGCATCGTTCAGTGCCAAAACCATTGTCAGCTAAGCAAGAAAATTTGACTGAGAATTCCCTTTTCTCCATGTGGTAGAAATGAAAGTTTAGGGACAGCTAGGGAAGCTGGGTAAAGCCAGTAATTTATAGATAGTGTCCACTATAATTAGGATGACTACACAATGCGTTGTCCAAGCTAGGAGAGGGGTGCTATTAATTATGCTGTGACTTCAGGACTGTCTTGGGCACACTGGTTATGTAGTCACCAACTGGTTGGTCCTCTGAGTTAGTAATTCTGAAACCATGGTCCTCAGCTCACTGGAGAGACGTGACAGTCCTCTTGATGAGTGGAACCTGTCAAAATATGCAGGCCTTCTCTGCAGTTCTCAGCAGCAAATTATGCTCATTCCATAAATGTGCTTTCTACCAAGGGCTGCTTATTTGTGATCTAATAAAAGTTACGGAATAAATTTTTATTCCATAAAATTTCATAAACGAGTTTACAAAATGATTCTAGTTATTCAGCTTAAAAATATGGCTATTGCTGCACAACTCTTGGTACTCCTGTAGCACATGAGCATATGGAGAGTTGGAATTCTTGCAGCTAGTAGAAATAATAATCATCACTAACACCAGTTCTTCCTAAATGCAGACACTGTTCTAAGTGCTTTACATCCTTATAGTCCAACTTATGGATAACAGATCAGCGGTGGCAGCATCTCCTAGAAGCTTCCTAAATATGCATTATCTCAGGTCACAAGTCTCTAGACCTACTAATTTAGAATCTTTATCTCAGCAAGACCCCCCAGATAATCAGTAGCCCATTGAAGTTTAAGAGGTACCAGTTTAGAAGACATGGGTTGGACCATTTAAGACCTAAGCACTTCCTGACTCTGAATAAACTGATTTATACAATTGTGCTACTGAGAATTACCAGTACTGTTCTTGGGTGTTAATAGTTTTCAGCTCTTTGCATTAATTAATGCATTAACGCTTGTAGACTGGTTTGTTCTTACAATCACGACATTGTTTTTCCTTTGATTATTATCATGTTATCTGCACGTTCTTTATTTTGACTGAGTTTTCTCCCCACTACAAAGAGGGAACACATTGGGTAGGTGGGACACTGTTGGAAGTTCTCATGAACAAGTGAAGAAGAGAATGTGCAGAGACATTCAAATAGTACAAGCTTTGACCTGAGCTGATTGGTAATGTGACCCCCAATCTGCCTAGGAGTATCCCCGGAAGAATTTATTTCTGCTGTTTTGTGTTGCCTAATCCTGGTACATTTAAGATGAAGCAGTACATCCATGAGAATGAGACCATCCTCAGGCTTTGCGTCATGGATATAAGCAGCAGATTCCCTGATCTCACTCAATTGTAACTACTTTTCCCACAGGGTCCCAGTGATCAAGCTTTGTCTCCAGCATCATTTTACCCTTTATTCTTGGAAGGGACACTGGAGGCGACTGATTCCAACCCCTCGACTTGAAAGTTGAAAGATGCAAAGCACAGAGCAGGGGATGACATGCTCAAGGCCCCATCACCAGTCGGAGGCAGACCTGCATAGAACTTGGGACATAAATGTAGGCACACACAAAACCCAGAGACATTCCACCGACATTTAAAATCAAGAATCCTCCCTGATATAGTATGACCTTGTAAATGATGCAAAGGGTTTGAACAATTCAAAACAAACAAACAAACAAAAAAACAGGTCTAGGATAAGTTTTTTCAAAATCATCAAATATAAATTTCAACCCAATTTTTTAATTTCATAAAACCAAGGTTAAAAGAGGTTGAGTGATTAGTTAAAAGTTATGGGCAAGTGATGGTAACGTCAAGCCTCTAATTCATATATTTGCCAAGCTCTAGCTTTGAATGATATTGTAACTCGAAAGGAATAATGTTGTTCTTTTTAGAAAATAACATGGTCATGGTAGACCACTTGGAAAAATATACATAAACATAAGGACAAAGTGACCCATACATTAAAGATAATCACTGTTAATATTTTTATTAAATGAAAAGCATTACATGTAACTTTACCTAAGTTTATCAGAAAAAAAGAATTAAAGAGGGTCGGTATGGTGGTTCACGCCTATAATCCCAGCACTCTGGGAGGCCAAGGTGAGAAGATCACTTGAGCCCAGGAGTTTGAGACCAGCCTAAGCAACATAGGAAGACCCCATCTCTGCAAAACAAACAAACGAAAACGAGGTGGGCATAGTGGCATGCACTGGTGGTCCCAACTACTTGGGAGCCTGAGGTGGGAGGATCATTTGAGCCTGGGAAGTTGAGGCTGAAATGAACCATGATCATGCCAGCCTGGGGAACAGAGTGAGACCTTGTGTAAAATAAAATAAAATAAGAAATGTAAGAAATATGAGAAATTGCTGACTTTCAGAAAAAGATTTCTTTAAAACAAGAAATATTCATTTCCTGAAGGAGTCTTCTATACTTTAAATACAAATCTCAAGAAAAATAAATTTATGTTTCTAGATGTAAAATCTGTCATCTGTCTTAAGAAAATCAGAAGATGTTATAATACCGATATCTAAATAAAATTTTAAGACTTCTATTTTCTAATTTAAAAACAACCTGAGCCTACTTAAGAATAAAATCATGGAAAAAGGCAAATTTATAAAATATTATATAAAAGTAACAAAAGCAGTGGTAGAAAAAAAAATAGCCACATAGAGAAGTAACTGTAATGGTCATATATGCAATAAACAAAAAATAAATTTACAAGAACAGTTAGTGACTCTCTTAATTCCAACTCTAAGTTTCTTGACCTGTGGGAGTTTGGATTTGCTGTTTCAGAAAACACCATTTTATTCACTTCATTAACGGCACAAATTTTTACTCGCTTCATTAAACAATCATGTCTGTCTCATTTTTTTCCTCCTAAAATTCCTAAATGCATTTCTACTGGTGTTGAAGAGAGCAGACATAAGCCATTATCTCATTGGTAACTCCACAAAATTGAACTTCCAGGTTCCTAATTCTATCATTTGTGTTATTATAGCAAATGTGTTCTTTAATAAAGTCATTCATCATAGAACCCTCTGAGTTGGTGTCTCACTTTCAATGGATCGGGTTTTTCACCTGCTGTATAATGGTCATAACTGGATTTCTCTTCATCTAAATCTGGGGTTATTTCAGCTGTTTCATGTATCTCATATCTTCCTCTTTCTTGGAGTAACATTTTACATTGTGTGAGAAAACATCTTTGAGTAGGCCCTCTCCTCCCATGATAGTGACAGGTGATAAACATTTCAAGTCATTGACTGGCCAAATACGTGTGTATCACACTAGACTGATAGTTTGACTTAGAACATAATCCAGGTTAAGAATCACTTCAATTTTCCCCAGAATATGACTCCATTGTTTTTTAGCCAACTGTGTTATAGAAGACAAGTGAGATCCTGGCCTTGTTTTGTCTTTGGAAGCTTTACAGAATTTCCCTAATTTTGGAGTTCAGAACTTTTAGTAAAATGTGACTAGATGTGTGATTTTTTTCCCCATTATTTCTGGAAGGCAGGGGTCAGCAAACTAAGCCCAGTCTGGCCTGATGCTTATTTATGTTTAATAAGGTTTTGTAGGAAAACAGTCACGTATTGTGTTTTTGTTACATATTGAAGCTTTTGTGCTGCAATACAGTCAAGAAATATTACCTGCAAAACTTAAACTACTTACTATCTGGTTCTTCACAGAAAAAAATTTGCTGACTATTCCTATAGAGCATTCAGTGGGCTCTTATTGTGTCTTTGTTCATAGTTTCTTCACACTCATATTTAGATAATTTCTTCCTCTCCATTGCTTCTACTACCTTCCTTCAGCATTCCTAGTTGGATATAGAATTTCTTGCATCTATTATCTGTTTTTCTTTTCTTCCATATTTTCCATCTCTTTGTCTTTTGACTCTGTATTCTCAGAATTCCTTTCACATTATTTTTCAGATCATTAACTTATTCTTCAGTTAGGTCCATTCAACTCTTCTGCTAAATTTTCCAATAAATTTTGCCAGCACAGGGACGCTTATTTTGTTATATCTCTCTTTTTCACAGCAGCTGTGTTCTTGTGTTACAGCTGTCATAGCCTGTTAAATCTTTCTGCGAATATTAAATAGATCTCTTTTTTAAAAAAGATCTTGTCTACTTTCTGCATAGCTCTGAATACTCTAGGTCACCTGTGCTCTTGGTTTATCTCACTAGTTATGTATCTTGCTGTTGGTTCTTCTCAAGTGCGTGGAGATCCTTGGTCATGCATTCACAACATTAGAATGAAGCTAGTAAGTAAAGACGGCTGGAGGAGTGCCAGCTGCAGCTGTGCAGATACAGGCCTTTCTTGGATGGTAGGCTGAGGCCTGTGAGTGGAGGTTTTGTGTACAGGAGCTTCATTTAGGAGTGCTGTCAGGATCAACACCTGTGGAGACCTGAGGGACCCAGGATTGGGCAGAGGGAGGACTTGAACTCAATGCAGTCCCAACAAAGGTCTCTGCAGATTCAAGGTGGCAATGAGGGGAGGGGTACCCTTCACAGGCACCCCCAGTTCAGGATCTTATGTTCCCCTCTCCTCTCATGGAGCAGTCACAGGTCGAGAGCTATCCCTGGGGAGGGAGCATGGCCCTGGGAGGTGATGCCAGCTCTCCAAGGCTAAGGGCTATTCTCATGCAGGGACTCAGCTGAGAACATTCAGCTGTCCATAATTTAGAGGTAGCGAATGATTGCTGCGGGCCTGCTTGAGGATCTGGGCTGCTCATCACAGCTTCACTACACCCTGGATGGGAAGACTGGGGGCTTGGGCTTGTGGGTGGGAAGTGCTGACAGGCTTCAGGACACAGAAGCCAGGAGGAGTCAAGTGAGTATAGGGCCCCAGGACTAAGCCCACCAGAGTGGCTTTACTCTGGGGCAGGTAGAGCCTGCTGCAGGCAGAGGAGAGAAGCGCTGACTCTGAGGGCTGCAGGAGTGCCGGGACCTTGCTGAGGGGCAATGGGCCTCCGCACCATCTGGATGATTCTTTTAGGCCATTCGATGCTCCCACTTTGTGCCATGCTCACAGACCACCCTCTCATTGCTGATTCCTGTGGAGGGTTCCCCTCGGCTCTTCGAGGTTGCAGCTGGCATCGTGGAGAAGGTGGGCCCCAGAGTCAGACTGAGCTTCTCGTCAACCAGTGATGTGTATTTACTCGTTGTGTGTGATTGGCTGTCTTCTCAGATGGTTCCCAGTGATCCTCACATCCTGCTATTCATGCCCTTATGCAAGCCCCTCCCTTTGAATATGGGCTGGATGTAGGGATTTGCTTTAAATAATACAATCTGTCAAAAGTGGTGGGCTGTCACTTCTGAGAGGAATGCACACAAAAAAACTGTGACTCCTCGTTTTATTCTCTCTGGCTCCTCTCAATGGCCTCTTCTGATGAAGCAAGCTGCTGTGGTGTGAGTTGCCCTCTGGAGAACCCCACATGGCAAGGAACAGGGGGTGACCACCAGCCAACAACCAGAGAGGAACCGAGGCCCTCATCCAACAGCCTGTGAGGAGCTGAATCCTGCTAACAGCCACTGAGTGAGCTTACAAGTGCTTCCTTCCCCAGTCAAACCTTGAGATAAGACTGTAGCCACAGCCAGTTCTGTGATACATCCTTGTGAGAGTCCCTGAGCTAAAGACCCAATTAAGTCATGCCTGGATTCCTGATTCATACATACTGTGAGAGAATACACGTGTTGTTTTAATCCACTGAGTTTTGGGGCAATTTGCTACCTATTTGACAGAGTTTTCCAGAGAATCAGAACCAACAGGATGTGTATCTGTCTGCCTGCCTGCCTATCTCTCTATCTGTCTGTCCATCCATCTATTTAATGAGAGAAAGAGATTTATTCTAAGGAAGAGGCTCATGGGTTTATGGAGGCTTGACAGGGCTGAAATCTGCAAGGTAGGCCAACAGGCTGGAGAGGTAAGATGAGTTGCAGCTCCAGTCTAACGACAGTATAATGACAGACTTCTTAGTCACAGAGGTCAGTCTTTGTTCTATTAAGGCCTTCAACTGATTGGATGAAGCCCACACACGCTATGAAGGTTAAACTGCTTTACTCAGAGCCCACCAATTTAAATGTTAATCTCATCCAAAAAGCACCTTCACGGAAACATCCAAAACAATGTTTGATCAAACATCTGAGCACCGTGGCACTGCCAAGTTGACACATAATTAACCATCTCAGCTACCCAACCACAGACAACAAATCCACTGGTGAACTAAGGCCAGTACCTAATCCCACCACATTTCCATCCCTGCAGCTGTATAACAAAAATTTGAAGATTATCATAAAAATTAGATAACAGGATACTTGCAAAGCACTTGGCACATGGTGCTCAGTAAATGTTGGTTTCTTTCTCTTTTTTCTTGCTTCCTTTCCCTTACTCGTGGTAGTGGTAGTAGGGATAACCTGGATAATGTTCACGATTATTCTGGGAAGTAGAAAGAAGTACATCTCATGCTGAATTAACACATAATACTGTATTTTGTACACCAGTCTCTTTTAGGTTTAACTGTTTCCCCATCTCTGAAAAACTAGCCAGTGTCATGTGCACCACTATAATGAGCAGCCAAGTAGGTGACGAGACTCTGTGCTGTAGTAATTGGGCCAAGGTAAAGCCAGCCTTTAACACTGTTCAGATTTCAGATATAAGCTTTATATCACAAAACAATAACAGATATTATCACTTTTTAATTGTGAAGAAGTTAAGAACCTTGCCAAAAGCCACTCAGCTAGTGACAGTATAGCTGGGATTTTAACACCAATGTTTGTCTCTGAAGCTTGTGCCCTTTTCTATCAAATGCTTGCACAGTTCTGTCCATTGTTATACAAAATAGCCAATATTGCTAAAAAGATGAACATGGCAAAATATTATTATCTTAATGATCACCTAAAGCTTCAAAATGGAGTTAAATATGGGTTACACCCTTTACAAGGGCGTTCTACTTCTACCTGCCCCTCACCTTCAGCCGAGTGAAACCGATCACATCCTCCTTAGACTCTCTACTGAACCTTGTACATTCTGTCATCATAGAACCTGTAACAAGTTATTGTGCTTCTTTAAAGAGTCTACCCCTTGTGAAACTATTGCTGGCCTCTTGAAATAAGGGACAATGACTTAATCCTGTTAGGTGGTAGGTTTATAGAGGTTTATTTCATTATGCTTCACAACTCACATATATATAGATGCATAACTACTTTTATGTATATTAAATGTCACACAATACATAAAACAAAACAATTGGAAAAAGATACATCAAAATGTTAAAATGCTTTTCTGTTATAAAACTGTGTTAACATTCTTTGTCTTTTTGGTCATACTCTTTAATTTTTCTGTAAACATGTAATGTTTAATTGGAAAAAACAAATGTTAAAAATAGGACTTTTTTGAATTAAGATAATAATTTTCAGTCTGTATCACTCCTAGAAGAAACTGATTTCGTAAGTTCATTTTATATTCAACAGATACTTTGTTGTAAAAGTATAGACTCTTTCCTTTTTCATTTGGTCCTCAGTTTGTCTTTTGCAAGTTTTAAATGGAGGTTCCAAGATGTTATGAATAAGTTCCATGTTCACCGTATCTAAGCCCCTCTAAGCGTCTTTCATTGTAGCTGTTTTGCTTAGAGTTTAAAGGTGTCTGATCTTTACAAATATTCTTCAATATTTTACCTGTCCTGCCTTATATAAGCCTTCATGGACCTTAGCTATGTCTGTGTTTGTTTTTGTTTTAAGGAATGGTACCCAAAGCTGTGGTATTTTGAATTTCAGGAGTTGCGGTTCCAACATCTTGGAAGTGGGCAGCTCACGCTCACACTATTTTCTCTAGTGCCCTTCCTGATGGACCAACATGGTTCTTTTTGGCCAGCAGGGAAATTGGGTTAACAGACTTTCTGACATTTAGTCTTGCTTCCACTAAAGATGAGGGCACAGAATTCACAATTTCTCTGCTCTCTCTGTTTCATCCATGAAAACATGTTTTGTATACTACTAATTATGATAACATTAACATTATGGTGTTTGCGTAGCACTTCAGGGTTTAAAAGTTGCTTTCACATGTGTTGTCTACCTTTGATATTGATTATATCATTGATGTTCATAACCCTCTGAGGTACACAGAGGAAACATTACTATTACCACTTTTCAGATGAAGAAAATATGACTTAAGGAGCTTAAGTGATTTTCCTTTGCTGAAGTTAATCTCGTCATTCTAGTTGGAATAACTAAAAGTTATGACCATAGCTCCTTTATCACATGAGAAAAAAATCTTGTGCAGCATTGTAAAAATGCATAAATAATAAACATGAACAGATAAAAATAGAATTATAAATATCTCAGGACCATTAGGTATTTTCTCTTTATATAATGCAGAAGAGATTAATCAACATTGATTTGGCTGAATGGCTGTGTCCATCTATGGCATGGGCATTTTCTCTAAATGAAAATGTAGCTGTTGAGCTAATCATGATCATTTCCTTTTTAGAGAGCTGTAAGAGTGTGGCAGATTCTTTTTTTTTTAAATCATGAGTTGTGTGTTTCTTTTGTGAACAAGCCTAATCCTTGCATTTTGTTCTTAGGGCAAAGTTGGCCTGTAGTCGTCTCTATGAAAGGCTGGGTACATAAGATGCTGAGAAAGATGATGAGGAGTCAGCTGAATGGAGCACAGCATGGAGGTTTACTATGGATCACACAGCAAGCAAAATTTGGACTCTGATTATTTTATCTTTTACTTTCCAGCAGCATTTTGGCTGCCTTCCTGTTTGTGGTTCACATATTAACACAAAGCTTACTTAAGACAAGAAGGTATTCAACCTGCAAACCTTTGATAAGGGGAAAGTGTTTGCTCGAGAACTTCTGTTTTTGGAATGCTGTTTGCATTTGCAGAGGAATATATTAATTGATGGTTTCTTTCACTGAATCCCATTACTCTATTCAGGTAGCTATATATAGGTCATCTACTGCCTCAACTGTGGAAGCAGAAAACAAAAGGTCAGATTCTTGGCCTTGGGTTCAAAAGCTAAGGTACAGCTGCTAGCACAAAATATTTGGAGGTATATTTGCAGAAACAGTTGTTCCATCAAAGAGAAGATAAAAATTCTCTGGACTAGGGAAAAGTAGGAGAGTTAGAGAAGGGAGCAATAAGGTTGTATGCTGATGTAGGTCTCTGAGTATGGGCTCTGCATCCCCCCGCCCCATCTTGGTCACAACCTTCAAAGGGTGGTAAAATTCTGGGATCCAAGTGAGTTGAGAAATCTGAAACAGACAGCACCTGTGCCTCACCACCTGGAGAGGGAGGAGTGACCAGGAAAGCAGCCAGCCTCCAGAATCCCTCTCCCATGTCCTATGTTAACAGTAGAGCAGACATGGTTGTGTGGACATCTAGGCAGAGAGGTCCCGAGACAGCCCCAGTGGATTTCCCATAGTTCTAGAGTGTAATGGAAGAACCACCAAGTACTTTCTGAATTTTTCCAAGAGGGGTACAGAGGTAGGCTGAGAGAGCAGGATACCCAAGGAGACCCTTTGGCCAGGACAAGGAAGATGGAGGGTAACCACGTGGCCTCTTAACAGGGGAGCAAATGGAAACATGGGCACTTCCTGCCATGAGGAATATATGCAGATGACTGGAACCAGCAGGCTGAGAATATAGTGGCGGATACTGATTGGCTAAATTTAAACAAGGTCACTGTCACTCTTAACAACCATATCTCAACATTTTGACAATGTATAAGGGTTTCATTTTATTTATTATTTATTTTTCGAGACAGGTCTCACTCTGTTGCCCAGGCTGGAGTACAGTGGTGCAATCATCACCTTTTTTTTTTTTCCACAGTTGATCAGGAATCATGTGTAAGTGTTTTAAATTCAGCATCTGTTTGGGAGTGGTCTGAATTGACTGAGAAAACCCTGAGGTGGCTAAGATTATATTCTTATGATCAGCAGACTAGGGTTTTACAGTAGATATTATTTTTGCTACAAAAAATAAAGGGTATTATTGCTTTTGTTTCCCTGAGCCAATTGCCTTTGAAGTCTGTAGCCTCTATGCCCCACTAAAGCTCATGATGAGAATGCAATCACAATGCAAAACAGTTGGTGAGTTTGCCAACACTGGACTTGGCTCCACCATCTTCTCTCAAATAGAGACCTCCTCTAAGCCACTCAGATGGCACCCAAAGTCATTGTTCTTTTAATGGTTGGACACTAAAAATCATAAAATCTTTTTTGTTGGCTTGGTATAAGCATCACCTAGTTTTTTATTCTTGAGAAAGAAAAGCTATTTGATTGTCAGAGGCTAGTGATGACAAAGTGCTTGTAGCACGGCCACAGAGCTAAGACCTTTATTTTGCTACACAGCTATTGAGACACAGGCTCTTCTCCACTATTCCGTCTTAGAGCTTGGTTAATTTCTCATGCTCTATCAGTGCAAATGCCACATAAAAATTATCAGATGCGACCAGAAAGTTTCTTAAAGTATGGAAGATGTTCCACAAATGCAACAACAGTAAAGGAACATCCACTATGAGGTCATCACCATTTTAGTGAGGTGGGTTCTTTTCCCAAATGAAGAATATTTGGGCTAGGCGTGGTGGCTCACACCTGTAATCCCAGCACTTTGGGAGGCCAAGGGGGGTGGATCACGATGTCAGGAGTTCGAGACCAGCTTGGCCAATATGGTGAAACCCCATCTCTACTAAAACTACAAAAATTAGCCAGGCATGGTGGTGTGCACCTGTAGTGCCAGCTACTCGGGAGGCTGAAGCAGAAGAATCACTTGAACCTAGGAGGTGGAGGTTGCATTGAGCTGAGTAAGCCAAGATTGTGCCACTGCACTCCAGCCTGAGTGACAGAGTGAGACTCTGTCTAAAAACAAAACAAAACAAAAACCAACTATGCAGGGTTGGTGTGTAGAATTCTAGTGGATATTATTACATCATGAGAGGTTTCCTCGGAATATCTGCCTTCAATTATGGGCATCAGCAGCAGTGCCCATCATAGAGTATACTTTGCCACGACACAAGCTCTGAGGAGAGACAAGCCCCCACCACAAGAAACAGCAACTGTGTCCAGGAGTATGTAAGGTATGGCCACAACTAGGAGCTCTGTGGTCCTATGATTTAAATATCCCACCATCAAAAGAGGCATCCATGAGACCTGTCAATCTGCACTGGCCAAAACATAAAGAACGTGTTTAAACTCTAATCTAGTCACCATCAAACTGTCCCTGTTTCAGATCTGAAGGGTTATACACAGTCTTTCCCACAAAATGCTACTTTGGGGAATATTTTAAATACAAAAACCTGTCTGTATTTGAAAGAAGCTGTCCCATAAGCTCGTACATAAGGACTTTAAACTGCAGTCACACTTTTTCAACACTCAAGCATGGGAGTTGAAATTGCTCTGAAAGCTCTCTGGACTGCATTAAATCATCCTCTTGGCCATGTATCAGCTACAGTTTATTTCCTCTTGATGGAGCCTTTGCTTCCCAGATAGGTTGAACAGAGCAGCAAACATGTATGTCATTTTGTGAGCTAGACAGGGCTAGAGGTGAGTGGCAGCCTCCAAACAGATGCCTGGGTTGACTTCCCCTGAAACTAGGTGTGAGTTTTATTAAGTTCTTAAGCAGATACCATCAGTACTATCCGGCCTTTATGTGGAAATGGAAGACAAATGCATGCTGGCAATGCAGCCTCTGCCTGCAAGGGCAAGAATAAAACATTGTTTTGTTCTATCAAAAAAGTAATTTAGAATGGTGGTTGAGGAAAAAAGAAACAGCAAAACTGTCCCCTTTGATTGTCTGTTCTCAAGTCTTTCATTGTTTCATTTGTGGAACGTGTTGGTTTTCTATTTGTACATCCATCTCTGTTCTATCACAAATGGGCTCAGATTTCCACATGGCTATTTACCTGATCTTGTTAATTTTCCTATTAGGAAGCCCAGTGATCTGGGTAAAATACCATTCTTGGTAAAAATTATTTTCTCATAGGAGGAGAAATGGCTTTTTCTATAGGTAGATGACTATAGAACTAAATATTCAAACTAAGACACATTTCAGTGTAAAAGAAGGTGTTGATAATTATGGTAGGAGGACTAGTACCCAGAAGAACTGTCCTGGGCCAGTTGGGGTGGGTGGTTGCCCTATCAATGGATCATGAAGAACAATGTAAAAATAAATCACTTTCTTCGAAGTAGACAATAAATTTTGTGCCCATAAACATTCATTGACTTCACTTTTTAAAACTTTTTTTTTTTATAGAAAGTAGGTTTTAATTTTACTTAATTTTTTTTGGTCTATAAAGAAGGAACAGTTCCTGCACCCCCTTTCACCACCTAAATATTTTTTATTTATGCCAGAGGGAGGCATAGATGGGGCAGGGTGTGGGTGGTCATGGGGAAGGGAGTGCTTTAAAGGGTTTTACTCAATTGAATATTTAATCTATTTCTGTCTTCTTCAGTAGCTACTCCTCCCATGCCCTCACCCCACCTTATGATAAAAGGATCTAAAAAGAGGGAAACTGCATTCTCCGAGACAAAGTACTAAAAGTAGCTGTAGCTCTTCAGGTCACTATTCTGACTTAGATGAACCTGACTTGACATTAGATGTTTAAAGACGGAGGCGCTTTAAGAGGTAACTTAGCTCTATCAGAAAACCTGTTTAGGGGAATCTCCTAGCTTGAAAGTCACAATTAATTTTCCCTCATTATAAAATAATAATAATTACCTGATAATCTTCAGGATACCTCTTGCCCATTTCTATCCATTCCCTCTTCTTTGAACAAAAGATGTCACCTAAGACATCCATGAAATGCAGACAAGTATCTTAGCCCCCAAAAGGACTCTGGAGACAGGAATTCTTTTATTACCATTTAAAGTAATTTACTTTAACTTTGTATTTTGATATAATTTCAAGATTTAGAGAAAAGTGGCAAAAATAGAGTAATACAAAGAATTCCTATATACCCTTCATCCAGATTCCCCAATATGCATATCTTACGACATTTTCTTTATCCTTTTGTCCCACCCATCCTTTACACACACACACACATACACACAAAAAAAACCCACACACTTTATTCCTGAATCATTTGAGAAAAGTTTCAGATCTATGCCCTTTTACCTCTAAAATGTTTTATATATTTACTAAAATCAAGGACATTCTCTTCTATAACTGCTGTACAATTATCAAACCAGGAAGTTAACACTGATACAATATTATAATCTATAAACCACTTTCCATTATGGCCAATTGTCCCATTAGTGTTCCTTTATAACACAAGAAAATCACACATAATGTATTGAACAATTATCATCTCTCTTTAGTCTCGTTTCATCTGGAACATTCCTCACTCTTTGACATTGACATCTTTGTATTGTACAGGCCAGGTATTTTGTACAATGTCCCTTAATTTGGATTTGTTTGCTGTTTCCTCATGATTAGATTCGGGCAATACATCTCTGGAACCCTGTTGCAAATATTTTAAAATTCCATGTACTGGATGCTCATTTTCTTATCAACTCATCCCTAAAGCTGCTGTTTCATCCAAATTCTACTCCTTAACTGCACACCTTGATCTAATATAGTCAGAGACTCTCAATCTTGGCTATGCGTTGGAACCACCTAGGCCATACCAGACAAGTTAACCAGAATCTCTTGGGTTGAAACCTGAGCAATGGTATGTTAAAAAGCTTCCCAAATGATTCTAATATGTAGCCAGGGGTTAGTTGGTTTGTTCTTACCCTTGAATAGGTACTAAATTTTTTTGGTGTAATGTGAGAATTCACATAGTTTGAAGACCTTCCCATTCTATCCATCTTGATTAAACTTGATTAATAAAAGCCAAAGTCTTGCTTGCCAGCAAGAAGAGCTGTTGATTCTCACTGTACCCCATATCCTGACAGTTTCAATTCCTCATAACCTGATGGACATTTGTGGGTACATTAGCAACCAGGCAATACCAAGAGTGCCCAATTGTCTCCTTCTTTTGAGATACACTAGCAGAATAGTCTTGCTCTCGAGAGGTTTGCTTTAACCTTGGCACTATTGACATTTGGGTCCAGATAATTCTTTGTTACAGTGAACTGTCCTGTGCATTGTAGGATGTTTGGTGAGAGCCCTGGCCTCTATCCACTAAATGCCAGTAGCATCCCCCTAATTGTGACAACGTGTTTGCAGATACTCTCAAATGTCTCCTGGGAAGGGAGGAATTGCTCCCTGTTGAGAAGCACTGCTCTGTACATTCCTGCCTCCGGATCTTTGATCAAAGTATTCTTCACACCCATCTCCATTTGTCAGTTGAATCGGGGGAAGTATGGTATATATGTGGCTATAAACATTGGCTTGGTTATCAGACCATACTGGGTTCAACTTTTTGATCTGCCACTTACTGTAGGAGAGCCTTGCTCAAGTAATTCTGCCCTTGTAACTGTCAGTCTTGTCATCTGCAAAATAGGAATAATAAGAACAGCTCCTTCATAGGATTGTTATGAGAATTTAATGAGATAATGCACAAGATGTGTCTGATGAATAGTAACTCCCCAAAAAAGGGTTGCTGAATGAGCTAGTGCATATAAAGTGATGAGTTAGTGTTTGGCACATGATAACTCAGTAGCTGTGAGTGGTTGTTGTTATCATCCTTATTAATGATGAAACTATGGCACAGAGTGATTCAGAGTCTTGGTCAAGATCACAGAGCAAGTTAATGGTAGAACTAGGAACAGAATCCATGCCTTAGTACTCCTAGTAAAATGCTGCCTACCCCACACAAAGCTTGAAATACCAAGGACAATTCCAGGAAAGATGAAACTCTTGACCAAGTTAGCTCTGAGCAGTGCCATAATATCCCAGGCTTGGCAGTAAAAGTGAGGTGATTAATCATTTTGAATTGGAGAAGTCAGAACTAAGGCCATTCAAGGGAGCATTTAAAGGTATAGAATCTCTTACCATCTCCTGAAAATATTTTTTTTAAAAATGAGAACAGAAAAGTATTAGGAATACTTTAATCTGTTGTAGCCAGGAATTGGCACACCAGAACATTGAACCTTTGCAAGATGTCAACCCTTAACGGTTAAAAGGATCTTTGCTGAAAACTTAGGTGAACATAGTAAGGATGAACACTCAGATTAGAAGACCACACACACACACACACACAAAAGCACACACAGCAAGGCAAATTAAACTCCCAGGAGTACATAGCAGGCACCTCCAGATACCCAATAACCATGTTATAACGTAAATAACTAAGAGGGCTTTCTCTCCCTATAAAGCTGTATTTTAAAGGGGATTCTGCTGGTTCCAATGAAGCCTTGGAGAATACTGCCAAGATGCTGTAGCTTTTTATGAAATATCAGGGTAGAGAAGTTCATTCATCATAACCAGTGGGCCAGAAGCCTGTGCCATCCATTCCTTCTCCTCTTCAATAAAGAAGTTGGGTATTAATTAAACTGAAGGAGTCTTAGTAGAGTGGTTAGTGAGATGTCTCAGGGAGGTATGTGGACACACATGCATGTGCATACATGTGGGGCATGTGTGTAGGGGTGTGTGTGTGTATGTGTGGCTATTTTACTGAGGAACAGAGATGTCATCTTTTCCCTAAATCAATCATTTCCAAAGGCAATGTTAAAAATATTATCAATCAGTACAGTTCTAGAGTACGCATTAGCCATACCCCTATGGCAGAGGCCAATGCTGTGCTAGGTGTTACTTCTTTAGTTGTTGGTTGGTCAGGAGGTTCCTGGAGAAAGGGTCAGGCAGCTGAGGTTTGGGGTAGAGTGAGGGAGGGGGAGAAGAAAAGTCAGAGACACCAGGCCACAGCTACCTAGGAATGGCAGTAGGGAATTAGCTTGACATTTCAACAGGCATGCGCTGACTAATAACAGCCCTGGACATATGTCCAGTTTATGGCATCTGCCTTTATTATAGGGGTTTGCAAGACCAGCTGTCACGAGCAGAATTTCTCAAACTGTGTCTACAATTGGTCTGTGCATGAAAATACCTTGGTTTGCTCATCAGAACCACAGATTCCTGGAGTTGCCATCTGGGAATGAATGTTTTAAACAAGTTTCCCAAGTGACAATTAAGCAGCTATGGGTTTCAATCCACTCTTCAAAAAGTGTATTCAAACAATAAGAAGCTACTTGTGGTTAAGAAAGCAGGCATGACTTTAAAACAAGTGAAAAGGGAGATTTGAATTATTTAATCAGAGAAAAGGAAGGCTCACCAGTGATGTAGCAGCTTTCAAACAGTATCAATTAGCCTATAGAAAATGGGTTCCTCTGTGCTCCAGAGAGAGCTTGAAAAAGAGAACTGAGCTAAACATTTTTCTCTTATTTTGTTATTTTTCTTTTTATTAGTGATTCCAATTTATTAATAATCAGAGATGCCATATGTTGAACAGTTACTATATGTTGGGCATTGTTCCAAAGATATTATAAGGCCTGATCTTTTTGATTTTATTAACAGACCTAAGGAAATATTAGTGCCCCCATTTTACAGATAATGAAACTAAGGCTTATAAGTGGCTAGGTAATTACTTTATCCAAGGTCACACAGTTAATAAGTAGCAGTTTTTCTCTAGCATCCATTAACCACTGTGCAAATCTGCCTCCCATTATCATCATTAATGGTAACTTTCTTTCACTGAGTACCACCTATACTGGAAGCACTATAAAGTCAGGGACACTTTCTGTCTTGTTCATTCCTATTTGCCCAGGGCCTAGCAAAGTCCTAAACTGCCCAATTAAAATGTTTTAATTGCATAGAAGAGAAAGTTGAATGACACATATTTTAGAACAACTACTTCGCATTTCCCCTAATAAGCATATATTATCCAAAACAGACCACTCAAATATCCAACATACAACTTGTGTTACTGCTCTATTATTGTGGTTACTGATACCTCAAAAATAGGTCACACTGGGCTGGGCACGGTGGCTCACACCTGTAATCCCAGCACTTTGGGAGGCCAAGGCAGGCAGATCACGAGATCGGGAGATCGAGACCATCCTGGCTAACACGGTGAAACCTCATCTCTACTAAAAAAAAAAAACAAAAAATTAGCCGGCTGTGGTGGCTGGTGCCAAGATCGTGCCACTGCACTCCAGCCTGGGTGACAGAGCAAGACTCTGTCTCAAAACAAACAAACAAACAAACAAACAAACAAAAGGTCACACTGGTCAAGAGAAAATGATGCTGTCTTAATCCTTAAATTTCTCTGAAAAGATGACCCTCTATCTTCATCTACTGAATATGTTTGTGTTCATTTCTAAATCGCACTGTGAAACCAAAGCCTGTTTTTGGACCACTGATCTAGAGCTTAGGAGGAGACGTTCATCTTTATGATTCAATGATGGCCCCATAAGTAATCTTATACTTGAAGTTATTGATGGCCAAAGTGTACAGATCAATTTGGCAGAGAACTGCTTTCAGGTCCTTCCTGGCTTTCAATGCAAATAGTTTTACACCTTTCCAAAAAGCCAATTCCAGAGGCAAAGGCAGGGTTCTGGCCCCAAGTCAAATCTGCCTTTTCCTCTAAATAATAAACGTACAACATAAAACCTCAGCATTCCAGAGTTAGGGTTATCTATTCTAAACTTTCATTCCAGAAGTAAGAAATCTTAAGCCCAGAGCACAGGTGATGCTCAAAATATTTGGAAATCTTTCTGCATGGAAACTGCCTGACCGGGGGCTGGCAGGGAGGCAATAAGCCTTTACTGACTGAATGATGGAGAAATCCAGGGAATCTCAGGAAAGGGGCTGAGTGACCAAGGCAGCACTGCAGGGCCCCTGGGTAAAGGATATTTACCAATATAAACATATTCAATCCAGGCGTGGTGGCTCACACCTGTAATCCCAGTACTTTGGGAAGCTGAGGTAGGAGGATCATTTGAGCCCAGGAGTTCAAAACCAGCTTGAGCAACATAGCAAGACCCTACCTATTAAAACAACATTAGTTGGGCATGGTGGTACACAGCTGTAGTCCCAGCTACTCAGGAGGCTGAGGTGGGAGAATCACTTGAGCCCAGGAGATCGAGGTTGCAGTGGGCTGTGATTGTACCACTATACTCTAGCCTGGGCAGCAAAGACCCTGTCTCTCTCTAATTAAGAAAAAAAATCCAACCATATTTCAAGAATCTGGTACACACATACCAATGTAAACTAATATTAGCCAGGGCCCAGAGGAAAAGTGACTTATACCCAGGAAGTCAGTGGCAAGGACAAGAACTCTGATTTTCTGACTTCCCTCCCTAGGTATCTGTGCAGCCTTGCTCAAGATACTTTCTCTTTGTCCTCAATATTCAGGACTGCCTTGATGGTGGGTTGTCATCAACATAATCCTTTGGATATAATTTGAACACATCAGTTTCCCAAAGGCCTGGTTAACTGAGATATTAGAATACTTTCCCATTTTATTATGAGGTTTTAAAATAACTCTTTACTACTGCAATTAAATATAAGTATGAATATTACAAACTCATCACACTGATTTAAAATGAAGAGAAGCAAAATGAGCTTTCCTCGTGGTAGAAGTAGTAGAATTTTTAAGTACTGAGCAAAGTCCTACTGTGTGCTTGGATTTTTAACACTCCACAAACCTTTCCAAAGACCTAGTTGCTGAATCTAGGTGGCAGTTGGTTAGATTGCAGGTGCCAGATGGTTTAGAAAAATTGGGAAATGTGACTTGTATGAATTTTAAAAATTATATTCTCGTAAATTTGGCTTATAACATCAGAGAATACTTGATAATTTTTTTTTAATAAATGAGAAATAGCTTGAACAGTTGCCCTAAAGGATAAAGCGATAGAGTTAATGTGGGCAGAAAATTTGTACCTTCTCATTGCAAAATATGGTGAAAGGTTAAGAACTCAAATAACAATTTAGTTGAAAGGCCTTAGAGCCTAAAGGTGGCTCTTAGGTTGGAGTAAGGATATTTAGTCTCGGCAGAGTGGGCATCACTATTCCACTCTGTGACTCCAGGGATGTGGGGGTGTAATTGCAAAGCTGGTGAATGATCCAGCCCAGTGAGGCCACTCCAATGTTTCTGCTGTCCCAGAAGGGGGAGATAATGTCATGACTATCTAGAAGGGAATGACTTGCAAACATGAACTCCAAAATGGTAAAAGGAAGAAAAATCACTAATTTTAATAAAACCCAATAGACCAGAATGTGTAGTTTGCAGGAGCTCCCCAGGTGACTCAGCTCATTTGTTAAGATTTTGGTACTGCTGCAGCAAAGGAGAAACTGACATTTGCATCATGACTATTCCTAAGTGGTCCTCAAGCTTTTCTGCTGAGGGGGGAGCCTGAGACACAAGTGAGAACAGGCTGGTGCCCGAGTGAGTCACTGTGATGGAGTGCTGGCCGCATGGCATCCACAGCCTATATCATTTCAGGGCCAGCTACTCCTGCCTACTGTATTCCTGCAGCTCTGTCTCTGAAAAGCTGACACAGTTCCTTTTTCCTGTAGTTTATTTTGGGAAAAGCAGTATATTACTGCAATCTTCATGAATTATGGGATATGGGAAAGTATTAAATACTCAACTGTTAAGATGCCTGTTGAGACATCCGTTCTCCATAAAAACAGCACTGATTCTTTCAACCTTCATTAATTGTTCTCTTATCTACTTCCACTGAAATCAGATTCTGTACCACACAGGTAGCATTTGATTATACACTATCTATATATACCATCTATTTGTTGATCTATACATGTTTGCTTTGCTTTCTCAAATATTAGTTCACTAATAATTTCAGGTCATAATTTCTTTACACCTAGAAATGCACACACACACATACCCTAAAACCTTATTGAATCTCTAGTTATGTGTGTGTATGCGTAAAATTATGCAACATGTAATGTTCACCACCATTGCACCATTAATGATAACATGTGATGCTTAATCAAATGGATGTTTAAAAATATAAATCAATTTTGGGCTCCACCCTATTTCCAGAGATGGAGCCTGGGACTCTGGATTTTACACAATTGCTCTAGGTGATCTTATGCAAGTGGTCCAACATTACATTTTGAGAAACACTGCTCTAGGCTCTGGGCCTGGCACAGTTCTCTGGTAATGTAAGAATTACCTGGAGAGCTGTTAGCAATGGCAATTGCAAAGTCGCAAATAAAGAGGTTCTAATCGAGGGGTTCTGGGATGAGGCCCAGATGCAGGTGATACATGGGTCAGTTTGAGAAAGACCTCTCTAGTAGGTGACCAACAAGCATTTCTTGGTAAGTTCTTCTAGTTGCTTGAAGGTAAGTACATCCTGAATTTGACTATGAAAATGTCTTCCCTACCTACTTTTCCTTTATTTCTTTTTTTGGTATTGAATCATTTTATTTTTCTACCAGATCTTTGCTATTATTGGGTATTATCTTTTAAAAGAGTTTTTATTCTTGTCTAATGTTACTGGAATCTTTTTTCAATTTTAATTTTAAGTTCTAGGGTGCATGTGTAGGATGTGCAGATTTGTTACATAGGCCTACTTTTTCTAGAGGCAGCTCAAGAGTTAGACAGACTGGACTTCTGGTTATGCCATTTACACAGATGTTAGGTAAGGAGCCCATTCTTTGGGTCACTGTTTTTGAAGCTGTAAAATGGTATATTTATGATTACCTTGCATGGTTATTGTGAGAATTAAAGATGAGCTGCATGAAGCTCCTGGCCAATAGAATATTATTAATATGTAGCAGCTGTTGTAAACAGGTATTGTAAAATTAAGTTTAGCCTAAAGTTGCCTCCTTACATATTTGAAGTGTGGCCTAAAGGTTTCTCCATGCATAGTGAACTGTAACCTAACTGAATGTATAAACAGACTATAAACTCCAGTCAGCGAGTTTGTGCCAAAGGCCTCCAACTGTTCAAACTGTTCGAATAAGGCAAATGCTGACCTATACCCAATCTGGCTGTTTCTGCACCTCACTAGCATTTTCTGTTTGTCATTTTCTTTTTTCTCTCCATAAATCCTTTTTGACTACATGGCGGTGGCAATTTGCAAATTGTTCTTTGCTTCATTAAACTCTTAAATTTAATTTGTCTAAGGTTTTTCTTTTCACACTATTATATATCATGCATCTCTTCTCATTCCCTAAAAGTAAGGATATAAAATTTCCCACAAATGTACTATCTTTACACAATTATGCTGATTTCTAAGGACAGATAGCAGAAATATATGAGAAAGGAGAAGTGAAAGGCATCAAATTCTGTTTTGGCCAGAATAAAGATGGACTATCCAGGCTGGGGTGGGAGGATTGGCATGATTCTTGAGAAGGTAAAGACATGTACAGAACTTCTGGGAAGCTAGAGAATATTCCAACAGTTTCTCTCTGTGGACTGAAGAACAGACATGCCCAGGCAGTTAGAAAGAGCACTTCAAGGCCGGGAGTGGTGGCTCACGCCTGTAATCCCAGCACTTTGGGAGGCCGAGGCAGGTGGATCACCTGAGGTCAGGAGTTTGAGACGAACCTGACCAACATGGAAAAACCCCATCTCTACTAAAAATACAAAAAAGTTAGCTGGGTGTGGTGGCACACGCCCGTAATCCCAGCTACTCGGGAGGCTGAGGCAGGAGAATTGCTTGAACCTGGGAGGTGGAGGTTGCGGTGAGCCGAGATCGCGCCGTTGTACTCTAGCCTGGGCAACAAGAGTGAAACTCTATCTCAAAAAAAAAAAAGAAAGAAAGAGCACTTCAATACCCAACCAGGCAAAGAAACCTCACTCACTGTGGTTATCTAGGAAGTGACTGGCAGAGCCTGCTATCATGCCATGGTGGAGAATGGGAAGAGGTCCTTCAGGTAGGCACAAAACTTTGCCTGAAACGGAGGCTAACAGATGAGAACACACCTAGCACACCAAGGCCTTTGACTTGTTCACAGAGTGACTCTACAGGTGGCAGGGCTGAGTGACCACACCTCTGATGGCATTGTGGCAGAAATGGATTTTTGTTTAGACTTTCAAAGGAGAACTTGGTCTCCACTTTCTGTTCAGTTATACAAACACTTACGTAGCCCAGTTCTGGACACTGTGCTGGGCACTTTGTGAAGGAAGATGGATCACACAGGCCCCTGCCTGGAAGGGTTTAATGTTTACACAAACCTTCTCTTTTTCCCTCTGTGCTACCCCCCACTTCCCAAAATACACACACGTCTTCCACTCTTAGATTACTTGTACATTTCACTAAACGAATTTCTCTGTCCTGTGATATCATTAGCAGAAGCATGACTTCCATTATGGGTCCCTTTTCATTGAACTTCATCTGATTGAATTTTAGACTCTAAACTTTTCACAGAAGTAGAATATTCATGATCTTTAAGTATACACACATTTAATAGGCTTTCATTGTCATAGATTTAACCTCTTTAGAGAAGATTCAAAGCCAAATTGTGAGGTTTTCCTCAGGGTCTGGCTTGGAGCTTCTTTTTATAGGTGTTCTGGAAAGAGTATGGGATTCCTGGAAGAGGCCGTGGGTGCTGTGAGCAAATAGCTGTTCTTAAATCTCACTTTCCTTATCTGTAAGATGGTGATGATATCAGCTTTCCTACCTCACTGGGTTAGTACACTAATTTGAAAAGTTACTCATATGAAAGTGCTGTAAACGACAAAGAATAATACGACCCGAGGATATTAATGTCTATCCTTCCCTGCACCCAAACCCCCACTCTCTTTTCTTCTTGCAGGGAGGGGAGAGGGTTTTGCTCTTATTCATCCAATGAATATATTCCTGAGCGTTCTTCCTAATTAAGGACTTAAATAAGAACACAGTCAAGCTTTCAGTAGCAGACTCCCTCTTTTTGCTGTCAGAAGTTCTCACGTTGCAGCAACAGGCAGCTGGGCCAGAGAGGACCTGCACAAACGATAGAAGGCTGTTGGGAAGACCTAATAAAAACCAGTCAACTAAAATTAAACCATTAAAAGAAACAAGTAACCATAGCAGTAACTTTTGGAGAGTAGACCAGCTTTCTTGGCTCTGAGGCTTATTCTCTCATGCGGGATCCTTCCCGTTAAGGAATCCCAGGCACCAGCAAGTAAGGTGTGATGTGAATGGGAATACTGGCTTTAACTCTGGCTGGCTGCCCCAGCTGCCCATTTTAAAGCAGATCTTGAGTTCACCCACCTTCAATATTCCCTCTATGGATACCCTCTGAGGATTCTAATAGAGGGGAGAATCCTCAACCTATGGATGATTTGAGGCTAAACAGACTAGTAACTATTGTTCCCCTCCTATCTAAACATATTCAAAAAGTTATCTGCATTTCTGAAGAAATAGAGAAGCAGAAATGAGGAGTGAAGGAAAGTTTCTCAAAATCCTGATCCCGTTATTTATTCCTCCATTTCCTCTTTCATCCCCGAAGTATAACTTTTGGCCTAGGAAGGCAACCTATTGCCTTGGGCAGGATGCCCTTAGCTTTGTCTCTTTCTGTATCCCAGTTCTAATGACATAGCCAAGTTATCCTCTGATTGATGCCTGTCAACTTGCTAGACTGAAAGTTCCATGAGGTCAGAAGCTGTGTCACTATATCCACAGTGCCTAGTACAACACCCAACAGGGAGCAAACTCAATAAATAAGTATGATGTAAATGCAACATCAAGCTCGGGCTAGTTAATTTCCTTCCTTCCCTTTCTGCAATTCTACAGTTTCTTAAAACACACATGTGAGACTTGCCTATTTAAAGCAGAACTATTTCTGTCATGGGGCTACATATGCGGGAAGCTGGCCATTCTGTGGGGCTGACGGGTGGCTGCAGATGCATCAGCTATGACTGACAGAGCTAGTTTAACAGGGAGCACAGGGCAACACCTCAGATTCAAAAACTGGGTCTGATGCCAACTTCCTTCCTCTCCTACATGGACCTTCATCACTTGTCTAGTGGAGATAATAACCAACTTCACTATTTTTTCCCCCCAGGCCTGGGTCTCTGGATGAGAACACAGCCTATGGTGAACTGCAACGAACTAGAAAGAGTATTCTTTTATTGAGGCAAAGAGTTGGGTTGTGAGAATCTTAAGTTGTTAAGCCTAATACTGGTTGGGAAGCCCAAGAGGAAACATAAGATGTCCTTTTTATACTGTAGACCCTATGGAATGCCTAAGTAAATAAATCATCAGTTTGTTTCCAGATTCATCTGTTATAAGGAGAAAAAAGATATTTTATCTTCATGTTATTTATGTGCTAATGTAGAGAGTGGGCTGAATATGAGGACAATGGGTATCACGCAGATACTTCTTCACAGACAGTATGTAAGATGACAGCTCCTCATTCCCACCAAGCATCTAAGTTTAGGAAGAGTAGAAAAATAGTGAAATGGGGAATCATTTAAGGGCAATTTGCAAATAAAAATAAAATTCTTATAAATCTATATTAAGGTAACTAACTTTAAAAGTATCTGTGAAAGGCATTGCTAATTATGGATGACACCCTGCATCAATTCTTCCTTTGAGTAATAGGACCCTCACCTCAAGTTTTACCAGGGAACACAGCTGCTCATCTAGAGACTACATTTTCCAGCCTCCTTTGCAGTTAGGTATTACCATAGTACTAAGTTTGTGCCACTGAAATGCAAGTGGAAGTGACACATGAAACTTCTCAATCTCCTTGTTAAAGATTGTCCTCTACTTCATGTTTTTCATTCCCCAAGGTTGGGAAATAGAGACAAGTGAAGCAGCCAACTTGGACCCGCAAGTGGGACCAAGTATGGAGCATGGCAGGGCTTGCTTCCAGGATCCCTGAATGACACTGTGGGGCAAAGCTACCGACCCTCCATGGACTGCCAGCTACCTCTGAACAGTGATGCAGAAAAAAAAAAATGCATCTTAGGTAAGGTGCTGCATCTGTAGGTGTCTTTCTGCAGTGACTCAGCCTGTGCCCCAATACAGGATTTTATCCATTTGGTACTCTAAGAATATGCAGGAAAAACATAGAAAATCATGAACTAATGTAAATTAGAAAATAAATCCTAATTTTGTAGGTGGAATCAACAACTGCTATATCTTGTGTATTAAACAATAAACAACATCATAAAACAGGGATGAGATATTAAATGATGAGAAAAAGAGAATACAGAAAACATAATTGGGATGAAATTTGCAGGAGGCCACTTTGTCTATTCTTAGTTTATTGTTCTGTTCAGTGATAAATGGAAGCCTGCAGCATTTGAACTTTATTTGAACTCTTTCTCCCTCTCTCAAAATAGTCATAGTCACCCTTATATTTTCAATGAATTATTGTTCCAGGATAATCTTAAATATCAGTAAATCATTGTGCCTAAAATCATAAAGAAAAATAAACCAAATGGAACAAAGTCTATCTTGAAAATTCAGAAAAAGCATAGAAGGAAATGAATCATTAGAACAGTATTAATATGGTGCTGTCAAGTTAATTGGTACTAGCCAAAGATATATGACTAAAACCGTGAAGACGGAAGCCTGAAAGAATTATATTTCCTACAGTCAACTTATGTACACAGAAATATAGTAGCAAGATCAGGATAATAGGATTTAAGTAAAATGACTTTGAGGAAATTACAACATTTATTGGTAGAATTTGGAAGTCTAATTGAAACTCATGGGAAATAGTAAAATTGATACTACACTCACTCCTCACAATCCCTGACATGAAAGCTCATGGGTCAATACAGCCAGGACTGGCCCACAAAGTGCAGCCCATTACCAGCAGGCCAGTCATGACCTTCACCTAATAGGTAAGCCACAGTTTCATGAGCAGCAGGAGTTAAAAGTTTAGAAGCAAAGAGTACTTTGCCAAGGTCTAGGAAAGGGTAGAAGAGGACAAGGGGAAGCTTCCGTGATGAAATAAGAAATTTAATCACTGTGTTTCTAAGAGGTCTTTTATTTATATCTTAAAAACTCAACCACAGAGTCAGGGGGAAAAAAAGCTGAATCCAGCTGAACTGAAAGAATTTAAATGTTAATTCGCCAGTGTTTTTTTTTTTTTTCCACTGGTGTTATTTTTGCTTTTTAAATGAAAGCAAGAAGAGTGAGAGGAAGGGAAAGACAGGTAGGGGGAAGTGAGGAGAAGGTATGATGCTGAGTGACAAGTGTGTGAAGGGAGGCAGCTGTGGAGTGCCACCGAGTCCCAGCGGTGGGAACCAAGTTTGCCTACAATGCTAGTGGAATCAGGTGACTTCACCCTCAGGGATTTCCCCCTCCAGGCACTGCAGGGCTTTGATTGGAAGCTCAGAGTGGAGAGTGCTTTAGGAAGGAAAGCAAATGATCATTTAGTGTCTTTTTCTTCCTAACAACAACAACAACAAAATTCATAGAAATATGCCCCTTACATTCTTTTTTTTTTTTTCCCCACAGACAAGATCACCCTTACTTAGGACAAAACATTTCCTAATCACAAACATTCTGTGATTCTGCAGCCTAACTTGGCTAGGACTTCTCTCATCAATGTTTTCTAAGGATACACCTGCCCCTGAAATGCAGTTTTTGTGGTGCCCTATGCATACCTAAGAAGGAACCCATAGTATAAAGTGGCACATGTACTTTCTTGATCCATAGGGAAAGTACGTGGAATTTGAGGTGGTAAATGATGTTTTAAGCAGACAGAACAGCACTGGCGAAGATACAGAGACATGAATGTGCAGACAGTATTCGGCAACCAGCACAAGTAGCTCAGCTTTTTCCAGTAGTTTACTGATGCCTAAAATTTCTTACATTCTGCAATTGGAATTAAAAGCCTTAAAATGCAGATACCCCTTGAAATTGCCTGCTCAGCAAACTTCTTACACTAAATTGTAATTAGTCAGTGGGGCAACTGGTGTAACACCAACCTCAGTTCTTTCTTGTTCAACAGAGAGAGGATACAATGACAGTGCTTGGAAAGCTACCTAGAGGGAAGGGTGTGACAATTGATAAAACTTAGCTAACTCTACTTGAGAGATTAGTTGGCCCCCAAATTAAGCAAGTGGATCCAGTAGATTATAGGCAAGCAATTATTATTTCAACTTTTTAAAAGACAAATGTGTTTAAAAAGTGAAGGTTGGCTTCCCAATATAATTAGTAGATTTGGGGATATTCTTATTATGCTATCCTTTTGCCATATTCTTGGGAGTTGATTTGTTGTTTTTTTTTTTGTTTTTTTTTTTGGTGGGGGGGTTGCCCTAAATTGCACAGCAAAATTTTTCCAATTTCCCTTTTAGAGCTTAATTATTTTAATGTTAGCATATAATTGAACCTCAAATGATCTGCTGAGATTATACAGAAGCATTCTTAAATGTGAAATTACACAGAAGCATTCTTAGGTAATAGAAAAATTTATTTTTCCAAATTAACATGTTTCCTTCTTGTCAAGTAAACTTTTAGATTTATTGACCATCCATCCACTTATCCATTGATCCTGCCATTCTTTTATTTTTATTTATTTATTTTTTTATTATACTTTAAGTTCTGGGATACATGTGCAGAACGTGCAGGTTTGTTACATAGGTATACATGTGCCATGGTGGTTTGCTGCACACATCAACCCGTCATCTACATTAGGTATTTCTCCTAACGCTATCCCTCCCCTAGCCCTCCACCCCCACGACAGGCCTTGGTGTGTGATGTTCCCCTCCCTGTGTCCATGTGTTCTCATTGTTCAACTCCCACTTATGAGTGAGAACATGCAGTGTTTGGTTTTCTGTTCCCATGTTAGTTTGCTTGGAATGATGGTTTCCAGCTTCATCCATGTCCCTGCAAAAGTTATGAACTCATCCTTTTTTAATGGTTGTATAGTATTCCATGGTGTATGTGTACCACATTTTCTTTATCCAGTCTATCACTGATAGGCATTTGGGTTGGTTCCAAGTCTTTGCTATTGTGAATAGTGCTGCAATAAACATACGTGTGCATGTGTCTTTATAGTAGAATGATTTATAATCCTTTGGATATATACCTAGTAATATTCTTAGCATCTTACTGTGTTTTCCTTGGAATTAAGCTGAAAAAACTACATGCTATGATAACTGACCTTATGAATTTATAATTTCTACTTCTTTGTGCATAATAATAAATATTTTTGGAGATTATCAAATTCATGCCAAAGAATTATTTTTCTACAACTTCATGGGTGGGTATAGACATTAGCTATATGGTAGCCACACACTTTATATATAGAAGCTTTAATAGATTAGCAAAAATACTAGAGAGCTCTTTCTACTTGTACATATGAAGGACCAGAACATATTATAATATTCAAATAAGAAATTCAAATTGGGATAAACTTCCAAGGGCAAATGCAGTTATTTTTAGCTGAAGAATGACAGCTTCATTCCTTCTTCCCTCTTTATTGAGTATCTACCATCTGCTGGCCATTAGGCCCTGGGGAAGCAGAAACAAAAAACCTGCCCTTTTTATGAGGAAAGACAATACAGTGTGGTGAGGGGTATGAGAAAGGCTTGCTCAGGTAAGAGCACAGAAAGGGCTAGATAATTTAGGCTAATAGGTCAAAAGTAGCTTCCTCACAAGGGAGGTAACTCTTGAGTGATTTTGAAAGTGAGCAGGAGTTGGCTAGGCAAAACAGAGGTCAGGTGGAGAATAGTAATTTGAGTAGAAAATAGAGCATGTTGCAAAAGCATGAGGCATAAAGAACAAATACTTTTTTTTTGAGAATTGGAAAGACTTCAGAATAGCCTGTACTGTATTTATGTGCATCTTGGAGCAGCAAAGTCAGGTAGTCAAGGGCGTGATGATTGGGGCACCGTGTGCCAAGCTAAGGCATTTCAACCTCATCCTGAGAGTTATAGGGAATGATACAGGATTTTGACAAGGCTTGAATTTCAGAATGACTACTCTGTCATACAAACTAATAATAACAGAATAACCGAAACCTTAACATAAAGACAAACCGACAACATGCATAGATGATTCACGGAATTTAAAAATAGCAAGTAAACATGAAAACATGCTCAACTTCACTTAGAAATTTAATTATTCATTTATTGAATCAGAAAACATATAATTTAAATGTGAACATTCAATTCTAGTTAGTGTGAGACATCCAATCTCATGCATTACAAAGGGAATAATTTGTTATCTCTTTTCTGGAAAGCAATTGGTAAAGTATATCAAAAAATTCAAAAATACTCATATTATTTAACCAAATAATTTCATTTCTAGTAATTGATCTCAAGGAAATAATGAGAGGAAAGAGTTAAAGATTTAAGCACAATTTTTTTTAAATGAACAAACTAAATGTTCAACAATAGAGGAGTGGTTAAATTATGGTTCATCCATTTCATTTTCTAGACTATAGTGTGGTCATTAAAATCATATTTTAAGATAACTTTTAATGATATGGGATAATGCCTTATGTGTTGTGTGAAGAAATCAAGCAATAAAGTGATATATGGAGCATGATCCCAATGATGATTAGAAAAACTATTCATGCATTTCTTTTAAAGCTGGAAGGAAATGTACCAGTATGCTTACCACGGTTATATATTTGCTTTAAGATAATGAAAACTTTTTGTTATGTGTCCAACGCATTGTCCAAGGCTTAAGAAAAATAGTATGAGCACATACCACTTTCACATTTTAACATTTTTAAAAGGAAATATTAATTTATCTGTAATATGAAGGCTGACCTGGAGAGTGACAAAAAATAAAGACAGAAAAACCATATGTAAGGGCAGCTGCAGTAATCAAAAGAGAAAATGTGTGGGTCTGGGCCAACTTAGTGGCAGGAACATAGAAAAGAAAAGAAGGCTTCAAAGGAGAGAAAATCCATACTGCTTGCTAAAGGGGCACAGGAGGAAGGAGGAGTGGGGTGACTTGCAAATTCTTGGTGGATCTTGGGGGAGAAGTTGATCTGAGGTAATGAAGACAGGAAATATCTCCCTCCGCATGCTTTGTTGGCTGTTTCTTGGGAATATGCAAGTGGAGACATCCAGTTAACAGCTCCATTTACAGATCTTGGCCTCATAAGACAGATCTGGGCCTGAGACAGAGACAGAAGCCATCAGCATACATGTGAAACCTGAAGCCACTTTGGTAGGAGAGACATAGAGATGAGCTGATGGCTCAGGACAGAACCTGGGAGACTGGCATTGGAGGGAAGGATGAAGAAAGAGAAGATGAGAATGGAGATGAGTAGTAGCTGGAGAACAGAAGAACACCAGAAAAGAAAAGCCTGACAGAAGCTTAGGAGGATACTTGTGTCAAGAAGTAGAGAGGGGTCACCTGTATCAAAAGTTGAAGAGGGGCCAGAGTAAGAATGCAAAGTGTCTACCAGAGTTGGCAGGAAGCAAAAGCAGTTTTTGAGGCAGGAGATAAAGGCAGGACTGCAGGGAAGCAAGGAGAGATGACAAATCTACTATTTAAAGACCCTGAACACTTAAGAGAAGAAAAAAGACTGAAGGAAACATGGCATCAAAAGAGCATCAGTTGTTAGGATGGAAGAAACCCAAGCAAGTTTGCAAATTGAGAGGTTGGAGCCAGAGGAGAAGAGGGTCAAAGATTCAGAGTTTGAAGATTCAGGAGAGTTGATGGATTTGGGGAAGCAGCAGGAGGGAGGATCTAGACACAAGTGTTCTCTTAGGCCAAAAACAAATTTGTTCTCAATGAAAGTGGAAGGATGGAAGCAAGGAAGTAGGCTATGGAACAGAAATGAGCAAACTTTTTTTTTTTTTTAACAGCAATGTTCATCGATTATAAGGGCACCTTTTATGCAGTGGTTAAGAATGCTGGGGAGTCACACTGCCTGGGATTACAGTCCAATAGCTTCGTGTGTGTGTGTGTGTGTGTGTGTGTGTGTGTGTGTGTCTGTGTGTGTGTGCTGTCTTTGGCCTGCCATGTTGATTTCCCGACTGGGAAAGCTGGTCAGAGCATGTGAATACCCAGTTGCTTGATGGTTATACTTCTCACTGCATGTTAGATGACCTTCTGGTTTACACATGTAGTCCAGAGAGATTGAGCCACTTTTGGAATATTGACAATACCATGTTTCTGAGTCAAAAGAGTGGAGGGTCATTCACTAGATTATAAAGACTTCACCAATGCAATGTCCTTTGAGATACTTCTTGTGACCTTCCCTGGTGACATATTTTGACATCACATATTCCCTTCTGACTTAATTATGTTAGCAGAGTGTAACTGATCCTTATTATGCCCTATCTGACTTTAAAGATACCTAATAAATAGACACTTATGTTTCTCTTTTCTTCCTTAAGGTTACATTTACATAATATATAATTCTTTGTAACTAATTGAATTTCATATTTATACATTTTAAAAATTCAATATGATTTATCTTCCCTATATGTTATTAAAAATTAAATCATTAGGTAGGGAGGAATAGCAGCATGAAATAAAATTATATGATACCCAGAGGCCATCTGGCCCACCATTTAGCTTCTTATTTGTACATACATATTTCTTGAACAAGTGTCTATGATGTTATGGAAATCTCCAGAAGATCAACAACATAAAAAGCTACCAATCCCCTATGACAAGATTCATGAAAACACTGAATCACCTTCTTATGCAATACGTTAAAAAAATCTGTAAATCTCTTCTGCTACCAGTTTCTGCTTTTAATGGAGTAGCCACAATAGGTAGCAAGTCACACAGAGATTTAAAACCAGGCCTTCAAGAGGTCAGGTCCTGTCTCTTTCCATTATACCCAGACACATCCACCAAAAATACTCGAAATTACTTCTTCATTTTCTTTCCTAACAGTACAAACTCTTCTAAAATGTTTTTCCTCACTTCTGAACTCCGCTTCAGAGAACTTTATGATAAAGGCTCCGTACTACTTATAGTGTCCCTTTATCATGTTTCAAGGACCTGATCCTGAACTTGCACAGCTCTGCAGAACTGGCATATTTTCACTGCAGCAGGTACCCCATGGGGCATCCAATTTTGCAAGAAAGAATTTTAGTGCAAAAGGAGGCTCTACAGACACTGATTGGCTCAGCATGGGCTCTGCCAGGCCAGCGAGATGAGAAGATACAGCCTCTTGTCACTTCAGAGGGAATGAAGAAGTGAGGATACTCTCAAAAAGCGAATAATCACAGTAAAGCTTCTTAGTCCTGGTATGGTGAAAGGGTCCTATACCACCAAGCTTTTCCTGAACCTCCAGAGGGTGCAGAAGTGCTAACCCACCTGAATCCTGGGTTCTTACTAAAATGACAACCACTGCACAGTCCGGGTGGGTAGAATAGACACCCCCCGCTTTGCCTAAAGAAAGGAAAGGGGAGGAGAAATGTTAAGAAGAGCCAGGATTTCCCACAAGTAGAGGCACAGAACACATATTTTCTTCAGATTCCATGAAGGACCAAATTAAATTTGAATTTGCCTATATATTCTAAAACATTTATTACTACAGGTCTAAACATTCTGATGGAAATAGGAGTAACACTCTGCAATTCTTTGAGTTGCTAAGAAAGCTCCATTCTTTTCATGTGAACTATTTCCTAAGACAGAGAATTGTGTCACATTTTCAGAATGCTTCCTGCTAAAGTTAGTTCAAATTAAAGTCTAGTTTTCTGTACAAATCACTTGAATATAATTCTTTAAGGCCCAAACGTTTTATAGAGAGAACGAGAAGGAAAAGAACAAATAGTCTGAGGTGAGAACTTCTTTCTAAAGAGGAGAGAAAGTGAGTGAAAATGGAACTGAAACACTTTGAAACAAATTTCACATGCTTAATATTCCACCAAATATCAAACTAGTTTGAAAGCTTTATTTAAGTCCTGGAGATCCAACATGCACCAGAAGGGAGTCGTTAATTTATGTAAATTGCATTACAAAGTCTATTCTATTGCTTAGTGACAAAGTGCCTAACATTAATACTGTGGTTTCTAAAATGCAATTATCTTCTCAGCAGCTTAGAAGGGAAAAATAATACTAAAAATAATTAACTTATAAAAGTACATGTCCTTCAATACTGTGAAATATTTTACATGCCTTTCCAACTCAGCCAAAAGTCACCCGTAGTTGTAAATATGACTGATTTTATGTGAGGTCATAGATGTCACTCAGTGTAGGGCAATATTATGTCAATGCTCAAAATAAAACTAATGTTGGGCTGGGGGTAGTGGTGAGGGCAATATTGAGCAAACCAGGTATCACATTTTGAGAGAACTGCCTTAGGCTTATCCCAATTTATGCTGTATTCTTTGCTAATGGCTCCATTCTTACAATGCGATGTTACCAGTACTTATGCTAAACCAATAATTTTTCAGATTTTGGTAAACCTTAATATTTTTATGGACCTGAAGATTCTCCCTCACTTTGGTAGATACCGTACAAACTAATCAGAGTTGGAGAATCTCTATTTAAAAAATTACCCAACTTAAAACACTTATACTGTTAGTGGGAATGTAATTAGTTCAGCCCCTGTGGAAAGCAGTGTGGAGATTTGTCAAGGAACTTAAAACAGAACTACTATTCAACCCAGCAATCTCACTACTGGGTATAAACCAAAGGAAAATAAGTCATTCTACCAAAAAGACTCATGCACTCATATGTTCATTGCAGCACTATTTGCAATAGCAAAGACACGTAATCAACCAAGATGCCTATCAACAGTGGACTGGATGAAGAAAATGTGCTTTATATACCCCATGGAATACTATGCAGCCATAAAAAAGAATGAAATCATGTCTTTGCTGCAACATGGATGCAGCCAGAGGCCATTATCTTAAGGGAACTCATATAAGAATAGAAAACAAAATACCCCATGCTCTTTTAAGTGGGAGCTAAACACTGAATACACAGGGACATAATGATGGGAACAACAGACACTGGGGACTGCTTGTGGGGGAAGAATAGGAGGGGGTTAGAAAGCTACCTATCCAGTACTATGCTCACTACTTGGATGATGGGACACACACAATTTACTTACGTAACAAACCTGCATGTATACCCCATGAAACTCAAATAAAAGTGGAGAAAGATGCACCTAACTTAAAGAAGTAGAAACCTAGACATGATTTCCCAGAGTCACATCATCAATGCATATGGATTTCAAGAGCACCAGTACTGGTGGTCCCTCTAATGCAAACATTTTTAGGACTTATAGTTCATGACAGAGAATTTAGTGCAGAGTTACTTTCAGCAGAGATGACTGATTTATGGCAGCAGCAGCAGTAACAACTATAACAGTCATAATGGTTATCTACTCTGTATCTACATGGGATTGTTTGAGTGTGGCTCACCACTACCATCCTGTCCTGAGAATACAGCTTTTCTTCATTTTCTCACATGAAAACTTGAGCTACTAAGAAGGCTTTCTTCCCCTCTCTGGCCCCCCTTTTATAGATGAAAACCTATCCTGTTATTTTCTCCTAAAATAAAAGTAGTATTACCACTTATTGCCTTGAAACCTGGATCAACTTATTTGACTTCTCTGTGACTTATTTTTCTCATCTGGAAGATGAAGATAAGTGAATACAACCTACCCTCACTGGGTTATTGTGAGGATTGAATGAGTCAATAAATATAAAAGTTCTTATAATAATGGAATACAATATTGAACACAGTAAGTGCTCAGTAATTGTTATTATAATTGCAAATACCATTTTTAAAATATATATACATAGGGACTGAAAGAAGCTTCACTACTTAATTGGTTATAAGGTGATCATACCAATGATATGGAATCTAATTATATTACATTTTTATGATATACACGAAGATAAAGTAATTATTAAAAGTATATATAGTATGTATATTGTAAACTCCAGGGCAACTGATAAAAAAATTTTAAAGCAATTTAAAAGAAGCCAAATGTAAAGTAAAAGTAAAAGCAAAATGAAATAATCAAAATGCTCAATGAATACAAAAGTGGGAAAAAAGAGGGAAAAAGGGAATAAAAATAGATGGAACAAAAAAAGATGGAAAATATAGACTTTAATCCAATCATACCAATAATTACATTAAATATAAGTGATCTAAACAAGTAAATTGAAAGACAAAAATTACCAAATTGATTAAAAAAGCAACACTCAACTACATGCCCTCTACAAGAAAATTCATTTTAAATACAAAGCCATATATAGGTTTAAAGTCAAAGAATGGGAAAAGATGTAACATACAAACAGTAATCATAAAAGGATGGAGTGACTATCTTAAAGTTTTATGATAGAAATGGTATATAAAATTTAAAAATACACAATGGCCATATCTATATCTAAATCTCTTTAACTCTCTATTAAAGAACCCACAGATCCCTGATAAATCAAATTAGGAAATAAAATGGAATTAATTTTATTTTATACCTTGCCTCATATGCTCTATTGTTACCAAACCAATACTTACTAACACCTTTTTATTTTATTCTTTGAAATCATATGTTATGACATTTATTTCCTTAGCTGAAGTTCAGAGAAAATAGAATAATAAGTGAGTAGAAATGTTGGACTGACAGCTGCATATTATTTTTGACTAGCTAAAAACACATTTAAATTCTTGTCAATGATTAGGCACATTCTTTGCTATTAAATGATCACATTCTAAAGATTTCATTTAGCTAGAAGAAGAAACTAAAATGAGGTCTTATTTTCAGATTTCGTCAGCAAAGACTAAGCCTTAATTAAAAAAAATGAAAACCCAAAACAAAACAAAAGAGATAGGTTATCTAAACTAAGATTGTGGCAACTAAAGGGACACCAAGACTCTTTTGTCATTTTTTTTTTAAATCCGAAGTGCCAAAAATCCCCAAAACAAACAACAAAAAAATCAGCGTGGGAAAACTGAAACATCTTGTCCCACCATGAAAATCTGGGCCATATTTCTTTCTTGTAGGAGGAAATGAAAATTCCAACACTAGTGCTAAAATAGAGTAGGTGGAGATGAAGGAAAATATTTATCAACATGTAGTTAACACCATTGAATTTAAGAGACAAGAACAGATGAAACATACCCTACTAACATAAAACCCAACAGGATTCAATAATTGAGAATGCCTCTTATTCACTCTGGTCCTTCCCAGTGTCTGCATCTGTAAAATGGGGACTGAGCCCTCTTAAGACAGCTGTAAGGACTGCAAAGATACACAGGTATGGCCCTCCAGATAGCAGTACCTCTGCTCAAGGACCCTGGGAACTTGGCCAGAGGTGAATGATCCTGGGATAGACATTCTACTCCCCAAGCTGGGACAATCAAATCCTCTCTGGCATTTGACATTTCATAAGCAATTTAACACATTCATTCATTCAACAAACATCTATTAAATGTGTACTAAAGGCACTGTTCTAGTCTCTGTTGAACAAGACTGACAAAGCTTGTTCCTTGTAGGCTTACACTCTACTGGTGGATACAGACAATTAACAAATAGGAATATATTAGATTTTATGCAATGGTGAACATATAACAATGGTGAAGTGATGAGAAGTGACTGAGTAAGGGAGTAGCTATTTCAGGTCAGGTGGTGAGAAAGACCTCTCTTGGGAGGCAATAAAAAGGAACCAACCACATAGAAAATTAAAGGCAGATAATTCCAGGAGGGAAAGAAGACCAGTGTGTCCCGAAGAATAACGAATAAGGGAGTGAGCACATAGAGGGGAGTTTGGACAAATAGATGGAATCCTGTAGTACTTTGTTGGCAATGGTAATGTGTTTGGAATTCATTCTAAGCGCAACAGGGAGCCACTGGAAGGTTTTGTGCATAAAGTAACATAACCCAATTTGTGCTTTCCAATGACCACTTTGGCTGCTAAGTGGAGACTGGATTATAGTACAGCAAGTGTAGAAACAAGGGGACTGTTAGGAAGTGACTGCAGTGTCAAGAAGGAAGGTGATGGGATCAAGGTCAGAGCTGAGTGGAGAGAAGTGGAGTGTGAAGGTGAAATCAATAGGACTTGCTGATGTGGAGAGTATGGGAAAGAAAACAGTCAAGGAAGAATGCTCCATCTGTGGCCTGAGCAACTGGGCGGGTGATTGTACAGTTTCCTGAAATGGAGAAAATGGCAGGGTGAGCTGACTTTGGGGGCAGGAGGGAACCTCAGAGTTCTGTTTTGGCCATGTTAAGTATGAATGCTATATTAGACATCAAGCGATGTGTTGGATCTCAGTAACAGGAGACATTAGAGTTGAGTCATATTTATAGTGATGTCCAAGAGAGGATCTGCAGACTCTGCTGCCCAGATCACCAGAGTGACCCTGATTTCTGCCATTCTGCAATTTTGTTGTTTAGATTTGCTGTGATTGCATGAGATACTCCTGCTTTCTTTCAATAAATTACGCTTTTTGCAAGCTAGCTTTTCAGTTTCTATTGTTTGCCACTCATTAGGACCTAAACAAATGCTTGGTGTTTAACCAGATCATTTCTAAGGTTATTTCCTGCTTTGCTACCTTATGAAATTAAGAAGTAATTTTTATCTCCAAACATGGTATCAACTGAAACTTGGGGCATTGATGGTGGCCACAGCAGACACTGGCTACACTAATAATAACCAGTATACTTCATTGAATATTGGCTAGGAGAGAGGCACTGTGCTCTGGGCTTTTATAGATTTTATCTCATTTAGTGCTTACAACAAAAATTCTGAGGAGTTGGTGACCTCCTTATTTTATGGATGATAAAATTGAGGCTCAGGGGCTTATGTGACCCATCTAAGGTCACATAGACAGTAAGTATTAGAGCAGGGTTTCAAACCCAAGTGGGGCTGACTCCCAAGAGCCTCAGTCAACCACTGCATATACTGTTGGAGGCAGGTTTTCTCTGACATGGCAGGAAATGATTCAGTGAGGGGCAGAAAGAAATTCATGACCCATATGGTGGTGGTGGTACAGGAACTGCAGTAACTCACTTTCTGGGTTCACTGTAGTTCTGGCCATTGCAAGATTTGCCATCACAGAGCCCTAAATAGAATGTGAGAGTTTTCACTCTATTCCCTCTTTAGCTCTGGGTCCTGCGTTCCTTAGTGTTATTCAGCCAAGCAGAACCAACACGAGATGTATATCTTCATATTAGCCTTGTGTACTTACTGGGATCTTATGATTTGGAGGGGCATGAGATATCCTCAGCAGTCAGCCATTTTACAGATTGGAAAACCAAGTCCAAAACTGTTACTTCCCAGGATTACGTGGCTAATTAGTTAACAGTTAAAATTTGAAGGCCAGGTATCTTTTAAATCTATGCCTAATGTAATAATTTCCAATCTCATTATGGTGCTACTTCTTCTCCTACTTGACCATGAGGCCTTGGAGACTTTGCTAGTGGGATGGGTCACCAATTTTATGTTCTCAATCTTGTCCCTTCTTAAATAGTATAACCACTATCATTGTAACCCCTGCCCAGCTCCGGATTTAAAACGGTTCCAGTACCTTAGAAGGCTCGTTTCTGCCCTCTTCCAGTCAATAACCACCTCCTCCAATCCTCAGGTTGACCATTATTCTGACTTCTGTCACTATAGATTAGTTTTGCCTGTTCCTAAATTTTGTGTAAATGGAATGATAAGCATGTACTTTTAAAATCTGTTTTCTTTTACTCTACATTTTGAGAGTGAAATTGTGAGAGTCATCCATCCCATTGATGACTGGTGACTAAATTTATTCATCTATTTTTTGGTATGGACATTTGGATCTTTTCCACTTTGGGGCTATTATGAACAAGCCTGCTGTAAACATCCTTGTCCATGTCTTCTGGTGGAAATATGTACTCATTTATCTTGAGAATTAGAAATACCAGATCATACAGTAGATATAGATTTAGGCCTGGAAGATATTGCAAACAATTTCCCAAAGTGGTTGTAATAATTTGCCCTCCCACTGGCAACACAGGAGAGTTCTAGCTGTTCCACATTTTTACTAACCCTTGGCATTGACTGTCTTTTTGCTTCTAGCCACCCTGTTGGGTGTGTAATGGTGTTTAATTATGGCTTTAATTTGCATTTCCCTGATGACTAATAGTTCTTGCCATTTGGATATCTTCTCTTTTTGAAATGTCTGTTCAAGTATTTTGCTCATTTTTAATTGGGTTGTTTGTTTTTCTCTTACTGATTTTCATGATTTCTTTATATATTCTGGAAATAGGTCCTTTGTCAGATACATGTATTACAAATATCTTCTTCCAGACTGTAGCTTTCCTTTTTATTCTCTGAGTGCTGCCATTTAATGATTAGGAGTTCTTAATTTTTAATAAAGTCTAATTTATCCATCTTTCTATTCTGGTTAGTAATTTTTGTGTCTTATTTAAGAAATCTTTGCTTACTCCAAATCTTGTATCTTTAAACTCAGGAAGCTCAGAAGCCATTTAGAAGTTGTCTGTTTATTTGACAGTGTGTAAAATGCTGACAATTAAGCTTTCTTCAGATATAAGAGAGGAAAGATGTGGAGGGGTCGGAATAAAAGAAGCACAGTGGTACTGAGGCAGGGAGAAACTTACAGAATGCCCTGGTGGTTTTTAGGAGGTGGAGAGGAGGGGAAGGGAGGCAGTAATCAAGGACTTACAATTGGGGTAGGCAGGGGAATTTTTTCTTGAGACAAAATAACAGTTAACAACCATCAAACAAGTCTGATATATATCAAGCCCATGCTCTTTCGTTAAAGACAGTATTTAACACCTCACTAAGCAATTGCACAATTTACTAGAACGGGGGGTGCCCAGTAGAACACTGTGCAAATGACAGGTGTGTGAACGATCTTATGCCTGTATTGGAACAAGGTAGACTCAAATAAATAGAATTATCCAGTGCTTGTATTAGATGCTTCTAGTGCATCACTTCATAGTCTCCTAGTCCCACCTAACTCAGTCTAGCCCCTGCTGCCATAGCCAATTCTGTTACTTCATGCAATTCTGATTATCTTCATGCAGTTTGCAACCTGAGGACCTCACTTCACATCAGTGCCTGGCTCCTTCCATGCTAGACTTCTCCGCGGACACAAAGGCAGGCACCCCAAGAAACCACTTGGTAGTCAATGCATGGAGTTAACAATCTGTGGAGAGAAACTTTGATGCATGGTGGCTGGGAGCTAATGGATAAATGCTTCCCATTTTCTTACCCTGGACAGGAGGTTCTATACTACACTTCACGTAGCTTCTCAGGCTTTCCACAGAATCCAGCAGATAGTCATCATAACAGGGGCCTGCTCCATTCCCTGTCATCACGTTGGCTCCACTTCCTTCTTTGCTTCCCTTCACTTGGCCCCCATTCATGCTTCTTGGCTCCCAGTCACCATTAAAGCACTTGTGCTCAAGATTTCATCTCAGACTCTGCTAGACAGTAGGCTAAGATGCCACTAAATAAGACTTCTGCTTGATTGATTTTTGTCTCATCAGATTCAAGTGTGAGCCAATTTTACACTTTTATAACTTCAAAGAAAGACTCACACCTTTACTAGAAAAGGCATAATTATATGAATTAAGTCCAACCAATCAGCTACATGGGAAATTTATTCAACAATCGACCTGAGATTCTCTGTTAGCCATGGAGCTGAAAATATTTCTCCATAGACAGCTGCTGGAGGGGGACCAAGACCATCATGTTGGTTCATGAGCTAGTCAAAGCACTGAACTTAGTTAAACCAATTTAACATACGAGAAATATACTAAACAGTTGACTGTCCTGGAAATGTGAACAAGTCATTGGCCCGAACAATCACTGCCTAGTCCTGTTCTCTGCTGAAGACCTTTTTTTTTTTTTTTCATGATTACCACTTTGTATGCCTGGCGTCAGTCCTGGTGAGCCAAGGTGCTCAGTACATGTTGCTGAGGTGGTCAAGAGAGAACCTTTATAGGCACTGCCTGAGGCAGTAATGAAAGTATGCTGTGGCCACACCCAGTGTGCTACACAGCAGGGTGGTTTTTTACAAAATGCCTCTGATTACAGGGGATATGGTGAGGAGTAGGCAGGGTGCCAATGGCAGTGTGGCATCTAAGGGGGCTGTATGGCTCCAAGACTGGCTTGTCTCCATGTCCAAAGAGCCAAACGATGAGAGTTGTCAACAGACGGCTCCACTGAAATCCCCTATTCCTTGGCCTGTTCAGTACATTTCTCCTCCAAGAATTCCAGCCCAACCATAACTGTGTTATGATGAAGAAAGATGACCCACCAGCACTTCTAGACCAATGGCTGTCCTGTAACACCTCAAAGTTCCTCCGATCCCAGAGGGTGATACCATCTAACTCCTTTGCATAAATGCACGCTTTCCAAAGTTACCACCCTCCTAGCATTCTACACAGTTTCAAAGGATATAAGGCAACTTAGAATGGTAAGGAGAGATGAGGAGGGCAGTGATGGTGACATTTACATCACATATTGAAAGTCAGCTCTCTCTAGGACAGCCTACTGGTAAACTGTTATATTAACATTTTGGCTGCTCTCACATGTATCACACTCTGGTTGACATGGCAGTCTTCTCACTAGAGTATGTATGAGCTCTATTTTGGAATTGCAGCATCAGCACACTGCTTCATTCACTATAGGAGCTCACTAAACGTTTCTGGAAGCCTTCTTAAGTCTTTGCTCAAATGCCACCTCCTTGATGAGCCTATCCTGGCACCCTACTGAAAATTCTAACTCCTGTCCCTAATCATAAGTCCCCTTGACCTGCCCTACTTTTTTTCTCTTTAGTATATATTACTCCTAGCATACTATATAACTTATCATTTTATCATGTCTCTCTTCCCACTGTAATATTCCAAGAAAAGCATTTTTGACTACTTTGTTTGCTAATTTCAGCCTATATCTAGAACAGAGCCTGGCAAATGATGGGCATTCAGTAAACGCTTATTGAATAAAGCACTTCCATCCTCAAATGGCAATTTCTGTTTCTAAAACCCATGCAGAACTAGCTTGTGTCTACCCCTGTGGTTCCAAATCCCTATCTATGGAAACAGAATTTTAAATTCATCAATTAAATATTGAGCACTATGCCAGGCACTGTGCTGGGTGCTGGGGAAACAAACATGAAGAAGACAGGGTCTCTGCCTGCAAAGAGCTTTAGGTTAGTCAGGGAGATGTTTGCAAACGCAAACTACTATAATACAACACAGTAAGCGCAATGTTCAAGACAAACACGTCATTAAGGAAACACAGATGAGGGGTGTATGTGCCTCAAAGATCAGCTAAGCCTCTGGCAGAAATCAAAGCCCTGGTGAGTTCAGGCTTCAAGGCTGAGTGAGTGTATGTAGCTGAAGAGTGTATGTGAGGGGAAGTTAAGAGAGGCAGGGGGTCATGGTGGTGGCTGAAAAAAATGAACCTCAAAGTTTAAATGCCTACATCCAAAAGGTGATGAAATTGCTTTATTGTTGTCATTTATTCATTTATTTATTCAGCAAATATATGTTGTGCTCCTGTTCCATGCTAATCTGGGGATTCAGCAATAAACAAAACAGACAACATTTACTTCTGGCTTCATGGAGCTTGCATTCTAGTGAGAGGAGACATAATAAACAAAATTGATACATGAATTATATATTAGAAAACAAGCGCTATTGATGAAAATAGAGTAAGGAAGGAGAATGAAGAACACTGAAGGAATGAATGAACTGCAACACCTTGGGTTTGAATTACCACCTCTTTTTAGGTCATCTCCTAAAATCCTCTATTGAAAATCTTCCTGAAGATGGTGGTGGCCCGCCTGTGGTTTCAGAGGCTTTGTTCAAGCAAGTTGGAAGAAGGAAAGAAGCCTTTATGTGTTACAGTAATTATAACAGTAATTATACTTTCTATTAAATCCTGTGAAAGACCTAAAGTAATTATCCAGCAAATAAACAAATGAAAAGACCCTCAGCAACAGGCATCAGGGCAAAGATGCTGTGAGAAGGCCTTGTGCTGTGATGAGGAGTGCAGGCTCCCAGCCTGACAACCCAGTTTGGATCTCAGCTCTGCCACTTCTTGGCTCTGTGACTTGGGAGCTCCTTCATGTCACAAAGCCTCACTTTTCCCAACTGTGAAACAAGGATGATCCTAACAGTTCTTATTATATATGGGAATGTGAAGATTCCAAGGGATGATATAGAAAGTCACTTAAGTGCAGAGGCTGGCAAGTAGTAAACACTCAATGTATGTTAGACATTATTATTATAGTCAAATATGAACTTTTGACATTTAATTATTGAGATCTTTCACCAATGACCCTAAGGAGCATGAACTCTTCTCTTAGACAAATTGGTTTTGCAACACAACATGTGAGGAAACATTTGGATTAAGGGAGAGGAGAGGCAAATGTGGTTGGGCAGGGCCAGAGGTGCTTTTGAGCACAGTCTAGGGTGGAATGAGACCAAAATGTCTAAGCACAAGACTAATGAATGAGATGAGAAAGGGGAAGAACAGTTGGATGATCATACAAAATATAGTGTACGTTGGGGAGACCTCTGGGATGTGAGGAGGGCACTTGCAACTATGTCATATAAAGAATTATCTGGAGAAGACCCATATTTAGTCAGGAGAAGAAGACCTGGAAATGTGGTCAGGCCAAACAGCTTTCTTCAAAGAACAAAAGTACTTTTCTGGCAAAGAGCAGACTTGCTCTGTTGGCTTATGGAGCACAGTAGTAATAGGAAAGTAGTTTGAAGTTACGAGGTTTCAGAAAAAAAAAATTGATTAATCATGAAAATGGTTTCAATAAGGATTGAGGGCTCCATCACTGGGGGAGTTCAAGGAGAGGCTTAAATACTGGAGAGGAGATGGTTACATAAAATAGGGGACACTTACTTGTCTCTACAGTCCTTTTCAACCTTTCAATCTTGACTTAAAGCCTTAATTAAGGAGGTCAATATAACAGGAAGACCTGGAGAGCTCCAGGCTTGGAAATAACTTGAGTAAAGTCAAAACTAATCAATAGAAAAGAGATGGGGTAAGCCTGCTGTTCAGGAGAAGTTTGCAGAAATGAAGCCAGGAGGTAATGATGATATAGTCCACAAAGATTATCTAAAATGTTTTCTCACTTTATCATCACCATAATCCTGAGAGGTCAGTAATACCCTCATTGCCATTTCATAGATAAGCAAAGAGAGGCCTGGAATGCTTAAGTCTTGCCCATGCATTTTGCTAATAAGGGCCATCCTGTAATTTGAGCCTAGTTGTCTAATTTTTAGTCCAGAATTATTTCCAGTTCACTCTAAGGAATTTTCACATAGTATTAAGAGAGAGGGGTTAAAAAAAGGAGACATGGTTGTTTAATAAGTTGTAATAGCCTCCTTACTGATTTCCCTTACCCCCATTTTCTCCTTTCTTCTAGCTAGGCTGGACTCCAGAGGCACCATGATCTTCCTAAATCATGGCTCTTGAAACTCTGATGATTCTCCTGTGGTTCATACAATTAATTGACAATGCTTAGGTTGGTGCTCAAGGTCATCCATAGAATGACCTATCAATGACCTATCCTCATTCCACAGCATTATTTCTCACTACTCCCTGTGTATACCTGGAGTGGCTCAATTGGAGAGTGCTTGCTCTATGAAAAGGACAGACCTAGCTCATGTTGAGCCAATGGTGGTCTGTGGGAAGGGACACCCAGTGATACCAGCTCTACCAATTTTTTAAGAGAATTTGGAAGATAGTTTTTAATGTCAAATCTTACTTATGTTTAAAGACTAGTAAGGAATTCAATTTTAAACAACACTGTACAGGCCAAATAAAATGCACCTATGGATTTGGCTTGCAGGTGGCCAATTTTGCAACTTCCAGCCTAAAAAAGCTAATTTTTAGATAGAACTGGTCCTCCTCATTTGCCCAACTTAAAAGAAAATGAGGAAGCCCAAGTTACTAAATTTGCACCTTTGTCATGGTGCTTATATACTACCCATCCCTGGTAGACTAAGATTTTGAGGTAAGGTGTTTCCCATCCTTTGGGTGTTACAAAGTGCTCCAATTCATACCCGGTTCTTAAACACTGTTTCTGAATTTTCACTAAGTAGAAAAGACCTGAAGAGATTTGGTTTTGCTTAAATATGAAGTTAGTAAAGATGGGTTCAGATTCCATGCCTGAGTAATGACAATAATTGCCTGGAATAATTGTGTAGGAGGATCAAGCAGAAAAGCAGAAGGTTCAAGGGAAGTTGAAGCATTCAGATGGTATTATGTTGTGCTCATTCAGAATTAAAGAGTTCAAGGTACTCTTGAGTTTATTTTACTTCCATGCACAAGAAAGAATCTGAAGCTGGAATACCATCAGGAAGTAATTATAAAATTTTTGTGCTCAGACCTTCTATTCTACAACACAAATTAGAAGGTGGAATGAATGAGAAGCATGCAGTGTCCCGGCTTAACACTCTTGTGAAGAAACTTTGTTTTCTAATATTTGTTTAAAAAAAAGAATGAAGATTGATTCATACTTCTTCCAAAGAAATCTCTTAGTGGAATTAATACTGATTGTTGCTGGCTTATTTCTCCATAGTACTGGCAAATAAATAGCTGTTTTAAACAATTTTTTATTTTTGGCACAGTGTTGTACCAAATGAAGCAACTGATATCATCAAAATTAGTGACCTTATAGAGAATTTGTCTAAGAGTTATTTTTATTTGAAGCTTAGAAAGACCTGATGGATTTTTCTTTTATTCCTTCACAAAAATGGATGATGCTCTATGTAGGAAGTTTACTTAGAAATTAAGTGAATTTCAGAAAAATGCCATATATTTTTTGGATGGAGATGATTCTCAATATAGCAGAACTGCTGTGTCTTTAAGAGAGCTAAATATCATTAATAGACTCAGTAGAACTTAAGGTATTTTCAATATCAAAATTTAGAGAAGAGGCAATAATAACAATAACAACCATCTATTGAGTACCTACATGCTTTAGGTACATTCTTATTTCAGTTACAACACCCTGAAGAGTAGCATTATTATACATACTTTACAGAGGGGAAAACTTCCCAAGACTGCAAAATTAGTAACTATTAGGGCCAGGGTTCCAGCCCACGCTGGTCTGGCTCTAAATCCCATTCCCTCTCCATGATGCCCAAAGTGAGTGGTCTGAAGACTACACCCAGTGCTCTGCCTCCTGGTTCAGCCCTCCTTCTGTCTCTCTACAGCCCATGGCTGTATCATGGGTTCTGTTGCATCTAAAAGGGTTGGGAAAGGCTGAGGATGGACACATCTACATAAGCAGAAACTTACTGGTTTATTCTATGCAACTCACGCCCCAACCAATGGCTGTAAAAGATGTGAATGATACTCTGGGTTTGATCAGAAATGGTCCTGTCATCTGTTAATAGAGATCTACCTGCAAATGAACAGAATTACCTAAGTGAATGGCAGCAACACATACAACAGGGTAAGTGCATGGGATGCCCAGTCAGCATGGAAGAACTGCAAGTGCCAAGGCATGGAAGTGGGACTGGAGAAGCAGCCTACCGGGCCGTAATCTCTCCAACTGACCTAGAAAGAAGTAATCCGATTGAAGAGTGCCTTGTACCTGCCATGCCTTTGAAACCCCAGATCAAAGCTTCCTTGTTTCATGAAATCTTGACAAACTTCTCCTAAGACTGTGTTTTCAGGACTTATTAACTCCCTCTGGATTGCTGTTTAGCATATGTGAATCCTAGAACTTGAGTTCTGGTCATTTATTTAAAGGATTCATTTGTCACCTGCACTAGAGATTGTTATGTGTCTCCCAATATCCACCTTCCTCTTCTGTTTATAATAGAATCCTGACTTTTAGCTGGGCATAGGACCACACAGGAAAAAGGTGATATTCTCAGCCCCTCTTGTGTCCAGATGAGTCCATATTCTCATTTTCTGTCCAGTTGAATCTGAGAGGAAGTGATATGTGTAACTTCTGGAGTCTGCCCCTATAGGCAGAGGGGCTTATCTCCTTCCGCCTCTTCTTCCATCCTGCTGCCCTCATCCAACCTTTATTCAGCACCTACTAAATGTAGATACTTAACCTATGAAGCTGTAACTCATGGGTTACATGCCATGCTAAGGCAAGGCTGGTGCTATGATGGCAACAGTTAAGTACAAGGACATGGTATCAGACTTTTCTTTCTCCTAGCGTGGTATATGGTCAACTTCGGGAGTTTTAGCCCCTATGAAAATATTTTAGCAATAACATTGAGATGTTATTATGTATGTGCATGTGTATTTGCTCTCAGGAGGTGCCTAGAATATTCTAAGTCCAGCATTTAACATCACTGAATTTCCACTTACGAGTTTTTAGGAATTTGAGGAGGAATCAGGGCAGAACAGTTAGATAAGGGATATCTGTCTGGGCTTGTAAGTCTGTCTCCCTTGCCCAGAGTAAGTGATTCCCCAGGGCAGGAACCAGGGTTTGGATTTCTGATTTTAGACCTTCTTCTCTGGAAGACAATCACAATATTCCTGCTGAACTAAATGTGCCTCATGAATATTTTAGGTGTAGTGCCAACAAATATGCCTGTCTCCCCAGAAACCTTACCCTTGTTGAATGGCAACTTAATCATATCCTCAAGATGGCTGCTTTTCTAGTTTGACTTCTTTCTTCTTTAAAAAGGAAAGACAGAAGACTAACTAGAAGGCAATCAACATAATTCAAGGATACTGGGACTCTGCAGTTTCACAAGCCCTCATCGGGTCTGGCTGCAATACTGCAGCCGCCTCCTCATCTGTTAATAGAGAGGTATTTGCAAGTGGCTCTGCTCCCTACTTGGCATGTTGGCCTTAGTGCAGTCACAGTTCACACTCCAGCCAGAGTGGACTTCCAGTCAGACTAGGCAATGAGCCACTCCTCTGCTGAACATGCTTCCCATGACCCAATCCTGTTAGACTTGCACATAAGACCCAAACTCCTTCATAATGTGACCCCAGTTTCTGTGTAATACTACGTTCATCCAGGACTCTAATTCTTAGAGTTCACCATTCTCTCTGGCATTTCTGCTTTAGTGTAGGCCTCTTCCTTTCCCATCTTTCCTTCACCTGGCAAATTCCTACTTAACCTATAAAGCTGTAACTCATGGGTTACCTCCTTGGGGTAGCCTTCCCTCCTCATCCCAGACTACTCTCTTACAGGCTTCCATAGTGTACTGGGCTTACTCAAACCATGGCACGCTCTATGTTCTACTCTCTATGTACTTATTTACTACCTGTACTCCTTCACCAGCCTAGAGACTCACTGAGGGCAGGAGGCATGCCTCACATTCCTGAATTCCCATGTCTGGAGGCAGTACCTACTACACACTGAGTGCTCCATCACATTTCTCAAGTGGGACTGTCTCACTAATGCTATACCAGGGCATCAGGAATAATGGCTCCTATTTATTGATCACCTATATCCCATAGCCTTCAACCTAAATTTGTATCTTCTTTTTACATATAAGGAAAATCTTAAATAAGAAATATCCTGAACTCAGGTCTTTCTGCCTCCAAAGAACAAGTTGCTTTCCATTATACCTTTATAACAAATGGCTTCTTGGTTCCAACTTCAAGAACTATACAATCATAACGTGAAGTAAAAATGTGCAAACTTGTATCTCTCCTCTATTGATTTGTTATATAATTTGGGGAACTCTTCTAACCAGAATTTCTCATTGAGAGAATCATATACTTCCTGACTACATCAAAGAGGTGTTATGAGGCAACATTCATTCAAAGTGAGTTCCAGTCTTCTGAGGCTACATAAATGCTAACTGTTGTTAGTAATATGTAAGAATTATTTAAATATAGAATACTATTTTGCTAAGCACTACAAATGGAGTACTTCATTATACAGTGAGAATATAAAATACACCATGCACTATCTTGCTCATTAATAATTCAAATCTACTCTTATTTATTCAAGCAACAAATAGTGGGGGGCTTTTAGCTTAGTTTTTCTTTTTGTTTTTTAGTATCGGAATTGTTTACTATTATGGGTACACCATACCCAGTGGCTGGGTGTGGTGACTGATGCCTGTAATCCCAACAGTTTGGGAGGCTGAGGTAGGCAGATCACTTGAGGCCAGGGGTTCGAGGCCAGCTTGGCCAACATGGCAAAGTCCCATCTCTACTAAAAACACAAAAATTAGCCAGGCCTGGTGGCACATGCCTGTAATCCCAGCTATTTGGGAGGCTGAGGCATGAGAATTGCTTGAACCCAGGAGGCAGAGGTTGCAGTGAGCCGAGATTGCAACACTGCACTAAAGCCTGGGCAACAGAGTGAGACTCTGTCAAAAAAAAAAAAAAAAAAAAGAAAAGAAAAAAAACCACAAAAAAGATGTTTACTAGTTTTATGATATAAGTTTATAAGCAGCCAGAGTAGGTGTGTAGGTGTATATGGCCGAATACAGAGATTTTTTAGGATAAGATGCCTCCTAAGCAAAAAAACAAAAAACAAAAAAAAAAACTGAACTCAGTTGGGCAATTAATCTAATTTCTACCTATCTCCACTGTTTTAAACTAGAAATGGAAATTGAAGGTCAATGTTGTAAATATTACAATTATAGTTAAGCATTACTGCGGTGAAACAAGTCCATAACTCCATGTAAAATTCCTGCCCAAAGAAAGGTGTTTAGATATATTTTAAAGAAATGGGTTCTGAGTTCAACCTCTCTTTTCCTTCATGGGCATCTTGCCTTAAAACTTCTGTATTCTGTGTGGGTGTGGTCGCTGTCTGTAATCCTAGCACTTTGGGAGGCCTAGGCAGGCAGATCGCTTGAGCTCAGGAGTTCAAGACCAGCCTGGGCAACATGGAAAAACCCTGTCGCTACAAAAAATACAAAAGTTAGCTGGGCATGGTGGTGTGTACTTCTAGTCTCAGCTACCCGGGAGGCTGAGATGGAAGCATCACTTGAGCCCAGGAAGTGGAGGCTGCAGTGAGCCAAGATCACACCACTGCATTCCAGCCTGGGCGATAGAGCCAGATCTTGTCTCAAAACATCTGTATTCTGCTATGCACATTACTCTGTCTGAATGCTTATTAAAACTGGCCTTGAATCTAGAAATCTAGGCCATCTTTTTCAAAGAAGGTGGTCTAGCAGCATGTTTTAGGGTTTGCAAATGGGAGTCTATCATTCATTTGTAAACACACATTTTCTCCATGTTACCATATGCATCTCTAGGGATGCAGCAGTAGACACACAGAAAAGCCCCTGCCCTCATGAAGCTTGCATTCTGGTGAGTGGAGATAGACAATGAGCCAATACATGAACACACAATACAACATCTTGTGATTGTGTTGAAAGACAAGGCAGGATGAGGGGTGGAGCGGGGCCTGTGGTCTGTGTAGGTGTGGTAGTCAGGAACAGCTCTATGATGAGTGAGGAGCAAGCCATGTAGGCTCCAGAAGGAAGAAGATTCCAGGTAGAGGGCACAGCAAAGGCAAGTTCCAAGGGATGCTTGGTACAGGCAGGAAGTGGGGGTTAGAGCAGAGTGAAAGGGGGAGAGGTGCAGAGGAGATGAGGTCAGCAGGGCTGTTGGGGCAAGGTCTGATGGGCCTTGAGGGCCACAGCAAGGATTGGGCTTTCTTCTGAGTGTGATAGGAGCCACGGAGTCTCTAAATTCTGGTGGGGTCAGGGAGGGGGTTCTACACTTGCTTTTTCATTCAGGCTGCTTCCCTTTCCATTAACTGAGTCAACAACAGCAACTTCCTGGAGGCTTCATTCCACAACATCCCCTTGTGGCTACAGTGAAGATACTTCCTGTTTATCCAGGCCCCTCATTTCCTGCTGTCTCCTGTTCTACAGGGAACACTTATCTAGAGAGGTTTGGAAGAGTTTGGAAGAGACAAGAAAAGAGGTTTGGAAGAGACAAGAAAAGAGGTTTGGAAGAGACACAGCCTGAGAAGAACTGCAGCATCTCTGCTCCCTGGGAGGGCCTGTAATTCCTCACTCCCAAACTGAGCCAGTCCCTTCTGATGTAGGGTTCTGTCACCTCTGAGTGTCCCTGAGGTGAGGGCACTGCTGCCCCTGTGCAAAGATGAGTTGAAAACTGCAGGGGAAGAGTTTGATATAATGAGAGGCAAGTAAGGTAGACTTCCCTGGCAAGAAAACTTAGAATTCCATGTACAAAGTCCACTACTACTGAGGATGATGATGATGGTAATGAATGACATTACTTGCATGTGTTCTGTCTGCCAGTCATTATGTTAAGTGTTTTACATACTCTAATGCATTTAGCCATCACCACCAACCTATGAGGTAAGCAGTATTATTTTCATCAGTTTGTAGTTGAGGAAACCGAGGCACAGAGCAGTAAGGATCCTTGCTCAAGGTCACACTATCAAGTGGCCTAGAGGTCAAGTAGAGAGTTCTCTCCAGGATGTCTCACTCTGGAGACTAGACTTCCTTCTCACATGCCCTACGTCAGCAAAGGAAGCCTCTTTAGAGGTCATAACAGCATCATCCTTTTTGGGGAAAAAGGAACTGAGGAGAATAAAGGCCAGCACTACATAGGCTTTTGTATCCAATGGGATTATACATCCCTATATCTGCAGAGCCTAATCTGAGGCCGTGACCATAGAAGGCATTCAATGTATATTTGCTGAATGAATGAATAAAAGTGCTTTCTATAGTGCCTGACAAATAGTCAGTGCTCAATACATTGTTGCTATTATTAAGTTTGCTCATGGGTTATGTGTCCTGTTCTAGGAAAGGTAGGCTGAGATTTTCTTAGTCAATACCCAAAGGCACAGTAAAGTCATAGAAGATGAAATCAATTCTATTAGATGCACTGATAATGCAGGCTATAATAATACACCAAGAGATCTTGTGTTGTGTTGTGAAAGAATCCCAGTCCAAGTTTTCCCATTATGAGTTGTGTGGCTTTGTTTACCTTGGAGGTTTCCTGTGAAAAAGCTGAGTTTTGTATAATTTGGAAAGCACTGTTCAGATGTAAAATATTATTAATATTGCTTTCACTGCCTCTGCCCTACAATTCTTCACAGATTATCCCTCACTGAGTCAATGGAAAATGCTTGGTGACATAAGCAAGGAGGTGGAGGAGCTGTCAAACCAGGCGCATGTCAAACCAGGGAAACCCTTGCATTTTCCAGAAAACTTTTCTTTTTCCCAAACTAGATGGCATAATTAGATTTTGAAACAGATTCTAAAACAAAATCCAAAATAGATGCTATGCCTTCAATTGCCACATTAGATTTATTAAGAAAAGCTAACATGATCTCAACTACTGATTTATGTACAAGTAGTATAACACCACTTCTGATAAGAAATAGACAAAAACAGTGTTTTAAGCATCAGATGAAATATTACATATGAGTTCAATGTCTTATCTTCCCAGCTTTATACCCCAATAACTTTTCTTTTATTTATTCATTTATTTATTTTTATTTTTTGAGATGGAGTCTCTCTCTGTCGCCCAGGCTGGAGTGCAGTGGCATGATCTCGGCTCACTGCAAGCTCCACCTCCCCGGTTAAGGCCATTCTCCTGCCTCATCCTCCCAAGTAGGTGGGAGTACAGGCGCCTGTCACCATGCCCGGCTAATTTTTTTTTGTATTTTTTAGTAGAGACGGGGTTTCACCGTGTTAGCCAGGATGGTCTCGATCTCCTGACCTTCTGATCTGCCCGCCTCGGCCTCCCAAAGTGTTGGGATTACAGGCGTAAGGCACCGCGCCCGGCCTATACCCCAATAATTGATTAATGCTTTATTAATTAATCCTTAGAGAGATTTCGATAGTGGAAAGAACAGTTCAAGTCCCACTTCTGCCAATTAATAGCTGTGTAATCTTGTGTAAAAAGGTAACTTCTCTGAATATCAGGAATCTGTTTATAATGGGGCAACTACATAGATGCCTTGGGCTATAATGGGGATTATATGAAGTACCTGTTATATGCCTTGTAGTTAGAAGAATTTTGTGATTGGAAACAGTAGTTGGAAGTTTTAAAATTGCCCACCTTGATAACATATAATATTGATCCATGGAGATGAATATCTCTGGAGCTTACATTTGTCACCATGTGGTGACATGTGGGATGGTTTAATGCTCAACTTAGTAAACAGTCCCCTGAGGTTAAATGTTTGGGGTACAGCATGAACACTGCTCACATATTTCTATAGAACTACCAGAGGTAGGGGAAGAAAATCTTACAATTAAATAGCAAAGTATCCTATTGTTGGAGCAAATAAAACATTATTGAAGATGTTGTTTTAGGAAATGAAAGTTAGTACATAGTCCAATCTAACAGAAGCATAGATAGGTTAAAGTCATCTTTCTGGAAGCTAAAGGATCAAGACCTTTTTGAAACATTAAAAAAAAGTATAGTTCAGAGCTGATATATTAGATTCTGGAAAGAATAACTGTTGTAGTACTAGACTGTAAGGATGTGGACACTGCTATGGTATATAACAATAAAAAGAGAAGATAATGAATTTCTTAGTCCCCTTCACTCCCAGGGGAGTTTCCTTTAGCAATTGTTCAAGTTTCTATTCAACTCACTTGCCAAGAATCTTCTTTGGGCCCTTAATCCCTTGATGTAGTTAAAAGCACGCAATTACCATTAACTAGTTAGATGTGCCATTGTAGAATAGGTAGAGGATCCAGAAAAAACCTTCTATGGTAACAGAAGGTTAAAAAAAAAGAGAAATATATAGTAAATATGCATGTTATACATACATTTGCACATGTGTATAATATCCGTATATACATATATGTACACACATATGTTTTACCCAGGTATACTTACCCAAAAGGTGAACATGAAATTACATATATCGAACCTTTTCTAGGGAAGGTCTAACTTGGTAGACATTTTATTCTCAAAAACTTTGACAATTAACTCTCCATTCTAGCTAGAGTGGAATGGGTATATATAACTTTGTACCTGCTCAAAATTTCCAGTTGAAATTACCTCTCCATGTGTTTTTAAAATTCTATTTTTGAAATAGTTTAGCTTTAGCATTGGGAAAGGATACAGAACCTTTACATAAATACATTTGTCCCTTTACATAAAGAAATTCTAGGCCAGGTATGAGTTGGATAGTTTATGATCTCCTTGCAAAGCTGGGCTAGTCACTGCAAAGTTGCAATGCCTATTAAGCCCATTAAGCTTACCACCTAAACACATAAAGTGATAATAAGTGTTTCAGGTATCATTTTCTTTCTTATGTGTCAATTCTAAGCTTTATCAGAAAGTACTAAAACAAACCCATATAAATTACTGATAGTTGGACTCAAACAGAATCACTAAGACTGCAAATGGCACTCTCTGAATTTTACATTAAAATCTGTTTCTTTAGGAAAACAATTTTTCATTAAAATTGCTGTTTTGTTTTAATATATCTGACATTTAGGTTAGAGGTAGCAACTGCCAATGTCTGTTACTTCTCAACAGTTAAAAGATTCTTTAAACAGATAAACAAGTTTTTAGTTGATTTCCCCACTTAACAATGTTATTAGTTGAACGGTCTACCTTGTCTTTACCAAATGTGATAGGTGGCTGAGAAATCTGCCTCTGAACCTTCTCAGGGAGTATCACTTTCATAAAATCATTTCTTCCCTCTCTCTGAAAGATGTTTGCTACTTTCTTCAGAGGCAAGAAAATGTTTAGTATTGTACATTTAAGAATGTTAAGTTCTTAAAGAATTGTTTTAGAGATCATTAATTTTAACTTTCAGTTTTGCATTAATTCATTTATTTCCAAAATGGCCTCAATTCTAGTCCATGTTATTACCGGAGAAATAGCAACATTTGTTTTGCTGGAGGGTTAGAATCTGTTATACACATGCCATCTCTCTTGCCACCTCACACACACACTGCCTTTTGTTCTTCATAAACCAAAGATGGTCTAGAGATGTATGACAAAATATTATTTTTAATATTACTATTATGGTCATTGAATAGGGAATGAGCATTTCAGTTGACTTCACGTTTTGGTTACTGAACGTTAATTACCATGAATACCTCTAGAGGGTTTACCATTTCTGAGGATTAAATCATATACAACTCAAACACTTCTAAGTTACTGAGTGAACACAATGGTTTTTGAAAATTCTTAAAGAGCTTTAGAGCTCTGCAGAGCCATAGGTCATGATTGGTTGTGCCCAGATCCTTACCCTAGTGCTCGCAAAAAACTTAAGAAATGGGCATGAAGTTCAACCAGCTTTCTTGACCAACACCCACCTAAGTTTCTCTTCCAAAACAATTCCTGAACAAGTGACACATACTAAATTGTGTCACTTGTTTCTCCTCAAAGCAGAGTACAAAGTGCATCATACCAACTCAGCCTCATCCTTCTCCTCCTATCACTCTCACCATACAAAACAAGTGATTTGAAATGTCCAGTGGTTTGTATGACAGAGAGATTTCATTGTACTCAGTGGCCATGATGTGCTGGTCTTTTTCATAACTCACACAACAGCATAAAACAAATAGACTCTGACTCAGTCAGGTATACTATCGTGTAAAAAGAAAAATAAAATGCACAGAGCAGTAGGGGATTTTTCTCAGCATGATTATTTTGCATCCAGAAAGGCTAAGAGATTGTCCCAGGTCACATGGATTGGGAGGATGTTGAGAAATTCTCAAAAGCAGAGGAGAGAAAGTAGGATTTATGAGTGACCTTAAAAAGGCCTTGGCCTTTCAGAAGAGAAAAGAGCTGTCCTGTAGCAATCCTAAGATTCCAAGCATATGAAGAATTACTGTGCTGAAAACACACTTCTACTTGTATTTACCCTTACCCTAAGAGAGCTATTGGGCTTAAAACGTAGCATGAGGGAATTAGGTTAAGTACAGTTTTCTGAAAAAGAGTCTCCTTAAAAAAATAAATTATAGCTTGAGACAGTGACCGTCTCAATGGGTACCTAAATGAATGAATGATTGAAACAGGTTAAATAGTGCTGGTGGGGGGACTAGGTAGGAGCACATCAGATAAGATGGCTAAGATGGCCTCTCTTTCTACCTACTATTCACTCTATGTGGAATGATTTTCTCTCAGCTCTGTACATGGCTCTCTAAATTTCTTTAGATCTCTGAATGACATTGAAACAATGACATTTAATAAACTGTCACTTCCCCAGAGATGTTTCCAATGGCAATCTTTTCAAAAGTGGCCATTCCTCCCCCATCAATGCTCTATCTCTCACTCTGCTTCATTTTTGTTCATAGCCCTCATCACTAGCTGAAATTACCATGTATATTTACTTGTTTACTATTTCATTGTCTGCATCTCATGTTAGAATATATGCTCCGTGAGGGCAGGGACGTTTATCGAACTCCTAGGCCTAGAGCATTGCCTGGTAGGTAATAAATGCTCCACACATGTTTTTGAATGAATGAACAAATCTCTCAAGTGCCAAGGGTCTTTGAAGCTTCTGTATTTCTTATAAGATTTGTCATGTTTCCTGCCTGCTCTAATGAGCGGAAGGGAGCTTTGTGAATTCCTTGTGTCCTACATGGATGCCCATGGAGACAAGGCTGGAAACCTGGTACATGAATCAGAAGCCCTCCAATCTAGAGAGAAGGAACCCACCCTTTCTTCTGTGCAGGAAGCCACCATTGCAGAGAAGGGGCAGCCCCAGGTTTGGATGCCCCCTGGCAGAGTGGTGGCACTCTGCAGCTCTGAGAAGGCCCCCCACAGTGGCCAGCAGTAAAGAAGAGCATTTGCTGTTGGCTCAGAATCAGGTGAAGGAACTGCAGGTGTGGAGAACTGAAGTGTTGGGTGAGCGTCAACATTTCTGACAGCTCAGAGATACCGTTTTTAAAACTGCATACATCAAGTCTTAGCTGGGGAGATAAGGATCCAAGTGCTTAAGCAGAGCTTACTCTAGACAATTCTTGGCTGACCTCACCTGTACCTACTTGTGCCTGAAAGAGACAAGACACTGGCTTTATATGATTACCTATGCCTGGGCTCCATTCAGACCAGCCAGGTAAAAGTTCTGGGGGTGGGGCCTGGGCACATTAATATTTTTAAAAGATCTCCAGGGGACACCGATGTGCAATCAGGTTTAAGAACCACTGGACTAAAGTGAAATGTAAATTTCGTTACCAATCTCTTGGATCTCTTTCATTTTCCCAAGGGTTTGGCTCTTTGTGGAGTGGGTAGACTATTTTCAGAAATATGAGAATACTGGAGAACATCAACCCTGCACATTCACACACACAGAAATTCTGCAGTTCCCCTATAGCATTTTCTATTGAGGGCTCTCAACTTCTAGATCTTTCTGAGAACTCTCACATTGCAGAACAGACGGCTAAGTTCACAACACCACCAATGGAATTTCCAGAGAAAGCCAAATATGGCAGAATTCCATTTGTCTGATTTCCTCCTCTTTTTAGTATTATTGCTTGAGCAGCTTTGATGAAATTTAGGAAACTGGAGTCAGAAGGGCCCCTAATACAATCAGCTGAGAGCCACACTGGAGGATGAGGCTTTCTGTGTCACTATGGGAAACTAGATTTGTGGATGCTTCTACCCATTTCAAATAAACTCCCATACTTATGAAGGAGGCCTGCTGGTTGCATCCCCCTAGTATGGCTGCTTGCCCATGGGGGCTACATGTAGAAAGTGGGGATGCCTATTAAACAAACAAGACTGAGATTAAGCAAGATGGATGTAAGCAGGTGAGACAGACCCTTTCCATGTGCCTCCCTTTTCTCTGACAATAAACCTTAAAGATTTTGAAGAAGGAACTCTTGGCTCCACCAGTTATTAGTAATGAATGAAGAAGACAGATACCTTTGGGGAAGCTTTGTTTGGTGCCTAGAATTTTACGTTTGAACCTTTCTTCGTGATAAGAGTAATGGTCAGTTTTGAACAAGGAGCGCAGGTTTTCTTAACACATAACATTTGGCCCACCTTAATTTGTTCATTTTCCCCCTTTTTAATAAGCACAACGTAGATCTTTGCTTTTTAATAATGTTACTGCTTTACATTAGATGATTAAATATCAAAAATGGAAAGCCATGTTTTCTAAGTGGCTAGAGTGTTTGTGTGTATTGGGAGTGGGGTGGGAGGGAAAACATTTTCTGTGTGCTAGACTGTCATTGTAAACTCAGCTGGATTTAGGACATTCTGATAAACTGGTAAAAGTTACCTATCACTTTCAGAGAGTGCCTACAAAGATGACAATGATGACGATGGTGATAGCTAACATTTATTGAGCATTAAATAGGAGTCAGGCACTGTGTTAATTATTCTACATGTAAAATTCTCTTGTCTCTAAGCTAATAAGGTAGAAATTACTACTATTCTCACATTATATGAGAAGACTAAGGCCCAGAAAGATTAGGTAACCTTTCTAAAAAAAAAAAAAAGAAAAGAAAAAAGCCCATGATGATTCAGAGCTATTGGCAGTAAATACATGTAGCACATATTTCTGGTAACAGTCTTCCTCGAAAAACCTCATAAATTTATGAAGAACAGCATCAGCTGTTCACCATCTAGCCCTGACTCACCTCCTTTCCCGTTTGCCTCTAATCTCTCATAGAGAACCTACTGCAGTCAAAAGAATTGACTCACTAGACTGCAAAATGCTGTGCCTTCTCTCTTTCTGTATAAAATCTACCCATCTTTAAGTATCATTTTTCCATAAAACCACCCCAACCACTCACATACAACCAGCTGTAACAACTTTGTATCCTCTTAATTCCACAAAATATTCTTTGTCTTTAAAGAAACCTTCGGCAGTTGGTTATTTTTATAGCTATATCATAGATACATATGCCATATAAGCATATTTTAAACTTTTTCCTATATAAGCACAATGCCTGGCATGTTGCAGATCTCCAATAAATATTTTCTCATTATCTTTTCTGAAACGAATAAAGTTTAGAATATTTTATGACATTCTCAGGGCAAGTGTGTAAACAACAGATAACTGTTGAGGACAGAAGGGAGCTGTGAAGTTTTATTCTCCATAGATGGAATTATGTTCCAGTGGTTACTGGAAGATGTCTCTCTACCTGGTTACCCACACTGGACTTGACGCTGGCTTTAAATGACTGCTCTCCCTTCTCAAGTGCTATGGAAGTACGACTGGCAGGACTGTGGGTCTCTGCATGCATGTTTCCATTCTCAATGCAATCACAGACAGTGCCAAACCTTTATGTCCTTATTTTCTGAACCTTCATATGACAGGTGGTAGACATTTCCATGGCACTGACACAAAAATTAGTAAATACAGGGCTACATGTTTAAAATATTCAGGAACAAAATGCCAGATTATCAAATCTATTTCAAAAGATTGTTAAAGCTGCAATCTTGAATGACATAGCCATGTGCTATGCCAAGAACACATAAATCCCCACCTGTAAAGCACCAGGGTGTCACCTGCACACCCAACAATAAAGAATTCAGGGTTTTTCCTTAAGTTAAGACTAAAGCAAGGATGGTAAATGATTATGCAATGTAATTCACCTTTTATTCCTCCCACCACACAATGAACAACTGACCTTCTGTGCGTGTATATGTGTGAGTGAACTGTTTAAATAAGAAGCTTCAGCTAGTTCTTCTATTAAATATGAGAGAAAAAATAAACATTTCCATTTTGCAAGCCTGGCATCTTCTCCATAATATAAAGCCAAATGGAAAATAAAAGGGAATGAATATCATCAGAGGACGATTACCTATGACAAGTCAACAACTGCTGCCGGCAATCAGTGAGGACCAGCATGTATAATACTAAGCCTTAAGATGCGAAATATTTATGCCTAAACTTTATGAACAACTGCTCAAGGAAAATGACTTGCTTTCTTTGCCTGACAAAGAAAATTTAGGCAGCTGTTCTCCAACTTTGATTTCCAGAAAGCTGGGGACTGAAACTGCCATCTGTAGAACAGCTATTGTTTAATTTGAAGACCACATCACAGGATATTTAAGTGACATGCCAGAAAGGGTTATTGCCCCACTGTCAGGCTGGCCTGGATGCTGGGTTTATTATGTGTGCTTTCTTCATGTAATCATTGATTCAAAATCCCTCTTGACATTGAGGGCTGGAAAATTCTCCTTATTGACAAAGATACAATATGAGAATATGAAAATGTGTCTACTCAGAAAGGACTGACCAGGGATTACCTAATAAAAAAGACAAGAAGAAACAATGGCAGACCTTGTCATATTTAAAAATAATATGCTGGTCCCTCTTCCAACTTATTCTACTTAATGCAGCCATGCACTCACTACATGCATTTCTAGCGCAGACTATGAGCTGAAAACTATTAACCAAAGTCTTATTTCTTCATGCTAAAAAGGCTCTGCCAAGCAGCGTCAGTAACAGCAACAATGAAAAATAAGATTGCAGGTGCATACCTTAACCTCCTGATTGGTAAAGACCTCGACATCCACCACACAGGCAACCAGAGTGGAAACATCACAGTCCATGCTAGGGGCTGGCATTCCCCCTTCTGAATTTTTAATAAAGAGTTAGGCAACCTCAGAGTTGGGAGTGAAGGGAAGAGCTTCCAGATGGATATTGCTGTGGCCAGGCCTCGGTGCTGCCTTGCTCTGGGGACGGCTGGAGGCTCGGGCTCCTGGAGCCCGCTCCCACTGCACGCAGCCCTCCGCGTCTGAGGCAGCACAGCAGAGTAACGAACGGCCCGGCTCGCTCATGGCAATGACATCACCACAAAGACTGACACAAGCTGAAGCTATTTTTTTTTCTCCAAGCCTTTTATCTCTAGGCAGTGCAGTGGAGCAAATTGAACATGATTATGTGCTAAATCTGAACTCAGACTAAATCAATTCAAGCAGCGTTAGCTAGGAACTGAGTCATAGCTGTTGTTGCAGCCGAGTGCTTATGTTTGCAAAAAGCAGGAGGGGGTGAATCTGACACCAGAGTTTCTTCTTTGAGGTGGGGGAGGTGTAATTCTGCAGATGAGCCTCCTGAGGTTAAGGTTTGACAATTTTCTGCCTTCGAGATGAGCAGGAAGTTGAGGCATTTTGCAAATTGCTTGGCTTCTGTTAATTGCTCTGTGCCACTCAGAGCAGCCACACATGTTCTGGGCATCCTAATGCATCCCGGGCATGGGCTGAATAGAAATCCGTTCTTGGAGTGACTAAAGAGCTGGTCGTCTGTCATTTAGGGAGCATGGTAAGAGGAGATAATTAGAGGTTTGTGGAAATTCTATTTGAAGGCTATAAGTGCAGACCAGTAACGCTAAGAGCACCCTTCCAAGCTCAGGATTTCAGGCTGTCTCCAAGGTCATTCAAACCAAAAGCAGTTCATGGAAAGGAGTTACAGCAAATATTTCACACGGGGACAGATGGCAGGGTCTAACGGGCAAACTCACTGATGTGTCTCAGAGCTTGTCAGATCCTCGGGGCTTGACTTCACCTGAGACTTTGAACACATCCTTTTGCTTTCTCAGGCTTTTTTCCTGATTATAAATCCCTGAGGGGCAAGGCCACAGATGATTTACCTTTATATCTTCAGTCTTTCACAGATTGCCTGGCACAAGAAGATGATACTTGTTTAATAAATAAATCAATCAAACAGGAATAGCCTCCTTTCACAGGAGTGACCAAAGGAAAAATTTCCAATTGTTTTTTATTTTATCATTAGTTATACAAGTCCCAGTAGAACTCACTAACATTGTAGCAGTATCTATCCTTAAGAGTTCAGTTGTATCTTCAGTGGCCACTGGAACATCCTGATTTATAACAGATTGGTACTTTTCTAACATATGACTGGACAAAAGCCTCCCAATTTTACATGCAGATGAGAAAGGTGACATTTCAGACTGAGAGTAGAAGCTTTCTCATTTGTCCTCATTGGTGTACACTTGAGTCCAATGTTCCCCTTCAACAAGGCATTTTCTATGCTAAAGGTAATCAGGCCACAAATATGGATATTTAGACTGATGAAACTGTGTGTGTGTGTCTTTGTGCATTTGTTCAAGTGGCATTTATTTCGCTGTCCAGGACACTGTGGGAAATATTAAGTCATATATGCATATAATCCAACTAATATCAAGTAATGACTATGCAAAGCTCTGCATCTGATACTCTCAAGGATAAAATGATGAAAAAGCAAATGTCACTATCATCAATGGGCTTAAAATCCAGGGGAGGAGATAAGACATGGAGACCAACATTTCACAAGGCAGGGATGGTGATGGCTGAATAGGTATAGGAAGTGTTCAGTGGGAGCACTGGAGAAAGAGCAATGAATGCTGAATGCTGGATCCCATGTTAGGATGGCAGGTGAGCATCAAAGAAGGGGAGGAAATTTCTGCTCTGACCTTGAAATACGGGAAAGATACTGGCAGACAGAGAAGTGAGGGGTGCCCTTCAGCTAGGTAAAAACAGACTAGAAATGTCCAAAGGAAAGAATAAGGCATTTGGATGCAAAACTCACTCAGGGTTAAATCTGGCTGGAGCCTGAAGTATACAAGGCAGCCGGAGCCAGATGATGCAAAACCTGGCCAACATGAAGTACCAGGCAGCTTTTGAAAAGGTAAATGGGGGATCTACCTGTACAAGTGTAGCTAAAATGTAAAGTAATACAAAGATGAATGTGATTTTGAATATCACTGGCATCTGTTCAAGAGGCAAAACAAAGAAATGAATATTTTTTCATATGCCATGGCATATCCTAAAATTTATTTTTTACATTTCACAGCATACTGGTAAATGTTTAACAATCAGCTCTCTGAAAAGAAACATTTCAATTTTTAGCATTCGTCAATTTCTATGGTGTAAATATGCTCATCATGGCTGATTTCCAGCAGTCAGTGTGAAGTCAAACTGAATACAAAGTTGGGAAGACATGCATGTAATCTGCTCACACGGGCTGTTCCAGCACATCACTGTTTCATACTCATGAAAACGTTATGCCATATCAGTGACAGTTCATCCATAGAGGCAAAGTCCACGTGTGCCCAGAGCCCATCAAGAAACAACAGCAAAGTAGAAGCAACACATTCTAATCATTGCTCTGTTTACATAAGGGGCTGTATGAATTATTTCACACTTTATGTTTAGGAAAGAGCTATAAAAGATAAACATTGCTGTGATATGCCCTGACCAGAGGACATTATCCAGGAAGCAAAGCCCTACTTGAAGTTGTAAAATAGGCAGTTTTTTTTTTCTGATGTATCCTCAGCTTTCCCTTTCTAATTTGATTCTGCCCTACAGATTCCTTCCTGCTATCCAAGCACCCACTAACTTTATGCTTTCCTCTTTTAAAATATCTTTTCAAGGACAGTTGTCAACTCATCTGTATAAGCATTAAATGACTGATAACTCATAGTATTATCCCTCCCAGAGGAATACATATTTTAATAAGAGACAGAGTCTTAAGTTGGGCAAATTGTGTTTTTAGGGCAGAGTTCTAGGCATCAAGAGCAGATGATTTGTGGGGCAAAGGAACTTTCCAGTAACTCTGAACTAAAATTAGTGGGTTTTAAACCCCCAACTTATTGGGTTTTTAATAGTCATTCGTCTATACAATATGGTCATTTTCCTATTGGCTAGAGAGCCCAGGAGGCTCTCCTGTTATAACAGTGTCCTGTTTCTCTAGAGTTTTGTTTGTTTGTTTGTTTGTTTGAGATACAGTCTCATTCTATCACCAGGCTGGAGTGCAGTGGCACGATCTCAGCTCACTGCAACCACCACCTCCTGGGTTCAAATGATTCTCCTGCCTCAGCTTCCCTAGTAGCTGGGACTACAGGCACGGGCCACCACGCCCAGCTAATTTTTGTATTTTTAGAAGAGATGGGGTTTCACCATGTTGGCCAGGAGGGTCTCAATCTCTTGACCTCATGATCCGCCCACGCTGGCCTCCCAAAGTGCTGGGATTCCAGGCTTGAACCACCACCCCTAGCCGAGAATGTGTTTTTTTATAGCTAGGGGCTGACTTGCAGCCTTGGAGGTGTCTAGAATATAGATACACTTTGGCCAATGGCTACAAGGCCTTGTAAACACTAGACTTGGATTATTCTCCCACTTCATCTCATATCATTCTCACCTTTCTTCACTCCTCTTGTTCCAGCCCAATTGGCCTTATTGGTGTTCCAAAAAAAAAGAAAGAAACAAAGGAAAAACTTCCAAGCTCATTCCCATCTCAGGCCCTTTGCACTTGCTATTCCCTCTCTCTGAAAATATTCAGATCTCTTCATGGCTTGCTCCTTCTTATCATCTGGATCTCCGCTCAGATCACATCTCTTTGGAAAAGTATTCCCCAATCAGCTAAAATAAAAATTGTGTGCACATTTTTACACACACAGAGTCAATCACTATCCTGGCATCTTCATTTTAACTTTCTTCACAGCACTTTTCACTACCTGAAATTATTCTGTTCATTTATTTCTTTATGTGTCCACTGCTTGTCCTCACAACTAGAATTTAATCTCCATAAAAGCAGAGATTTTTGCCTATTCTGCTCCCTGCTTATTCCCAGGGGCTAGAAGGATGCCTGACACTTAGGAGTTACTCTAATAAACATCTGAAAGATGAATGGATAAATACACAAATGAATCTAAAAAGGCAAGTAGAGAGACTCAAACCAATAGAGGTGCCTCCTAGATCCAGGAGTTGCAGGGAGGCTTTTGCAGAAGGGCTGCAAAGGCATGGTGAGTTCGGTGATAACCTCTCATCTCTGAGAGCTGAGTCCTGGCTTAGCTCTGTTCAGGAGTGTCCTTTCCAGCTGAAGTGGCCAGAAAACCTTGGGATTCATCCAAACCACTGCTCTTGCAATGACCGATCACACTGAGGAAAGGATGCATTATGCACAGACCCCTTGGACAGAGGCCATTGCCCTCCCTTCAGTTCAGGCAATTCTCTAAAAGGATGGACAGCTGAGCTGATACACTCACCTCCATCTCAGCAGGAGGAGATGCACACCTTCCAATCCCAGAGGAAGCTGTGGTAGCAGCAGCCAAGCCTGTTTGGCTAATGAGCATAGAAGTTCCCATTACAGCTATGGGTTGTCAAAGGCTCTGCTCCTTCTGTATGGCCTTCTGGATCATCTGTTTTTTAAATGTTTATTATGGAGAATTTCAAATATATTCAGCAGAAGACAGAATATAATAATGAGCCTTCATGTATCCACCACCCAGGTGCAAGAATAATTAACAAGGGGCCAATCTTGCTTCCTCTCTGCTAGTCACTCTCAGAGTGTGGTCCCCAGACCAACAGCATCAACATCACTAGTGAGCTTATTAGAAGGGCAGATTCTCGGGCCCCACCCAAGACTGAATCAGACACTCTGGAGGGAAGACCAGTATCTGTATTTTAATAAGCCCTCCAGGTGATTCTGATGCAAGCTCAAGCCTGAAAACCACAGCTCCACGTCTTCACCCACTTCCATACTCACTCCAGATTATTTTGCAGCAGGTGCCTGGCATCATATCATTTCATTTATAAATATTTCAGTATATATCCCTAAAAGACAAAGGATTCCTCTTTTGAAATCACAATACGTACCATCACACAATTCGAAAAGCAAGAATATTTCCTTAGTATCACCAAACGTCCTGCCAGGGTTCAAATTTCTCCAGCTGTACTATGATGTCCTCTCACTTCCCATCCTTTCTCCCCCTCTCCTTGATCGCATCCTGGTGTTCCTTCTCTTCCTTCTTTCCTCTTTAATAGTTTGCTTATTTAAATTGGGATCCAAACTACTGTGTCTCTCATGTTTCTTTTAATCTATAGAGTTCTCCTCCATTTCTTTTTCTAATTCCTTGCAGTTTGTTGGTGGTGATGAAGCCATGTTATTTGTCTTTTAGAATTTACATATAGTGGAAATTTAGAAACTCGACACAGTGTAGTTTAACAGATTTTTCTGTTGCCTGTAGGTTCTGTTGTTTAGATCCAGATGCTTAAGGGATTCAGGTCTGGCAAGACTCCTTCCTAGATGGTGCTATGTGTACTTCTATCAGTGGGTACATAGAGTCTGGCTGTCTCTCTTTTGTGGTATTAGTGCCTTCATGCTCAATGCCTAGGTGCGTTCATTTATTAGGATTTACACAATGATGATATTCCTCCTTCATTTATTCATGGAACACTTCCATTAAGAGGAACTACTTCTCATCTACTATTTAGTTACTTTGAGCCATGGTTTTTGTAATAAAGGCAAAAATAAATATTTGCTTCTTTTCCTTTATTAATTAAAAACTTTTTATGAGATATGTTGCCCAGGCTGGTCTCCAATTCCTGGCCTCAAGTGATCCTCCTGCCTCAGCCTCCAGAGTCACTGGGATTACAGGCTTGAGACACTGCACTCAGTTTTTTTTTTTCATGATTTACTTCCCTATTATCCTGCAAAGATCACTGAGGGTTTTTTCATTTTTATTTTTAAAGTATCATTAGGAATTCATGGATTAAACATATGTGATGGTTAACCATATTAAACGTATAAAACTACAATACATTGAGGTTTAATCTTATTAATGCTCAAATTGCCCATCTTTAGCTAGTGGGAGTTTAATCAGGTTGGTTCCTGAGTCCTCTGACAAATCTTCAAAGGGCACTTACCTTATGGTATGACAAGATGTTCCAGACTCATCTTGTTCATTTCCTGCCTTAGATAAGGAGTCAGGCATTTCTCCAAGGAACCCCAGTTCCACTTGGTAAATATTTCAACATATTTTAAGATATCAATCTAGAGGCTTACAGGAGCTCTTTGTACTGGGTTGGGTATTGTTTATAAGCCTTTTCAGTGAACAGAGCTAGAAAATATGTAAATATTTTAAAGATAACATATGCCATGAGTTCAGATTGATCATTCCATTTCAGATCCAGGACTACAGAGATTCTGCTAAAACACATAAGTCTTACATTTGTATCCCTTTCTTTCACACCAGATATCTTCGTTCTTACCAGCAACATAATTGGCTAGTTGCCTTATCCCACACTATAGGCACAACAGCCTTGGAATCACAATATTAATGCAACCAGAAAGAGTTTAAGATTTTTTTCTAGTTATTTTTGTCCTTAGAGTATATCCCATAAAGCATATACAAATTATGTCTTACAGTCATTTAGAATAGCACATCTATTCCACCAACTAAAGACTAAGTTAGGTTCATCTGTTTTTGATGCCTAATGATTGTTTTTCTCTTTAATTTTGTGTTATAATTATATAAAATATTTCCATGGCTCAAAAATCAAAACTACAGATCTATAAAGAAATCCAGCTTCTATCCCTGTGATCAAAATATTCTTTCTTTCCTTCTCATACATCCTTATTGTTTAGCCTCTCTCATTTTAAAAATTCTTTTTTTAATCTGATTTTTTTTATTATACTTTAAGTTTTAGGGTACATGTGCACAATGTGCAGGTTAGTTACATATATATACATGTGCCATGCGGGTGTGCTGCACCCATTAACTCATCATTTAGCATTAGGTATATCTCCTAAAGTTATCCCTCCCCCCTCCCCCCACCCCACAACAGTCCCCAGAGTGTGATGTTCCCCTTCCTGTGTCCATGTGTTCTCATTGTTCAATTCCCACCTATGAGTGAGAATATGCAGTGTTTGGTTTTTTGTTCTTGTGATAGTTTACTGAGAATGATGATTTCCAATTTCATCCATGTCATTACAAAGGACATGAACTCATCATTTTTATGGCTGTATAGTATTCCATGGTGTATATGTGCCACATTTCCTTAATCCAGTCTATCATTGTTGGACATTTGGGTTGGTTCCAAGTCTTTGCTATTGTGAATAGTGCTGCAATAAACATATGTGTGCATGTGTCTTTATAGCAGCATGATTTATAGTCCTTTGGGTATATACCCAGTAATGGGATGGCTGGATCAAATGGTATTTCTAGTTCTAGATCCCTGAGGAATTGCCACACTGACTTCCACAATGATTGAACTAGTTTACAGTTCCAACAACAGTGTAAAAGTGTTCCTATTTCTCCACATACTCTCCAGCACACGTTGTTTCCTGACTTTTTAATGATTGCCATTCTAACTGGTGTGAGATGGTATCTCATTGTGGTTTTGATTTCCATTTCTCTGATGGCCAGTGATGATGAGCATTTTTTCATGTGTTTTTTGGCTGCCTAAATGTCTTCTTTTGAGAAGTGTCTGTTCATGTCCTGTGCCCACTTTTTGATGGGGTTGTTTTTTTTTCTTGTAAATTTGTTTAAGTTCATTGTAGATTCTGGATATTAGCCCTTTGTCAGATGAGTAACAAGTATATGTGTATATTATTTTCCCAACCTTTATCCCATAAATGATAGCACACTTTGCTCACTATTTTCTGTCTTGGTCTTAATCACCATAAAATGTGATGCTGGCGATCACACCATAGTAATATGTAGAAATAGGCCTTTTCCTTTTTACACCTGTATAGTATTCAACTATTTGGATTTACCAACGTTTCTGCAATTAGTCCCCATTTGGATTGTTTCCAGCCTTTCGCTATTAAATAATGCAGCAATGGATAGACTTTGAATTTTCATATTTTGTTACTGTATCTTTGGGACACATTTTAGAGTGGAAACACTGGGTTAAAAGGCAAATGCCTATGTAATTTTGCTAGCTCTTGCCAAATTTTTCTCCACAGGAATTGTACTATTTTTCTTCCCCACCAGCAATTTATGAGAAAGTTTGTTTCTCCACAGTATGTGTTTCAGAATGCATTGGACATTTTCCCATCTGGTGGGTAAGATGTGATTATCTCAGTGAAGCTTTGATTTGCATTTCTCTTTCTGTAGGCGCACATATTTCTACAAGTGAACTCAGCCAGCATTGTCTGAATCAATGCCTTCCAATCTTTTCTCCAGCTAATTCAGATTCTGTTACTGACACTAGCAATCAAGATATCCTAAACACACACTAGAGACCTCAATGAGTTTTCTAGTTTATATTTCTCTTATTATGAGCAAGGTGTTAAGGTTTGTTCCTATGGTAAAGAGTCACCTGTGTTTCTTCCATTATGATACCTCACTTGAGTCTGTCCATCACATGCAAAAACACATTCTCACCTCAGGGCCTTTGCGCTTGGCCATCCCTCTGTCTAGAACACTATTCCCATCATTGTGGCAGGGTTCATCTTTCCACAGCATTCATGTCTCTGCTTAAATGTCCCTCCTCAAAAGGCCTGTCTTAATCAGCCTATCTAGGTAGCACTCCTTTCACTATCTCCTTAGCCTGCATTATTTTTCTTCCAAGCACTGACCACTAATGGACACTGTATATTTATCTGCATAGTTGTTATCTCCCTCCCTCCATGGAAAGCCAGCTCCTTGAGAAGCGGGCTCCTCTACCTTGCCCACAGCTATATCTCCAAGTGCCCCCAAACAACAAGGCCTGCCATGCAGTGAGAGCTCAGTGAGTGTGTTGGATGAATGAATACATGAATGAATGAATGGAATTCTTTTGCTTGGAAAGCCAGCAGAGAACAGGTACTGTCACACAGACAAGAAATAAATCTACAACCTAGGTCCCTATAAAGGAGAGTGAACCTGAGAAGGGAGGCTGAGGTAAATGAAGATGACTCAGGTCACTGGACAATAGGGATGGTGGGGTGGGGGCAGGAGAGGTCCATGAGAAGTCATAGGGACAATGAAAACAGGAAGAGGGGCACAAAATGCAATCCACATTCTCCGCATTGTGTAGAAGGTCCATGCTAAGTGGCAGCTGCAGTGCCCTCAGGCAGACTCAGGGACAGTGTTCATTCCACCACTGCCCAGTTAGCACCTTACTGCTGCTGAGGCCCCACAGATACCTTACAGCTAATCACTGAGTGGCACTCCTAAGAAGCCACTGTCATTTCTTCTTTGCCGTACCTTCCTCCCCGGGTCCAAGAGTTTTATCCCTGCCTTAATTCGTTCTTTAGGAAGACATATTTTCCCCTTTCCATCCTCAATATCAGAACCAAGTGCATTCATCTGGGCAGTACCATGTTTAAGAAGCTGACACACTCGAAAAAATTACAGGGATGAAAATAAAAAGGGTGTTTGCTCAGCATCCCTGTCTTCTAGGCATTGCATTCTCTGGAAACTTCTCCTTCTCCTCCCATATTGGATGTGTCTGAAGGAGGCCCTTAGCTGGCTGGTCAGACTTCTCATGAGGATTTTCCAAACCTAAACTGGGTCAAAAGCACCAGTCCCCTGTGATGTCAGAAGCTTGGGACTGTTGCTGCTGTGTTTTTCTCTTGTGCCTTTGAATTAAGTCAAATTAGAAACAGAAAGAAAAAGTGGAGAAAGGACATCAAATTCTGGAAGCATCGGAGTCCTCATTTTCAGTCACTTTGGAGGCCCAGTGATGCCCTGTCCTGCCATGAGTCTCATTATTCAACTCTTCCTTTGGTTATTTTAATATGCTAGCATTATCCCAACCAATGCCTCTCTTTTTCCTCAACCCAATTCAGGTATTGTTTCTGTCACTAACAACTAAAAAAGTCCTGTTCAATACACACACAAGGACAAACCTAGATTAAATAACAAAGGACAATAAAGTGGGAGTCAATCATTGGGAACTAGATATTCACGTTTTCAAATGATTCCATGGAAAGGACGCTCCTCCTTCTCCCAAGCAGTCTTGAGATGAGGGGGCAGGCATCATCCTAAACCTTCCTCTTGAGGTCCCAACAGGAGTCTCAGCATGGATTTCTACAAAGACAACCTTGGTAGGGATCTTTTTATCTCCACTCCCTTTATCTTACTAATCTCCCTTTCAGGATATAGTGCTATCTATCTAGTTTTTGGGCCACCTGCTTAGAAAATCTGCATTTTGGTGTGATACCTACCTCTGTTTAGAATGTCATATTTATTAACTTATGTTATCTCAGTTGAAATTTGGAATTTATCATCCTATCATACTATCATTTCCTTAGGGCTAACTTTGTGAAGGAACTCTGTAAACATTCATAGGAGTTAATGTATTTAAACTTCACCATAGGCCCCATTTAGAGATGATGTAATTTGCCCAAGGACAACTAGCTGGACAGTGGGTGAGCTAAATTATATCCAAATGCCTTGTCTTCAAAGTGTGAACTCTTAACTTCTCAACATTTCTGCTATACAAACTTGTACATTCTAGAGGAGGGATGATGAACACATCTGCACTTTGGAAAGAATTACAGTGGTGATGTGAAGACACAGTTGGAAAGCAGCAAAAGTAGGAGGGAAAGAAATTGGCATCTCGAAGTAACTTTAGAAGAACAGAAATCAACTTGGCTGAATTTCTTGGTTGAAATCTGTAAGTAGCAATGAGCACTGCTGGTGACATTGTAGAAATATAAGAGAACTCAGTGACTAGACTAGATGGGGTGGTTTTCAGAGACAGCAAGGCAGGTGCTAAAGGGTCAAGGTTTCAAAGTCTTATCTCTAAGGGGAAGATGGTGCCAAGGACAAGGGAAAGTTCCTTAAAGATATGAAAGGTCTCACCCACTGAAAAAGATCAAGAAAGGCTTCAAGGAAAAAGAAGGGCATGTGATGTGGATGCTGGATAGAGCTAAGGTGAATCAAAGCCTTGTAGGCAAGGATAGGGATGTGTTTAAAGACCAGTGAACAGCTTATTTAATTGGAATGGAAAGCCTGAGCAGGGCATGATGGGTTACAATAAGATTGGAAAGGAGGGTCATGGCCGCATAGCTGAGGACTTTGAGTGCCAGGGTTAAGAGTGGGCATATTGCATCCAGTAAGGTATGTGAATCTATCAAAAGTTCTTGAAAAGAGTGGTGCAAGAGGTTAAATTGAAGTGGGGAAGGATTGTAAATGTTGGTGACTCCAAAACTCTTGCCAGAGGCAATAGGGGTTGGATTACGGAGATGCAGTAGTAATATAAGAAAGGAAATGAATGTGGGAAACACCACGGAGATAAAGTGTTTAGAGTTTAACAATTAATTGGCTGTCAAGGTAATGATCTGGGGATGGGGGATAAAGTGAGGAGAAAAACATATTGGAAGTACCAAAAAAAAAAAAAAGCACAGGGAGAAGTGTTCAAAGGAGATTCTAAGGGTTTCAGTCTGGGTAGATCATGGTAACTGTAACTGAAATAGCTTAGTTATACAGATGACAAGAGTACATTTGTGACATACATACATGACAATGAGACACACATACACATTTGCTCATTTCAATCTGTAGCTAATATCATTTATCTCCATGTTAAAAAAAAGCAAAAAAAATTAAAAAAAGAAGGGGAAGGATAAAAAATGAGATTACTTCTTACAATGGTAAGAGATACTCGTTTTTATTGGCACTAATTAAGGAAGAATATTATTGCAGTACTGTTATAGTTCTGAGTAGTCAAAACTCTAGAAGCAGATTCCTTTTCACTGCTTTTCTTCTTGTGCTAAAACCTACAGCATGAGAAAAGCAACACAGAAATCTGTGAATTGTGGTCCTTCTATGCAGCTATTTTTAATCTTTCAAAAATGCCTAGACTTTAGTTTGAGGTGTAAACATGTGAAAGTATTTGATAAGCCTTACTCTTTATTTGCATTTAAAGGATTTTAAAGTGCAAAAAGACTTCTAGAAAAGCAAACGTACCATATTTGGACCTGAACATCTAATCTTCTCACCAAACCTGATCCTCTTTCTGTATTTCCTGTTTTAACTGTGACACCACCTTCCACCCCACTCACCTTTCATCGTAACTTTAGTCATCTTTGAATTCTTCCATTGGCAATCCATAGCTTGATTTTGGTTCAGGGCTGGTTAAGCCAGAGGCTCAGTGAAGTTATCGCAAGGTGCTGTCTCTCTAGCTCCGTCTTCTGAAGGTCAGTGTCATTCTAAAGCTGATTCCCAGGACAGCTGCCGGTAGTGCCCTCTGCCTTTATTTTATTCCACAACAGGGACACTTGGGTCACCTGTTCACCTCTGAACATGACTGTGGCTGGGCTAGGGAATGTGCTGATTTAACATTCTGGTGAAAAAGCCAATTTAGACTCACCCCTAGAGTGAGGAGTGGTATCAGTTTTCCCTGAAGTGTGGGCTGCATGGGAATGGAAGGATATGCAAGTAAAAATCTAGATTAGGAGTAGAGGGATGCTGGGCAGCACCCACCAGTGTCACCACTGCTCCAATTCCTATACCTGACAGAGCACTTGGATGCAAATGATAGGAAATATCTTTGGCTAAGTAGCAAAACAGTAACATATAGGGGATGAGCAGGTGGCTCTTACAGAGTTAACAAGAATCTTGAGAAACAGCTTCAGAAACTAGGTAGAAACCAAGAAGGTCTAAGATGCAGAAGACCACAGCCAAAATGATACAGAAACCAGTGTAGCTAGGATACCACCACTGGAACCCTCCCAATGCTGTCCTCATCACTGCTCCTGTGCTGCTATAAGTGATCACTAACTGTCCCTGTGACATTGTGTCACACCCTCTAGAGTCAAAAGTTCGGGTGTGGTGTCTCATTGGTCAAGCCCGAGTCACACACCCCAACCCCAACTGCCAGGAAGCCTGGCTAGGGTAATCTTAATCTTCATGGCCTCTTTGTGGCATGTAACAACCCCACCATAGGCAATGGGGAGTGAATTTCCCCAGTATAGAAAGTGCATTAGAATGCTGAGCAACTCAAAAATAACAAAAGTCTGTTATCAGCCTCCGACTCACTCTGCTTCCCTGCTGATCCCACCTTCTTATTCAGTACCACCAGATTTGGCTTTGTGTGAACTAGTTCTGTGAATTATACCACTCCCCTGGTTCAAATACCTTCACTGCTTTTCCATTGCTGTTAGGCCAGACATGGTGGCTCACGCTTATAATCCCAGCACTTTGGGAGGCCAAGGTGGGTGGATCACTTGAGGCCAGGAGTTTGAGGCCAGTCTGGCCAAAGTGGTGAAGCCCAGTCTCTAAAAAACATACAAAAAAAATAGCCGGGTATGGTGATGCATGCCTGTAATACCAGCTACTCAGGAAGCTGAGGCAGGAGAATTGCTTGAACCCAGGAGGTGGAGGTTGCAGTGAGCCAAGCTCATGCCACTAGACTCCAGCCTGGGTGACAAAGCGAGACCCTGTCTCAAAAAAAAAAAAAAAAAAAAAAAAAGAATTAAAGGGGGTTTCTTCATATGATGATATCAACCCACTATCAGTCCATCCATCCACCACCCACCCATCCAATGACTACTTATTGAATATACTATGTTCCCAGTATCAACCTAGGCACAGGCCATAGAAAGATGACAAGTCACTATTCCTTTAAAGAGGTCTTGGTAGAAAGAAATGAAAAATTATAATATGATGTGGTATTATGTAATATACTATAAATTATATTGTCATAAATGATATGAATACAAAATACAGTAGGAGCATAGGAGAAGTATTTAAGTTTGGTGCAGGAAGGAGAGTTAGAGAAGATTTCTCTAAGGAAGCCACATTTCGCTGGATTTTGAGAGGTAAGTGGTTTTTTAGTTTTCTAAATGGGCAGCCAAGCAGAGAGTGACTTTTATATATAAACGGGGGCATAGAATGAGGTGTCAAAGTGTGAGAAACTATGAGTAGCCCAATATTGTTGGGCTGCCCAAAGTGGAGTTAGGGATCAGGGGTGGGAAGCTATGGGGAAGCAGCTAGACTATTAAACAGTGGCTTGACATGAACAGCTTTGTGCGTTATGGGTAGGATTTTAAATTTTCTTCCTAATAGAAGAGAGAACCAGTAAAAGCTACGACAGTAGCTTCTTGACCATCCCTGCATTCAATTTCACCCCTTTTAAATCCATTCTGCAAATAATATGTGGCCGAGGGATCTTTGTACTAAGTAAATATTATCATACTATTGTCCGTGAAAATAGAATGCAAAGTTGGAACCAGGGCCTGTATATATACAAAGGAGGGAAATGTTAGAATCCAATAGGAAAATAGGTTTCTGAGACTACACTGGGAATTTATTAGGCTACCTCAGTGGAAAGCCATTCTCCTCCACTAAAATAATGTATATGACTTTCACATACATAATGTACATGAATCCATTACAGCTGCTGCCCCACTAGATGGTATAAATAATTTATTTATCCTTGTATCCTCAGCCCTTAGCACATTGCCTGCCATAAAGCAACTATTCAAGATAATGTCTGATAAATGAATGAAATAATGCATGAGTGAATGATAAGATAAGCTAATCACATCTTTGCTTCCTTTCATGGACAGATTATTTCTGAGATCTTCTACCCTAGTTGCAGCTCCACTTGCTACTACTACTACCAAGACAGTCTTCGGTGCTTGCCATAAAGTCTCCTACTCCACTATCCAACTCCTTAATTCCTCAAGCTTTGAGAATTTTAGAGATTTATACTGGAATTTAGGGACTTAGCCATGAAGTCTTAGATGTATTTATGCATATAAGAGAGATAACTGAAAATCCACCCAAGGTTTGTGCTCCCCCTGTATAGTACAGAGTTGTTTCTGAAAAGTTGTTTCCCAATCAGGGCCCAGCTCTGGTGTGATCACGTGACTGAGTTCTGGCCAATGGAGTGGGAGCAGAAAACAATTCATGCTACTTTCAGCCATAAGAACTTCCTTTAGAACCTTCATTTCTCCTCTTCAAGCTGACCTTGGGAGCGAAGTGTTGAAGATGGCAGAGCCTCTATCATTCTAGATCTTTGAAGGACTCCATGGAGCACACTCCTATTTCCTTCAACCCCCTCTTCTATCACATTGTGATGGGGTATTACAGGAGTGGGAAATAAGTCTCTCTTCTGGTAAGCCCTCGAAATTTTAGAGTGTATCTGGTAAAATAGAAATCATTACCTTAACTAATACAGCAGATGTATGTACATGTGTGTGTGTTGAAGTGTATTGCTGTAAATGCAAAATCTAATTTTATACAGAATCAAAAGCCAAATGGGGATAGAAACAGAAGCAAGAGGATTTAATCCTTGAATGAATCCTTGAAGGAAAACTTTTCTTTTAAAGTTAATTTGAATGTCTTAAATTAGCAAATTAGCAGGTAGCCATATCATTATTTGATGGATAGCATGTGTCAAGACAGAGACCAAGGGAGAAAACTGAGCTTAAGAAATGAGCATGAAAGCAAAACTGGTAAAATGAATGAGGTCAGAAAAAATTTTCTAGTAAAGTTACTAGTTTTAAAAAATCTTAATTAGTAATAGACATTTATCATTGATAAAATTTCAAATAAGTAAGAAATAATTGGAAATACATTATGATTATATCTCTGAATCTTGTCAAGCTGCAGGCTGCCAATGCCCTATACTTTAAAAAGATTATACCTGCATAAAAATGGCAGGCAGAGCCATCAAATGACTTGCTCTGTATTTCTAAGCACTTGAAGGTCATCCTTAAAAGCAGGGGGGTCAAATCTTTTGGCTTCCCTGGGCCACATTTGAAGAAGAAGAATTGTCTTGGGCCACACATAAAATACACTAGCACTAATGATAGCTGATGAACTAAAAAATAAAAATCATAAAAAAATCATGTTTTAAGAAAGTTTACGAATTTGTGTTGGGCCAAATTCAAAGCTGTCCTGGGCCATAGGTTGGACAAGCTTGCTTAAAAGAAAGGCACTGGCCGGGGGCGGTGGCTCCTGCCTGTAATCCCACCACTTTGGGAGCCTGAGGTGGGTGGATCATGAGTTCAGGAGTTTGAGACCAGCCTGGCCAACATGGTGAGACCCCCATCTCTACTAAAAATACAAAAAATAGCCAGGCATGGTGGCAGGCACCTGTAATCCCAGCTACTCAGGAGGCTGAGGCAGGAGAATCGCTTGCACCTGGGAGGTGGAGGTTGCAGTGAGCTGAGATCATGCCATTTCACTCCAGCCTGGGTGACAGAGCAAGACTCTGTCCCAAAAAAAGGTATTTAGAAAAGTAAATGTCAGTCCTATATCTTTTTTTATTTACTCTTCCTTTTCAGGTAAGGGTTGTGGTAAATCAAAAAGCTAGGACAGAGGAAGGTAAGGAAGGAAATGTAAGAAGCCACAGGGAAATGCACAAGAAGGCTGTTTCTGTTATAAAATGGCAGGTTGATTATACATATTCACAACTGCTTAGATTGGGATTTGGGTTGGGGTGCCTTTGGTTATGGAGGGCACCTTTGGAAATACTGGAGCTTTGAGAAATCACATTCCTCTTTGACTGAGATATGTCTTTTGAGTGTAGTGTTAGAGTGTCAAGAGTAGAGAAACAAGAACCTGGCTATGAAAGACTGGCTCTAGGCTCAAGGAAAAGGGACAAAGACTTTTAGGTTACTTTCAAAGTCAACCAGCCCTGGAATAGGAATAAGTAAGGAAAAAGAGTATCAGGGCAAATGCTCTATTAAAGAATAGTTATTGTGCATTTGGCTGGAGTTTTCTTTGTGCTGTGTCTCTGAGACATCTGGTATAGAAGGTGAAGTGGAGAAAGATGTAGAATGCCAGTGGTGGAAACATAAATCACCTTATCAAGAAGGAAGTTTTAGCCAGGACTGGTGGCTCATGCCTGTAGTCCCAGCTACTCAGGAGGTTGAGGTGAGAGGATCACTTGAATCCAGTAGTCCAAGGCTGCAGTGAGCTATGATTGTGTCACTATACTCCAGCCTGAGTGATAGGGTGAGACCCTGTCTCTTAAAAAAAGAAAGAAAGAAAGAATAAGCCAGAAGAACACGACCTACATATAGAACATAGCTTTTCTTTCAAACCCAGAGATCTGATGAAAGGAAAGCCTAAATGAACCAAATTCCATAAAGCGGTAAGCCCTTCCCATGGGAGCAAAAGTACATGTTTGCTTTCATCCTTGGTGTAGTTGTGGGAGAAAGAATTTGCCATAGAGAGGCATAAGGAGAAACCAGATGAACTCACAGAAAACTTTTATGGTTTGATGTGGGCTAGAATAATGGATCAGAATCCCAAAGAGTCACAGCCAAAGAGTAAGTCTGTAAAACTAATACTTTATCTAGACTAGATTTAAAATAGGGAAAAAGAGATCTGTGGGACAATATAAAGTATTCTAAATATGTATAATTAGAGTCTTAAAAGCAGAAGAGAGAGAGAGAATGATGCAGAGACATTTGAAGAAATAATAGCCAAGATTTTCCTCAAATCGATTAAAGATATTAATGCATAAATCCAGAAAACTCATCAAACTTCATGATAACCACACCTAGATGTGTCATAAACTCCTAAAATTCTAAATTAAACAGAAAATATCAAGCAGGAAGAAGAAAAAGACATTATATACAGGAGAACAACAACAGGAATTACTATTGACTTCTTATGGGAAACAATGGTGGCCAGAATACAAGGGAACAACATATTTTTAAGTCAAGGAAAAAAAGATAAACTATCAACTATATTTCTATATTCAGCAAAAGATGACCTTCAAACATGAAGGTAAACCCTTATGTATTTCACGTGAGAATGTAAAATGGTATAGCCACTTGGGAAAACAATTTTTTTTTTTTTTTTTTGAGACAGAGTCTCGCTCTGTCGCCCAGGCTGGAGTGCAGTGGCGCAATCTCAGCTCACTGCAAGCTCCGCCTCCCGGGTTCATGCCATTCTCCTGCCTCAGCCTCCTGAGTAGCTGGGACTACAGGTGCCCGTCACCACGCCCAGCTAATTTTTTGTATTTTTAGTAGAGACGGGGTTTCACTGTGTTAGCCAGGATGATCTCGATCTCCTGACCTCGTGATCTGCCTGCCTCAGCCTCCCAAAGTGCTGGAATTACAGGCATGAGCCACCACACCTAGCCAGGAAAACAATTTGATAGTATCTTTAAAAGTTAAATATAAATTTAACATATGACCCAGGAATTCCACTATTAGGTATCTACTGAAGAAAAAACAAAGACATATGTTGATACAAAAGCTTGTTTTTAAATGTTTATAGCAGCATTATTATAATGGCCAAAAAATGAAAATAATATGAATGCTCTCCAACTGGTGAGCAGATAATCAAAATGCAGTTTATTCATCAATTAAAAGGAATAAACTACTGACATGCTACAACAAGAATGAACCTCAAGAATATTATGCTAAATTAAAAGAAGCAAGGCACCACATATTACATTATTCCATTCATATGAAATGTCCATAAAAGTAAAATAATGGTTGCCTGGAACTGGGAGTGAAAAAGAGAAAGAACTGCCTGCAAAAGGGCATGAGGAGTTTTTCTGGAAGATAGAACTATTCTAAAACTATTGTGATGATGGTTGTATAATTCTGTAAATTTGCTAGTAATCATTGAGTTATACACATAAAATGTGCGGATTTTATGATAGTTAATTTATGCCTCAATAAATTTATTAAACAATGTCAAGACAAAATGAAAATCATTTTCAACAGAAAAAAGAAAAACAGGCTCAGAGTATTTACCTACTGCACATCTGACCCTCTAGAAATGATTTTTTTCACAAAAAGTATTCTTTACTGAAGAGAATAATACCCAATGGGCACCAAGATTGGTAAGGAAGGGAAGAAGAGGACTGGAAGGCATAAATTTGTGGGTAAATAGACAAGACCTTCTTATTATATTTATTTTAAAAATTATTAAAAATACTATTGATTATTAAAAGCAAAAAAATGAATTATGAAGTTTACAGCATATGTAGAAATAAAATATATGACAAAACACAAATATTGAGGGGAGGTGGTTTGAATGGAATTATACTGTTGTGACATTCTTCCTTTGTGAAGTAATGTAATATTAGTTTAAGGCATACTATAATATGTTAAAGATGTGTACTGTAGTCTCTAGACTAGAGCAACCATTAAAAAATAACAAAAGGAGGGCTAGATGAAAAGTTCACAAGAGGGATCAAATGGAATACTAAAAAAAATGTGTTTACCCAAGAGAAGGCAGAAAAGGAACAACAAAGGAATATAGGCCAGATAGAACCAATAGAAAACAAATGCCAAGATGACAGATTAAACTCAATCACATTAATAATTATTTAAATGTAAATGAATTATAAACATTTTAATTAAAATGTGGAAATGAACAGACTAGATTAAAATAAAAAATCTCCCTTTTTCTCTCTTTATGTATATGCAAAACTATAATACTTTATAAATACATGTGATATCTATTTAAATATACATAAACATATTTTAAATCTAAAGACACAGACTGGTTGAAAGTAAAAATTAGAAAAATATAAACCTTACAAATAGTAAGCATAAGAAACAGTAGGTCTACATTATCAAAGTAGACTTCAAGACAAAAAGAATTATTAGAAATTAGGATGTAGATATTTTATAATTTTCATATCAAGAAAATGTAACAAACCTAGAAGTGAATGCACTTAATAACGAGTATTCAAAATACATGAAACAGAATTTGACAGAACTAAAGAGAAAAGTACAGATCTACAATCACTGTTGGATATTTTAACACCTTTCTCAGAAATTGATAGAAAAAAAATAAAAATCAGAAAAGATGAAGATTTGAACAACTCCGAAAACAAACTTGACCTAATTGATAATTATAGAACACGGTATCCAACAACTGCAGAACATACATTCTTTTCAGATGTACACAGGTGTATACAGAACATTTGCCATGGTAGACCACATGTTGGACTATAAAACGAGTCTCAGAAGATTGAAAAGGATCAAAAATAATGTAAATAAGCAGTTCTCGTCATATAATACAGGGAACACATGGGGGTTCCTGAAACCCTTTTAGGAAGTCCACAAGGTCAAAACTATTTTCAAAATAATGAGACATTATTTGCCTTTTTTACTCCCATTTTCTCATAGGTGTACAGTGGAATTGTCTACAGGCTGGATAACATGTGATGTCACAACAGATTTAATGAAGAAACAAATATAAAAATCAAGTTCTTTCCAAATTGAGCCAGACCTTAAAGACAAGTTGTGAAATCCGTGAAAATACAAATCAATGTTACTTTTTTCACTATTTTTTGTTCTGGAAAATATAGTTGTCTTTCATAATAATGTTATTTGTGTTAACATGCTCTTTTAAAGTAAATGAACAAATATTTATTTTAAAAACCTCTCAGTTGTAAATCCTAATATGGTAAATATAAATATAAACAAAAGCTCTTTGGAGTCTTCAATAATTTTTACTTGTGTAAAGATGGTAAGACCAAAAATTTGAATAACTGCTGATACAGAATATGCTTTCTGATCACAAAGGAATTAAATTAGAAATCAATTTGAAAATAAAAATATATTCCTCTGAATAACCCTTTGGTCAAAGAAGAAATCTAAAAGGAAATTTTAAAAATATTTTAAATCAAATTATAATGAAACAATATATCAAAATCTATGGCATACAGGTAAAGCAGTGCTCAGAGGGAAATTTATAGCTTCAAATCTCTATAGTGAAAAGGAAAAGAATGTAAAATCAATGAATTATGCAACAATTTTATAGACTCAGGAAACAAAGAAAGAAGGAGCACTTCCCAACTCATTTTATAAGGGCAGCATAATCCTGATGCCAAAATTTGATAAAAACATGCATCATCTTTTACTGGTAATATTATGCTTGGAAATCTCTTCAAATAAATCAATATCAGTATAAATATTTATGTGCAAGAATGATAATAGCAAAAATGCTAATAAAATATATGTCTAACCATTAGGAAATAACTAAATTATGAGAAATCTATGGGATGAGATATTATGCAACCATTAAAAGTAGGTTCTTAAAGGAATTAGTGTCATGGGAAAAGATACAAAGTTTAGTAAAATATTTATATAGTCAGATCCTGTTATATGTAACACACATACATATAAAAAGCCTGAAAAAATGCATCAAAATATTAATAGTACTTAACTCTGGATTGAAGCAATTACCAATAATTTCGGTTTTCTTCTTTTCTTTTGTATTTTCTAAATCATCTGCAATATAATTTTGTCCCTATAATAACAGTAGGGAGAAAAATCTAACCAGTTTTTAAATTTTTATTTATTTATTTATTTTAATTAATTTATTTATTTATTTTGAGAGGGAATCTCGCTCTGTCACCCAGGCTGGAGTGCAGTGGCGTGATCTCCGCTCACTGCAAGCTCCGCCTCCCAGGTTCATGCCATTCTCCTGCCTCAGCCTCCCGAGTAGCTGGGACTACAGGCACCCGCCACCACGCCTGGCTAATTTTTTGTATTTTTAGTAGAGATAGGGTTTCACCATGTTAGCCAGGATAGTCTCAATCACCTGACCTTGTGATCCACCTGCCTCGGCCTCCCAAAGTGCTGGGATTACAGGCATGATCCACCGCGCCTGGCCAACCAACCAGTTGTTTAGAGAAAAATTTGGATAATGCAACACCACAGTTTATACAATGATATTTCTCTGGAGAAGCTTTCAAATTAATCAGTCCTATGCCTGCATTTTATAGATAGGGAAATGGAGCTCTCCCTCCTGGGTGGACACATGTAATGTACATCAGGTCATGCATCAAGTTAGTGATAAAATGAAGTCTAGAACCTAGATCTTCCTCCTCCCAATACCATGCCCTTTACATTAGGACACAATGTGTAGAAAATGGCATTGGTGTTAGGTATAAGAAAATTCTTCAGATTTAATAACTACTCTCAGGGTTACACCTTACATTCAAGGGAAAAGTATTTAAAGGTATACTTAAAAATATAATCTTAATCTCAACCAAAATGTAAAAAGTATCTTATATGTATTTTATAAGGAGATAACATATTTCCTATCTTAGCTTTAATAATAGTTACCTTGTTTTTTAAAATATTCCAATTCACTAAAATCTCAAAACAACCCACTACAAGTAGAATTATCAACTACATAAAAATGTTTAATGATCTATCAAAGATTTCTGCCAAAACAGAAACAAAAACAAAAACAAACAAACAAACAAAAAACAGTCATTGTTCAAAGTGCTCAGGTTTCACCCAGGGGAAAGTTCAGCTTAAAGATTATTCTCACATCCGGTATTTGGGTTGACTCACTAAGAGATATCTGTTTAACAGAAACTTTTTCAGAGAGAACAAAAGCCATTTTTCTTTCTTGGCATAGTAATGAGTAAATCAAGCCTGTGTGAGAATAAATAAGTAAGACCTTTTATTGTTCAAAGTCTGGGGAGGACAGCGTGGCCGAGTACAGGACCTGAGCAGAATACTACATTGTGATTTAAATGGAAGCAGCCATCATTTCAATCATAAAGACTAGATTTCCATCGATGGCATATCTAGTAACCCAATTGAAATCATGTTTGTGTCTCTTTTTATGTTAAGGAAATTAAATAACCATTTTGTGGTGTGTCTAAGGTGAGTGAACTCAGATTCAATAGGCAATGAGAGGTTGCTTTTTAATTCTGCAAGTATTTAATAAACAAGAAAAATATCCACATTCAAGGGCAGTATTAGCATGTCAGATCACAACCTCTGTGATTTAATTATACATGTCCTCTGTTCTTAAAGAGTTGTAAAGGGAAATAAGAATCCTAGACAACAGCCAGCCGTCCGTCTGTGGTACTGAAAACATCTACAGAGCAATGGACTCTAGAACCCCTTTCTCTTCCAAGCACATTTTGAGGAGCTTCTGTACCTCACTGCTGACTCTAGGGCCCCACTCCCTGCCCAATCTTCCCATTCCCCAAGAGCTTCCTCCCCTTCCATTAGACCTTGGTGCTGGAGCCCTGATCATTCTGTCTATGGGAATCAGGGTTCAGGCTCAGGCTCCAATTTTGTTCCCACTGCTTGGTGAACTTTGTGAGTTGGTAAAAGTCATTTACTATATCTGGGTTCTAATTTCCTCCACTATTAGATGAAAGGATTGTGTCAGGAAAGAATGGTACCTCGGCATGTTATATTGAGAAAGATTCTAAGGCCATTTCCAGACCTCTCAGGGAAGGACAATCAGCAACGTCTGCCAGTGGCATGGAGGGGAGTGATGACAATGCACCTTGCAAGTTTAAAATGCATATTAAATGATGCCTCCGTAAGACATATTCCCCCAATTATTCCCCCTCTGCTTTTTCCATTACTGCAGATAATAGAGGACTCTTTATCCCATATCCCCAAATTGTCTGCCACCTACCATTAAGTATATCGATACTACATCTACATTACAAAGGCAAACATGAAGAACGCTATTTCATAATAGGACAGTTGAGTCAGAAAGTGAGCCATTTTTCCAAAACCATACAGCAAATTCAGAACAAATATTAAAATTTACGGACATTTACTTACTAATAAACATCTTATGCATTATAACTTACTTGTTTCACAGCTTTTATTGTGCATTTACTAGGTGTAAAGTACTATGAGTCACTAATAAGAGAAGGAAAAGATAAGAGGAAACCAGAATATCTAAGAATTCTGGGTCCTGAAGCAATTTTAAATCTAGAGGAGAGAAAGACATTCACAGATAACACAAGTAAAGAAACATCTGTCTCAGAAAACCACCGCATGTTCTCACTCTTAAGTGGGAGGTGAACAATGAGAACACATGGACACAGAGAGGGGAACAACACACACAATGGCCTGTTGCAGGAGTTGGGAGGGGCAAAGGGAGGGACAGTATTAGGAAAAATCGCTAATGCATTCAGGGTTTGAAACCTAAATGACAGGTTGATAGGTGCAGCAAACCACCATTCCACACGTATTTCTATGTAACAAACCTGCATGTTCTGCACATGTATCCCAGAACTTAAAGTAAAATTAGAAAAAAAAAAAAATCTGCCCTCAGGGAAAGGCAGAACTGTTCTACTCCGGAGTCTTCCTTTAATCTTCTCTTTTCACTCACTTACATCCAACCCATGTACAAATCTGTTGACTGAACCATCAAAGAAAATCTCAGATTCTGACCATTCTTACCTCTACCACTGTGGTTCAAACCATCATTTTCTCTCACCTGGACTAATGCCAGAGCCTCCTGACTGGTCTCCCAGCTTCTCTTCTAGTTCTAATACAGTCTAATTCCACACAGAAGCCAGGATGATCCACCTTTTCAAAAGCCAATCAATTCATATCATTCCCTGCTCTCACCCTCACCGTGGCTTCCTATTACACTGACAATAAGATTCAAAATGTTCACTCTGGTCTTTAAAAACCTACCTCATCTGTCCCTGGCCCCCACTTGACATCACTGGCCCACCTCTAACAACCTGCCTTATTTTTCTCAGTAGCATTTATTACCACCTATCACATCATAGTTTTATTTGTTTACTTTTTTAATTGGTTTTCTCTCTTCAAATGTAAGATCCACGAGGGCAGGAACAATGATGGTTACTGTCAGTGCAGCATCCCCAGCAACTACAAAAAATTATGGCTCAAAGCAGCTCCTCAATAAATATTTAATGCATGAATGGAGCAGGGGACAGCTAGAAATTGGAGTAAAAATCTCATATTGAACAACATCTAGGAATATTGTGTTGCAGTGTATATCCCTACTTCTAGACTCTTCCAGGGCAATGGTTGATGTTAAGAAGAATTTGCATGGTTTACGAGCAGGTGAGCAGGCTGGATAGAGGTGTCCAGAGAGTAGCTTAGATGGGGGCAGTGTTGCTTTATCACGAAGGCAGGTTCTCCTGGGTCAGGGGCAGGCAACCCCAATAACTGCATCATGGGAGGGAAGTGAGTGTCCTGGAGACAGAGCAATTGAGGAGAGTCACTTGGTATAAATCACATTATTTCTGGGCATTTGGCTCTATGTGCCGAGAATAGAAATGGTAAAACTGATCTGCTTCTTTACATGCTGAGGCAAGCTATGAGCTGAATAAAGCCACTGCAAAGGATATACAGGAGTCACTGCTGCTTAAGGAATTGACTTGAAACGGCTCTTGTTTCTACAATTAGAAAGTACTTTGAAATCAGCAGATGCTGCCTACCTTAATAGCTTGAGGAAGGATCCTATTTCCCTCAGAGTAAAATACTACCTGGTAGTTTTTATGTAGCAAGCACTATTCTAATCCCTTTACACTGCTAGTGAACAGTAGAACTGGGAGTCAAACCCCAAAAGTCTGGCCTGGAGCCCACCCACTTAACCGTGCCCCAAACTGCCTCTCATGAGAGTGCTGACTAACTTGACCTTGGGCTAGTCATCCTGTCTGTGTTTCTGTCTCCTCTGGATGATAATAGTATCACCTTCTTGGGTTGTTGGGAGGCTTAACAAATTAACATATAAAGTGACAAAAAAGGGTATATAGTCTAGCTATTATCATTATATCTATATGATCAATACCTTGCAGTGGCATTATTGGATAAAATGCAGAGGTCAAATAACTTTCCTAGAGTCACCAAGCTGGTAAATGAGGCCAGGATTTCAACCCAGCCATGTTTAGCCCCAAAGTTCATGTTCTTACACCTTTGCTAGCTATTGTCAAGTATTGACAGAATCCTTCCAGCATTTGACACTTCACAACCAAGGCTTCCTGTTCCCTTTTAGGCAATTCTTTGTGATATCTGAGTTTTAATTCAGCATATAAAACCTGTTAATGATCTAGCATCCTAGTCAAAATGTTTCCAGCCTGGAATTAATCTTGTTATGATGGACTGCTGAAACCTATAAGGATAGCTAGTGTGGATGTTTTATTTAGATTCTAATCTAGATTGTGTAGCAGGGATTTGAAGGAAGCCATGTCCTTGAAAATCTCTCACATACCAATGCTCCACACTCCAAGAAGCTTTATCTTCTAGCTGCAGCTCTCACAAGATACACAGGTGAGAAATTTAATAGCTCCTCTAGTAAACAGCACACATCATCAAACTGGCAAAATAGGCCAGCTCACAGACAGGAAAATAAGTGATTCAATGGATCCAGATAATAAATACCACTGGCAAGGATGGATGAACAAAACAAAATGCATCTGCATGCAGTCCTAGATGGTCCAGGAAGCTGATGGCACAGACTGGTTTTGTTTATTTTTATGACCATGGTGTGGCAGTTGGGAAGCGAGGAAATTGAGAGGAAGGTGACATTTTTCTGTGGCTCCCAGCCCTCTAGAATTCCCTTTTGTGTCCCCAGGAACTCAGTGTAGTTTACTTAGAGTGTTCTTTGATCTTTACCTCTTCCCTCTGTTCAATGCTTGCCTCTAGAAAAGGTCAGATACCTTCCATTAAGATGTAAATCAAAGACACGCACCTTTAAAATAATGTAACCTGTCTAAGAATATAGTTTGATTTCAACAGCCACCCACTACCCCCACAAACATAAGCCATGAACATAAGAGTATACATTAAGGTATTCCCCAGTGGGCTAAGGACATTCTAAGGAGGCCTCTCCTGGGATGTCTGAAATCATGATAATTAGTCAAGCACCTTCTCTGTTCACAGGAAAGGCTTAATCTGGTAATATCCAAAATATTGTTGTCTTAATCCAGTTGATCTACGATAATCAACATGTTCAAATGAATTTACTCAGGATGCTACAAATTCACAGCTAATTAAGTAAGAAAATAAAAAGATGGATCAATAAGTGTAGCAAAGAGGAGGAAATGATGATTTGTACCCAAATCTCTGAGAATGGTCCATTTCCCTCCATCCCACCCCGTCCTCCTTCCCCTCTGAGGACTGAGTTTTGGGGCCTGAGACCAGAGCAGGAAAGTTATATAATCAGAATCAGGAGGCTTCATCGGCCTCTCCCCTTGGCTGATGTACACGAGGTTCCATCACAGTCACTTCCAGGTCACCAGGAGCCTTGCTGGGCTCCTGTAAATGCCATTCCAGACCTGAACCTCTCCTCAAAATATTAGGTAGAAAGAATATTTTCAAAACTGACTGAAACATTCACTGTGCTCTAGAACTTTATGGAACTCATCTAAGTAAAATTCCCCTGGGAGACCCAGGATCCAGGCCAGAAACAGGAAGTTGTCAGGGGAACATGAGGACACTGAGTACCCTGGAGGAATCAGGGGAAAAAAAGGTCCTGTCACTGTAAAGGAAGAAGATACACAGATAAGGAGTCCAGGGAGGTCTCTGAAGACAAGAGTCAGCCATTTCTCATCTGAAACTGTAACCCACACGATGGGCAGGTTGGATGGCCTGGTGGGTGGCAGTCCAATGACCACAGACAAGGAGGATTTAACAAGATGATTTTATTACTTGCCAAGTGAGGAGGACACCAGGCATAGCTCCCAGGGCAGTGCTTCCCCAAATAAAGGTGAAACAGGGCTTTTATTGGGTTAGTTAGCTGAGTCATTCCATGTAGAGGTGGAGTAAAGGCAGTGCAGGCGCAGCTGCCAATCATGTGTCACATGTGTAGAAAATGGCAAATAAGCTCCTCCCTGGGTGGGTTTTTAGTATGGTAATGAGGGGAGTTTGCCAAAGTTCATCTCCAGCTCAGGCATCTCTGGATCCAACCAGTTTTTGTTTTTCTGGGCCTGAGCTTCTTCCTGGTAGTTTTTGAGACAAGCACTCAAGGTACAACAATTGCAAATGGGTACTTTCTCATCGTGTACCTGAAAACCCAGGGACAATGGGTTTTGCTTTTTGGGTGTGGGGGAGGAGAGAATTTGAAAGAACTTGAGATACCAGTATCTAGAGACAGTGCAGGTGCAGGTGGGAGCAACTGGAATCTGACAGATCCTGCACAGACAATCCTTAGTAAATAAATTCCAAAAGTATCTTGATGAAAATTTTATCCCAGATAAGAAGAAATCTACTCTTTGTGTAAGATGGGGGTTAAGTTCTTGTACCCTGACTTAAGTTCAGCTTGGGGCTTGTTATGGTTACAAATGTCCCTATTTAACCTTGCAGTTAATACCGGAGAGTAGACGCTAGGATGAGATGTGAGGGTTATTCATTACTCCCACTGCTTCACTGATTAATACCTATTTCAACTCTTTTTAAAGAGGAAAAAGTATGGAAACTTGCCCAGGACAGTGTTTAATTTCCCAGGCGGCAGAGAAGGAAACACTGATTTATTTACAGAGAACAGCAGTTGCTTACATGCATTTGGAGCATGATAAATGGCAATTTTATAAACATAATTATGCATGCAAGAAGTATCTTACCATGTTATCAGGCTTTAAGACCTAAATTGCATGCATAAATGACATTTTAAAACCCATGGATTTTTCTTCTCATTACTAATATGGACTTTAATTCTGGGAGTCATAAGCCCTGGTTTACTTTCTCGGGTATGGCAGACATCTTTTGTTTGACATGGGATACAAACCAGAATATATTTTGTACAATTTTGAAGTACAGTTTTCCAGGAGTTAAGTTTCCTTTTAAATGTCAGTCACTTTAATCCTGCAATGTTATTAAAAGTCTCAAGTTTTCAGGATGCCTATGCATGATGTGGTCTGCACTTGCACACATGTACATGTGTATGGTGTGTTATTTTACTGTGTGTGTGTGTGTGTGTGTGTGTGTGTGTGTGTGTGTGTGTGTGTGTGTAGAATCCCTGACTCATGGTTAGAAGAAACCCTAAACAGCACTTTCGGCAGAAGTTTTCAACTCTGACTATTTAGTAGAATCACCTGGGGAGCTGTGACGTGTCCTGACACTCAAACTAGTGAAATCTAAATAAGTTCTGTGGTCTTCTATTTAACACAATTATTCCCATGTCAGTTTCTTGACTCTGATGCTGGACTGGAGTTATGAGAGATGTTACCACTGGAGAAAGCTGAATGGAGGGTACAAGGAACCTCTCTGTATTGCCTTTGCAACTTCCTGAGTCTGTAATTATTTCAAAATGAGAAGTTAAAAAAATATTGATGCACAGATCATACTCTGGACCAATTAAGTCAGAATCTCTAGAAGTAGGATGCCAGAATCAGTCTCTTTTAAAGCTCCCAGGTGATAGCAAAGTGAGGCCAATGTAGTCACTGATCTTGCCACCCAATGTTTAAGTGCTTTAAAATCTCACAACGTTGTCCAACTAGCACCCAATGTTTAAATGTTTTACAATCTTCTCACAGATGGCTTGCCATGTTAATGGCAATAAAGCACATTTCAATTATTGAACAAAATATTTATTATGAGCTTTCTAATCTTCTAGAAAACCTGCAGAGACTTCTCAGGAAAAAGATTATATATGTGTGTGTGTGTGTGTGTGTGTGTGTGTGTGTGTGTGTGTGTGTGTGTTAGGCAGAATGCCACATTAAATTTGTAAATAATTCCTAGGTTGTATTGGAATGGACATTAGCTAACCCTAAGAATTTCCTAGCAATTGTTCATAGTAGTGGAAATACAACAAGCTATGGCATAAAGCCTTCATCAATCACTCAACCTGTTCATACTTGTGACTGGTAGAACTGGCATGGTAATATAATTACTGTCTTTTTAATACCCCCCAAATATGTATACTAATCATTATGAATGAATTTTTAAAGTAAACTTCTTATAATGAAAAGGGCTAGAAAACTAGCTATTTTGGATCACAGGCCACTTTGTGAACATGATGGAAACTATGGAGTCTCTTCCCCCATAGGAAGATGCAGAAACAAGTGGCTCATGGATCACTAGTAAGTTCTAGAAGCCCCTTAATAGGGGCTCCAGTGTTTATCAGAAGCCACTCTGAACAGGAGGCTGGGAATGAGGCTCCAGCTCGACTGGTCAAGGAAGCCTGCCACCTGGGCTAGTGTCTTCCAGTGCCAGCCCTTGACATCTTCTTCTATAAGTTAAGATGTTTGTGATAATGTCTATGTCCGTTCTCCCTCTAGGAGGTCATGTTTAAACCCAGACCCACTCAGCTCAGACCCTACAGCTTAAAATGCTTTGAAAAACACTGATGCTCCAACTAGGCAATATATCACCCAAATCTCAGTGTCACAAAGTGGCCAGTCTTTAATGGAACTTTGGGAAATCTTCAGTTTTGTTATTTCCATTGTTTGCTGGGTTACCTAAGAAACTAGCCAGTTTCAAGAGTGCCAAAGAAGGCAGAGAATGAAATGGTGTAGAACAAAAACTTGTGACTCAGATAAAGTTTGGTCTTATCTCCTGAGGTAGATCCACCCTAAGAAAGTCCTCTGGTTAAACTGCTTGAAAATCGAAGTGAGGAAATAATGGGGATATTTCCAGGCCTGGCCTGTGTGGCTAAGGAACCTCATGCTGCTCCACTTGGGCTGGCTGATGCCTTCTCTACTAACCCAGCTGGCTGGAGCACCCCATCCTGCTGCCTCCGAAGGGCTTGCTCAGCAAGGGGGAGGATACAGAGTGACTTTAGAGCATCTGTTTGTAAAGACACAGACACAGACACAGACATGAGCCCTCCTAAGGACAAGAAAAGACTCATGTGGTGAACTTACTTTACAAGGTGCTTATGGAAACAGGGCCAGTAAATTGGAGACCAACTGAAGAAGTGGAACGCCTGGAAAAGAGGGAACAGTCTATAGGCTCCTATTCACAAACCTGCCCGGATCAGTAAGCTGAACTGACACATATCAAAGGCCAGGGCTTGATTCGAATTCCTTCTCTGATATTCATGGACAAGTCTGGGGTCAGTGATGGGCCTCTCTTGATACCTGCTCTTTGTGGGGAGCTCTGTGCCCTCCCTCAAGCCCAGTGAAAACTTAGAAAGTGATGTTTAAACCCTCTGAGCTACCCTCTGAGATTTGGACTTATTGGTCTGGAGGGAAACCTGGAGGGTGGCATTTTTTTTTCCTACGTGTCCTCAAATGATTCTAATGTGCATCCAAGGCTGAGAACCTCTTTTTCAGCCAATTAGAAACCTCCTGGGGGAAATCACTCCTTTCAGATATGGATGCAACTGGTGTGGTCAGGGCAGAGGCTTGGATGGATGTGAACGTGCACAGGTTCGTGCCTCAGGTGGGCTGGAAAAGCCCTGTAAGGGAGGTGCTGTGATGCCCAATTTCATTGATGAGAAATGGGAGGCTCAGAGAACGAAGGAAACTTGCCAAAGGTCAAAGAATGAGGAAGTGGGAGAAATGAGAGTCTAACTCAGGGCCTGTATGCAATGAACACTTACGGAGGAACACAGATATTGCTTCTTCAGATCAGTCAACTGCCCTGTCAGATGAACATTATATTATACCCATTCTACCAAATAAGAAAAGCGAAGTTCCAAGGGGGCTAAAGGACCTATCAAGTTCAACAGGTGGATCATTAAGTAGAGAGAATATTCTGGTCTTCCCAATATTTACTTTCTGAAGCCAGTCTTTACCCATTCAGTTCTTGTAATTCTGTTGGGGTAAATTTGACCCTCTCCAGCTGTGCAGACTGCCATTGCCAGGTATTTGGGTATCTCAGGATTAAGGAATTTTTAGTGGAGCAGGCTGCCATATCAGGCTGCCTCTGCCAAGACATAAGGGCCCAGCTGGCCACAGGCTGAAGATGGGGTAGAAAAATTTGTCCCTCAGTTCTGTGCAAACCAGAATGGTTGGCCATCCTAGCTGAAGATAAACTTCAGGGCAACTAAATGAAATTCAGATGGCTAAATATGGAGTTTCTCACTAAAACAGACAGTAATCAGACCCGATAGAAGTGTCCATTTCTGCTTATGCCATTAAAATTCAAATGGAAATTTGGAGATGATTCAAAAAAAGAGTCACTAAGATCATTCATGAAATGAAAATCAGGTCTTAGATATGGGTAAGTTATTAGTAACAGTTAATAATTTTAATGTATGTTTCTTGTTTTGTTTTTAATGAAGAGTCTACTGGTCAGTTGTTTTCCTTATGTTTGGAGAAGATGATAAAAGGAAATGTGCAATGGTAATAAGACATCAAACATTTATATATTGCTTATTGCATGTCAGGCACTGAGTGCTTTAAAACCCATATATACTCTCCATTATTCTCAATAACTTTATGATGGAGGTCCTAGTGTTCCTGTTTTAGAGATAGAGGAGCAGAAGCTCAGCAGGGTTGACACAGTCAAGGTCACACAGCTAGTACATGTTGAAGCTGGGATGCTTTTAGTTGTTCATAATAACTTATTAACTAGGGTACTAACACTCTAGCAGGAGTTGGCAAGGAGAATTGAAAATTGCTTGGGAAATGCAGACAATATAAAGAAGCAGCTAGGGCAAGGAAACATTAATTTAAAGTACTTTCGCTTTCACCTTGTCCAGGGCAGGAAGAAATTTAGGTGAAGTCTCTTCCAGCTTCCAGACGAGGTATTATCTTTCCTTTCCCTCACCAGAGGATACACTGGCTTAATGTGAATTGGAAAAATCTATCCGGTCACCTCAGAACTAATTTTTGTATAAAATCTTTAGTTTATTTTTGCAACATGCAAATTAGAGGTACAGACGGAAAATTCAATAACGTTATAATCCCGGTGACGCCCTAGGTCTAGAATGACATTTATCTAAGCAAAAGCACTTCTGTGGTCCTAGGAAAGATGGTTGTGGCATTTTAAAGCAGAATTAGACCCTGCTGCAGAAATCCTTTCTCCTACTTTTGTAAATCCCATGGAGTAAAACAGAATTTATCAAATCAATGAAAAATACACTCCAGTAATGATCATGCTGGAGGCCTCCTGCTCACTATCATGAGCACACTTCCCCAGGGCTTCCCTGGGACAGCTTGCTCAGAGCAGGGACAGTGGCAGGGGAGGGGAAGACACCAGGCCCCCAGATATCTCCAAAGGTGGTGGAAGGGCCTGAGAGTCTCCCATCCCTACTCTTATTTAAAATGTCCTCAGTTAAAATATGAATGCCCAGGAGGAGGGGGAACATCAGCAGGAACTAAGCCCTGATCATGGGCTTTTGGGGAAGAATTTTCCATGTTTCTTCATCTATAAAGTGAGAGCGCTACACTTGATGAGTGACTCTCAACCTCCCCATGTATCAGGGAAGAGGACTTTTGACAACTTACAGATGCTCAGGCCCCATGAGATTTAGTTTCAATTGGTCTGAGATAGGAGAGGTAGGTATTGTTAGAGTTTGCAGGTGATTTAAATATGCTGCTAGGGCTGGTCTTGATCAGTGGTCCTCAGCTCTGGCTGTACTTTAGAATCACCTGGGAGATAAGAAAAATCCCAATGCCCAGGCTACACCCTGGGCCAATTAAATTCTAACATCCAGGGTTGGGACCTAAGCATTGGTGTCGTTTAAAGCTGCCAGGTGATTCCAATATGCAGCCAGGGTGGAGAACCACTAAACTAGGTGACGTCTGGGGGACTATTACAGCTAGAAAATCCTGCTGTGTTTAGAGTCCCACAGTTTATTCCATTCTATAGTTAGTTCTCATGTAGTTAGTTCCCAAACTTGAGCACATCAGAATTAAAACACAAACTTCTGGGCCTCACCTGTGGAGGTTCTGAATCATCGGATCTAGTGTAAGGCATAAGAATTTGCATTTCTAACAAGTTCCCAGCTGGTGCTGTTGCTGGTCCTGAAATCACATTTTGAAAACCACTGCTCTAAGGCGTAACAGGTGCCCAACCTTGACACTGGAAAGTACAGAGCTCAGAACAAGTGACTTTTGTTGGAAAAGAAAAATCACATGGAGAAAAATAGTAGCACAGGGCTGTAATTATCAGCCCCACAGCTTTTCGACAGTTCCGGTGTGATACAGAGACAGGGACTGGGCTCTAAAACGCAAAGAAGATGGCCTGAGAAGTGAGAAGACAGCAAAGATGTACTTCATCTATGTCAACATTCGGCCTAGAGTCTAAAGATATTTGTCAGTCAAATTGTAGGAAAGCAGAAATATTGGAGCACATGCTAATTCCAACACTAATTTCATTCTAATTCTATCAGAATCCTCCAGTGTAGTTAATCAAAATCTTTCAACTGTTTATATTTTATGAATTTGGTTATGTATCATTTTTCTGGGCCTATATATTTAGATACATTCAAGACATGTCTGAATATATAAAACAGTGCATAATCATGCTCTGAATGATTTGGGATGCTGAAAAGACAACCATTAAGAACGAGGAAGAAGCATATAGTAGGGACTGAATGAGTAAACGAATATTAACATGTATTAAGCATCAGCTATCAATGAATATATCCTGTTTGTGTGATCATATCTCGTTTAATTTTCACCAAAAAAAAAGTTTGATAAGTCACAATATACAGATGCTAGAACCAAAGTTCAGAGATCACAAATCTTTTGTTTCCAGACCTAAAGGAACAAGACCCAAGATTTGAATCTAGGTGTGTCTAACTTCAAAGCCCAGGTGCTTTCCACCACCATATCTCTTGTCCTTCACTTGACACAAATCCTGTCTTTTTGTTCTAACTACTAATAGGCTCTGAAAAATTCCTAGCCTTCCTAAACCTAGTGTTTCTCAAACTTTAATGTGATGAGATCCCCCAGGGGATCTTGTTAAAATGAAAATTCTAGGGTGGGGCATATGATTCTGCATTTCAAACCAACTATGCAGTTGCTGCTGGTTATGCAGATGCTGCTGGTCCATGAACCACGTTCTATACCAAGGTCTTAAGAGACCTGGGTTTAAAGAGAGCTTGATGTAGGCCGGGCGCTGTGGCTCAAGCCTGTAATTCCAGCACTTTGGGAGGCCGAGGTGGGCGGATCATGAGGTCAGGAGGTGGAGACCATGCTGGCTAACATGGTGAAATCCCATCTCTACTAAAAATACAAAAAAAATTAGCGGGGCGTGGTGGTGGGCACCTGTAGTCCCAGCTCCTCCGGAGGCTGAGGCAGGAGAATGGTGTGAACCCGGGAGGCGGAGCTTGCAGTCAGCCGAGATCGTGCCACTACACTCCAGCCTGGGCGACAGAGCAAGACTCCGTCTCAAAAAAAAAAAAAAAAAAAAAAAAAAAGAGGGCTTGATGTAGATAAGAGAGGGAGACAAAAAATCTTACTGAGAAACTATTTTGAAGAAATCATCACTGTTTTAAGAAACTGAGGATAAAAGACAGCAGAGGCTGGACTTATAAGGTACAAAAACAAGTGGATACGTTCTGCTTTTAAGTGGTCAATCAACAATTTGTTTGGTACCAAATAGCCAAATGAACACAAATCTGTATTGGTTCTATCTAATGAGCTTTCATTTGCTATAGTGGGAAGTAATCTAGAAATGTGACTTACTTGTTGATAATGGAGAGAAGGGTGAACTCTTAAATGCAGTTCTAATGTATGTTTTTAAAATGATCATGAATTTTGTACAATGGAGGTTGAATAGTGAAGGTATAATAACAGGCCTTCTCCCTACCCCCATGTATGTGTAAAACTTGAGTATTCAGAAAAACCATTCAATTAATCACAGCAATAGTGTTTTATGTCTAAACATCTGGATGCTCCTTAAATCACAAAGTGGTTTAAGGCTAGATCTTGTTTCAAACAAATTTCTGAACACCTCTGTGCTTCCAGAATTTCCATATGGATTGCAGCCTTGACATGGAAAAGTGAAAATCAATTTGGATGCACAGCAGGCCCAGAGCATAAGAAGTGACATGGAGAACTCTATCCTGGGGGAAGGGTGAGAGAAAGGAGAGTCTGCATGTAATGAGACCAGAAATCAAAGGGGGAATGAATGAGCTGAAACCTCTGTGCACAAGAAGCCCAGCAGAGTAGCTAAAGATGGAGGAATCTGTAGTCACCTTTGACTCCCAGGCCACACTGGGCTTCCATAATGCCACAACTCCAGGGGAAAGGTAAAACATTCACCCCTCCAACTGCTTTTTGTTTTCAGAAAGAAAAAAAGAACTAGTTTGACTATTGTTATTATCTAAAACAACAGATTGGACAACCTATTTAAAAGTATGTTGATGCTGCATTGGGCTCTTGACTTAACCAAGGGAACCTGAAAATACGTCTAGATTGCAGTGAAACAAAATGGCATATCTTCTTAATGAAAATGACTTCGTTTAAAGTTTGTTAAATAAACACTTTTTATAGCATACTTTATTTAAGAACTAGGTGCCAATTTTTCATGGGGTGAAGTGATACCTAGATTTATTGATATTGGATTAGTTTGAATTTTCTTGACCTCTTACCTTGATGGTAGGAGAGGTTGTTTGCTATTATGGAGTCACTGCTCCTAAAGGTTTTATTTTAGAGATTAAAAAGATTTGAGATATTGTTGATACCTAAAGAGGAGTTTGCAGTTAATCCCATGGTCATTTATCTTTAGCTGGATAAAATCCTGAGAATTTATATATTTTTATCTGAACTTTTCAAACATCTATCATCATGGTTTGGAGAATTTCAGCAGAGAAAGTTTTAAGAGACAGAGAAAAACATCAATAAGCAAGGAATTTGAAACTTAAATCTTTATTCAAGTCTTGGAATTTGAAATTCAAAGTTTCATTTCACAAACTGACTTTGATAAATTCATATAAACTAGTGTGTTTAGAAGGATTCTGAGGTCTAGAATAAAACAAGATCATGATTGGGAAGACCCAACTTAGGGTAGTCACGATATACATGCTATAGATGTGTCACCCCACTTCTGGAACCTAAGTGACTAATGACTTTATATTTAAGTAGGGAAAAAAATATCGTCTTTTTCTTTTTCCCACTCAAGGGGAGTGAATTCAAACAGTTTGGATGTCGTTTAAGAGAAATGAATGAATCAGCTAGAATTTTCTGCAAATTGTAGATGCTGTAAGATTATAAGGTAATATGAGGTATTGGAGGTATAATATAAGGATATAACATATTATATATTGGTATATATAATATAAGGTATTATAAGGTAATCTACACATTCCCTATAAGAAAATGTTAGTCAATGGGATGACAAACCAAACAAATCCTCAAGGGGTGGCAACCTTATATCTTCACAAACTCATTATACAGAAAGTTGATCATTTCTTTTATTAGAGCCTGCATTACACTACAAAACTGATTCTGTCATGGTTCTGTATTCCCATTTTATAGTTTTTCCTTCTTTAACTGTAACTTGGTTTCCAGAGGGAAAGTCCAAATAACCTAAGGAAAGTCAGGATGATGACACATGGACCCAGCCGATATTTTCTTAATGATCACAGAGAGAAGACAAGTTACTTTGCAGCAATTCCTTCATATGCATTTTCATTGTTGATGGAAAAATACATATTTTCAAATGTATCCAGGCATCCTAGGCTCCTGCATACCCATGGAAAACCCAGTGAAACCTGCTTTAGCTCATTCCTCTTATCAGGGGATGAAGCATTAATGATATGCAGATTTTGAACTACCGTTTATTATACCTGGTACCTGTATTGTGCAGAAATTATTAAAATTAACTTTTTAAATTGGACTTTTTAACAGGAAGTTGGACTCCTACTTAGTGGCATGCACTAAGAATTATGCCTTTTGAAATAAGAATTATGCCTTTTGAAATAATAGAATAATTAAATCTTCAGAAAAAGAAATCCAGAAGCATAAAGTGGGAATAAGTAGGAAACTCAAACTGCTGTGCAAGCCATCACCTTTTCTGGTGCAGAAATGAATAATTCATCATTTAATTTCAAAGAGTATTGAAGAACACTACATGTCTGATTGGGCTGTTTCATTTGGCTTTCTTGTCTTGTGTGTATCATGATTACATTTCTAGGTTTCTCATATGTGCATAGTATAATTTAGCTGAGCACCAAGCTGGAGGACAATGTATGATACTTGAGCCACCTGGTATCTTTGGGGACTTTGGAAAGAGACATCATTTCTAATCTTCAAATTTTCAATTAAATAAATTTCACTTTAAAAATGTATTTTTTTTCTTACAAAAAAAGAGAAAAGCTAAACCAGGCTCACAGCAAGAAACTAGGGTAGTAAATAACAGTAAGTAGGAAAGAAAAAATTCTAAAGACATGAATAGGAATTTAGCTGAAAAGATGAGCATGACTTATAATTTATTATTTATAACCTGTTCTTAATTATGAAAGCATCTAGGAGCTCAGCCCTGAAACAAAAGAAATGAAATGAATTACTTAGCACAGCAGAAAAATTACTGTATTTAATTTTGGCATTCGTTTCTTATCGTTGGGGATTACCTCTATCATTTAGTTTATAGAGGTATAACTATAAAGTATGACTGAAAGGTGATAATTTTTAAAAAGTAAAATAATGATTCTCATGCAAATAAAAAAAATGCTAGGCTTTATTCAACTCATTAATTAATAAGGCAACCAGTAAGATGTTAAAGCCAGGTTAAAGGAGAATCCAAAGAGCATACATATATATAAGCCATTAGGAATACTGAAATAAATTTGGTTAATGCATGCAAAACTTGCTTCTTCCATAGTAGGGTAGGAATACAAATTGAATTTGCACCAGAAAAAAATTCACTGAATCTTAAATCGCTCAAAGACGATGAAAAACCTAGAGACCCTATCTGTTTCTACAGATGACCTGAAAGGGTGTGTTCCACAACCCCAGTGTTCACTAAGACACCCAATCATCATTTTGGCTCATTTCAAAGTGCTTCCCAATTCTTCCGTGCAATATATAGAGTTGTCCCATAAATCTCTTTATGTTGGCTAACCTTTAGAGAGAACTAAATAAAGGGGTGGGGAACAAAGGTATGACATGGGAAAGCAGATCACATTTTCAATTTACATTCAAAATGTAAATTTCCTCCTTGGTTTTATTGTGATGGTAGATAAAAACCCAGACTTGGCTTGGCCCTTTCAATATCACTTCCAAAAGTACACTGATCAGAAAAGGGAAAAGGCTTGGAAAGGCAAGCTGATTATTAAAATTATTAGGCAGGGTTATCAGTAAGTTGCATAATCTGACATATCTCCAAGTTCTCCAATACTACCTAGCCTGTGGGTAACTGAGTAACCCACACTCCACAGACTCTTGTTTCCATGTGCTTACGCGGAGACTGAGCTGCCTGCTTAGCCTCACACAGCTTGGCCTGAGACCCTAGGGGTCGTCTCACAAATTCATCATTTAGTCTTTGCAACATCATGCATGCTATGTGCTTTCTCTTTTCCTCTCATCCACCTGGAGGATGCTGACTGTTGGTGCCCACCCTGAAAGTTCTGGTACCCCAGCAAAGGGTGCTATCACCAACTGCTCCCCAAACTGCTAACCTTCAGAGGAAAGGAAGGCCCCACATTCCCTGGAGTCCTTGGCATGCCAAGGTTCCTGGAAGAAATGCCCTTGTCTCCTAACATTCTCCCTCTCGCTCACTTTGCACCAGCCACACTGGCTTCTTTGCTGTCCTTTGAACCAGCCAGGTACTCACCAGCCTGTTCCCTCTACCTGGAATGCTCTTTCTCCAAGTACCAACATAAATGGCTCCCTTTATCTCAAGTCTTTACTCAACTATCACCTTCATGAAGACTTCCCTGGCTACCCTTCCTAAAACTGCAGCCCTAATCGCACTTTGATACTTCCTATCCCTCTGCCCAGCTTATTTTTCCCCAATGTAATAATAATATAAAGTACATGATAAATGTAATGCACTTGAATTATCCCAAAACCATCCCCCTCACCCCATCTGTAGAAAAATTGTCTTCTAGCTAGGCACGGTGGCTCACACCTATAATCCCAGCACTTTGGGAGGTCAAGGCGGGTGGATCACCTGAGGTCAGGAGTTTGAGACCAGCCTGGCCAACATGGTGAAACCCTGTCTCTACTAAAAATACAACAATTAGCTGGGCGTGGTGGTGGGCACCTGTAACCCCAGCTACTCGGGAGGCTGAGGTGAGAGAATCGCTTGAATCTGGGAGGTGGAGTTTGCGGTGAGCCGAGATCATGCCATTGCACACTAGCCTGGGCAACAAGAGCGAAACTCCATCTCAAAAAAGAAAAGAAAAGAAAAGAAAAGAAAAAGAAAAAGAAAAAAAGAAAAAAAAGAGAAATTGTCTTCCACAAAACCAGTCCCTGGTGCCAAAAAGTTTGGAGACGGCTGCTATAAGGTATATGACAAAATATTGCTATCCTTCAACAGGAAATTGTCAATTTCTTCTAATGATCTATTTCCTTATCTAAGCATTTAAGATCTCATTTTATAGTCTCAAATTTTATACTTAAAGCTCAACATATTTGATAATTCCTCATTTCCCCTCTTTTATTGTAAATCATCAGGTATCTTGCTCTTAGCTAGTTATTTGATGAGCAAACAATTAATTGACTATAGTTTAGGAATTCCATAGGACAGGCTATATATAACGCATCTTAAATAATAATGGCTAACATTATTGGTGACTTTCTTTGTGTTGGGCATTATGCTAGCTAGGTGCTCTACTTGCATTATTTGGCTTAATCTTCAGAACAACTGACCCAGGTAGGTACTATTACTGTCCCCAGTTTATGGATGAGGAAATGAGGTGCAGGGAGGCTTAAGTAAGTTGCTCAAGATTATACAGCTAGAATGTGTGAGGCCAGGATTTGAATTCAAGTTGCTTGATTCAAGGTCTGGGATTGTAACTACTATTTCCTACAGCCAAAGCAATCACCCAGAACCAATACAGCGTGGTTACTTCTCAATTTGTACCTTTGACTACTACCCTAAGAAGCCCACTTTCCTTTCTTGCTTTCTTCCTCTTTCATTCCCAACTCGAAATAAATCCCACTTTCATGTACTCTGAACTTGGTGAAGTGCAAGACCTTTTCAAATGTCTCCCCAGGCAAAAATTCTAAACTCAGGTTGCCTGAAGTATCCAGGCATCTTCCTGACACTGTAAGAAGAGGCCATTTCTCTGAGGCCCCTCCAGGCAAAAATTCCAAAGATCACTGGCCATACTCTAACTCTCACTTTTCCATTCAGTTCCTTATTTCCAGTGACAAGGATTCTCTCCTTGTCCAAACTCTACTCAGGCTTCCCAAAACTTTTCAATTAGGCCTTGATTTTCGGACTTTCATGTTCTTCTCTGCATTGACCTGTTTAGCAAGAATTCTGCTAAGTTGGTTTTTGAATGTGTCGTCCTTTATATCTCATCACCTTTGATATCTAATCTGGCTTCTCATCCTCCATCACACCACCCCCCAACCCAGGGATGTCTGATCACCTGGCCTGACTTCAGCAGGAATCCTGGTAGGCCAGTTTAGCTAGAATTTCCTCATATCTCAGATGTTCCATCAATGACCCCTACCCTTCTCCTTGGGTAGAAATTCCCACTTGCCCATGGTATATTCAAAGTTGAGCCTGATCTCTCTACCCTACTGCAAGACATCACTGCAGTAGTCCTTGTACCTACAAGGATAGTAGCCCCTTGAATAAAGTCGTTCTTACTGTCTTTTGTAAGCATCACAAATACACAAATATATTTTTCCTTAACACTAGCCCAACTCCCCACCCACTTGAAGGCTTTCTTTTTTATTTTATTTTCAGTTATCTGGGATGGATATATATATATATATATATATATATATATATCCTAGCTGATGGTCCAACAATTATAAAATTACATACAAATTTAAATGGAACATGCAAGGGGACTTCTGTTTATAACACAAGGGGGTGTCCCAGTTGGAGAGAAGCTACCATCTCAACATGTAAATTAATATTGGCTTAAGGGTGGCTTAAGAAGTGGAAAAGTCTTGACTGAATGTACTGTCAAGGGTGCATTCTATTTGGTTCTTTTTCTTCACAAGCCGTTGATAATTCTAGGCTTGTCATAATATACCATCAGGTGGAATTACTGTTTGCTTTTTGTTTTTGTTTTTCAAAGGAGGAGGTTCAAAAGAACACCTGCTCTTCCCAACAAATATCCTAAATATCCAGTGACGGCCTGAAGATTATAAAAGATGTTGACCTATTTAGAAAGCTCTTGAAAGTCCCAGTATTAAAATTATGCCCCTGTGGAACTTCAAAGGCTTGGCTGATGAAGACAAATTTGAAATGTCAGTTCAAGATCAAGTTAGATCATTTAATTATGCTGACCCATTATTTTCAGTCAAGATGGAGAGTCATTCTTTTATTTTCTTTTTCAGACTGCTGTCTTATCAAGGGTAATGGATGATGTATTTTACACATCATCTTTTAAACTAAGCATAGGGATTTTTCTTTCTGATTTAATTTTTCTTATCTTTGAAACACATATAATCTCAGATTACAAGATTAGGAAAATAAATTACACACATGCTGATGTTTTACTTTTCTACTTTTCTTTAAACGCTATGTTTAATTTCCCATTTTTGTTTACATAGATGGCAATTAATTATAGCATTTTGAAATACACATGAGGGAAACTATAATTTTAAAAAATTGTACTGTGGCTTGCATTCTCCTAATTCCTCTTCAATTCAACTGGCTCCAACAAACTTGTCTCTACTCTCTGCTCTAAATTATATATAATGGCCAGCTATATCATTTAGGAGCTGTTTAGCTTCCAGTCTAGAGCCAAAGTTGGCAGGCATTTTCTGTGAAGGGCCAGATAGTAACTATTTTGGGCTTTGTGGAGCATATTGTCTCTATGGCAACTACTCAACTTTGCCTTTATAGGGTGAAGGCATACATAAACAACATGTAAATGAATTGGTGATTCCATGTTCCAATCAAGCTTTATGTACAAAAACAGGCAGTTGGCCAGAGTTTACTTCTTAGACATACTTTTCTGCAAAGTGCCTATTGTGTTTCAGTTTTAAAATGTTAGAATGATGATAGCTCTGTGTGCTTTACTGTTGCACTCTACCACCTTTCTGGTATCATATGCCTGGGCAACTTGACTCTGGATGCTGAGCTTTCAAGCTCCATACGATAGCTCTGCTCAAACAAAAAATACACACCCCTTTCCCCACCAGCATTAAGCATACAGTCATGCATTGCTTAATGACAGGGTATGTCCTGAGAAATAGGCAATTTTGTTATTGTATGAGCATCATAGAGTGTACTTACACAAACCTAGATGGTATAGCCTACTACATATCTAAGCTATATGGTATAGCTTATTGCTCTAAGCTACAAACCTGTGTGGCATGTTACTCTACTGAATACTGTAGGCAATTGTAACACAATAATACACATTTTTGTATGTAAACATATCTACACATAGAAAAGGTACACTAAAAATACAGCATAAAAAATAAAAAGTGGTGCACCTGTAGAGAACACTTACAGGAATGGAGCTTTTAGGGCTGGGAGTTGCCCTGTACGAGTCAGGGAGTGAGTGGCGAGTGAATGTGAAGGCCTAGAACATTCACTTTATAAAGTAGACTTTATAAATACTGTACATGTAGGCTACACTAAATGTATTTTAAAATATTTTTCCTTCAATAACAAATTAACCTTCACTTACTGTAACTTTTTAATGTTATAAACTTTAAAATTTTCAAATAGTTTTTAACTTTTCTGTAATAACTCTTAGCTTAGAACACACATTATACAATTGTACAAAAGTATTTTCTTTCTTTATACCCTTATTTTATAAGCTTTTTATGTTTTTTAAATTGTTATTTTTTTTACTATTGAAATTTTTAGCTAAAAACTAAGACACAAACACACATTAGCCTAGGTCTCACAGTGTCAGAATCATCAATATCACTGTCTTCCACCTCCACATCTCGTCCCACTGGAAGGTCTTCAAGGGCAGTAAGAGACATGGCACTGTCATCTCCTATAATGACAATGCCTTCTGGAATACCTCCTGAAGGACCTGCCTGAGGCTGTTTTACCGTTAACTTTTTTAAAAAAATAGGTAATAAGAGTGCACTCTAAAGCAACAATAAAGTATACTATAGTAAACTGGTAACATAGTCATTTATTAGCATTATAAAGTATTATGTACTGTACATAATTGTATGTGCTAGACTTTTATATGACTGACAGTATAATATGTTTGTTTATACTAGCATCACCACAAACGTGAGTAATACCTTGCATCACAACGTTAGGATGGCTACCACATCACTAGGTAACAGAAATTTTTCTGTTCCATTATAATCTTATGGGACCACCGTCATACATGTGGTCCATCAATGACTAAAATGTCATTATGGAGCACATGACTGTACTAGTTTGCAACATTTGCAATTGCAATTTCACGTATATGTTTAAGGCTTAGAGAAGACATGCTTCTAATGATAGCAATGAATCAGAAAAGTGATTAAGTCGCTGAAATGAAACCCAGCTCTTAGACGTAGTTTTAAATCATTCATGCTTTAGAGATTAAAATTGGAAAACAAAACTATGAATCTTTTATTTCCTAACGACAAGAGCAGCTAATCACTTTTCCAATGGCCTTTCCCTTCACTTCTTCCAGTCTGCCATCTTTCCAAACCAAAAAGAAGGACCAACACTTAGAACCCTTAGAGGGTAGGGTGTTCCACAGCCTCATAGCAAGCAATCAGGAGGGCTTGGAGGACACTGCTTTGGCTCTGCTTGGCCCTTCCACAGGAAAACAGTCTAACGGCACAGGGGGCAGGTCTCAGGTCTGTGGTTAACAGCTCTTAACTGACCATCCGGGGCTTGGTTTCTACCTGGCTACTCAGAAGTTTAGAGAACTCCTCTCTGGTGAGTTCTAGTCTGAATTCCCTGCCCAGTTAGGTCTTCATTCTTCCACATTCAAATCACTCTCCTTCTGGACTTGGTCCTGAATACACATCTAAGTCATCTGTACCCTTGACTAAGCCCCTGCCAGGCCTCCTTAACACCCACGTGCATCATTCAGACTCCTTCCCTTGTTCATTTCTTCAGTTTTGCCTGATCCCTTGTTCTGGTTATTCTCCGCTTGCATCCTATATTCATTCTCTACCCTTCTGTGTCTTGCTCTGTGTCCCAGGAAGCTGCCCCTATGGAATGCACCTCCCTCCCTGACCCCAGCTCCCATGTATTCTGACTTCCAGTTAAATTCAGCAAATGGGAGTCACCAGCAGATCAGTAGACAGGGAAAGAAAGAGTTGGAGGTAGTTTTGCATTTCCGTGTGACTTCTGCTTCCTCCCGGTAGATATCCAAGCTCTTACTAGGCCTAGTGACACTATTTATTCTCCTTCCTCCTTTGGCCCTACAGGCAGTTATACCTTTCCACTGTTGCCAGTCTCTGAATGCACTGACACTCTACTCTGGTTTGCTGTCTTAACCCTGCCTGCATTTCAGTGTGTGATCTCTTCATTAAAGCCTCTTTGCTTAGACCTGAAGGGTTTCGTTCCCTGCTGGAATCCTGACTAATAGATGTCCTGACCTTTCACCTTTGTGGTTTCCTCAGACCCACTGCATAGTGTATACTCCTCATTGGATGTCCTTCCCCAGGGCACCACTAGAAGTCACCTTCAGCATCACATTCCTGTCCTGTGCAGGCTTCCTTCTTCCTCAATTTACACTATTTAGTGAGCTAGCTTCTGGGGATTTAACTCAGAGCTTTTAACCTGAGATATGTGGATCTATAAATTATGTGGGTAGATTTGGGGAGTAGAAGGGGACAGTGCATACACTGACATTGTATAGTATGTATGTACATTTTTCGAGGGAGAGGACCCATAGCTTTCATCACCTTCTCAAAGGACCTATGACTTAAAGGCTAGGGATTAATTATAACTAAAGATATAAAGGAACATATGCAAGTTGAGACCAGCCTTTCCCCCCAGATTTACCAATCAGATGTCACTTTACCTCCTCAACGGTGAGTAGAGGGGTAGAGAGAGGCAGAATTCCCACTAAAAAATGGTATATTTTTTTAATCTTTCTTGTCCTAAATTACATAAGATTTTAAGTCACATCCCTTAATATCTTTCATGTGACACTTGGGAAGCATGAGCACAGGGCTGCTGGCCATGCCTATGCCTCTGGGTCAGGCTTCCGCCATCATATCTCATGGTATCTCTAGGCCAGCTCTATTCATAGCCATTTACCACCCAACATCATGAGCAACTTGTAGAGGAATAAGAAAGTGGAGTGAAAAACTCCATTACATTTATAAACAGAATTGATTCATGCTAAGTGAGGGTGTCAGGATAGTCTTGGCTTCAAATAACAGAATACTCTACTAAAACTGGTTTGAACATGTAGACTGTTTTGTTTACAGGACTTGAAGGCTAGATGCCCATAGTCAGCCAATCACTGACAAGAGAGAGGATTACTGTTCCACTAATCAGGCCTAGATGGAGATCAAGATGGAGTCAGCTTTCATGTGTCAATGAATTGAATATGGGAAAGTGGATACACCTACAAAAATGGGGCTTTCTTAGGAAGAAAGGAGATCGAAGGGTGGGCAACCAACAATGCCCAGTACAGTTGCCATGTTTAAAGTTGTTCCTCTTTTTATAACCACAGTTCTTGTACAAATAACATTTTAGTCTGACATGGAGATCTCTTGTTGATCATTTGAATTTCATAAATGGGGAACAGAGCACAGATGTTCAATAAACATGTTTTTAAATATGTGTTGAACAGAAACCAAATGGGCTGAACCATCATATGCATGGCCCAGAACCAGGGTTGGACAGAGACCCCTTTGGACTCTAATTCAAAATTAATTTAAAGGAACTACATGGAATATAACTAAAGGAAGAATTATCTTCCAGATGGCATGCTCATGGTGTTTCTTATTAACCATGGAAAAGACAAAAGGCTGATGACTAGTACATGACAGCAACAATCGTATTTCCCAGCACTGTCACAACAGCAGAAGCACCTATTTTTTATTGAGCACTTCATTTGTACTAGGTTCTGTGTTACACATTGAAATGCATTCTATTATTTAATTTAAGCATTGCAATAATTCTATGAGCTAGGTATTATTTCTCCAATTTATAGACAAGAAAATTAAAGCTTAGAGGTGGAAGCATGTTGCCCAAGATTACCTGTAAACACAAGCATGTCGCTTGGCAGCTTGTGCTCTTAACCATGGGCTGTCACAGTCCCCAAACTAAGAGTTGTGGACATAAACCAAGACCAGCTCAGGGACTCCTCTTCTTCTCCAATTGGTCCTCTACTGCAAAGTCAGAAATTCTAAAGGATTCCTTTTCCTAGGCAATATCTCTAGGTGACACACATTATATAAATTGCTAAGTGCTCAGAATTATTTGAGATATGATAGTCCAGAAAGTGCCCTTGTCAATTATTTTTGGATATTCACATCTGAAAAATGATGCAAAGGATTTGGTCTAGTCACACCTATAAGAGAAGTCCTGGAGCAAAACCTGCCCCAGAATTTCCCTGGTCATTTTCCAGCCAAGAAAACAACTTCCCATTTAACTATCAGAAGTCTGGGTTGTAAAATAAGGAAAATAGTATTCTCCCCAAGAACATGTTACAGGAAAATAAAAACTAAATGGTATTTCAGATCTGGAAGGAGAATTAGAGATCATGAAGTCAAAGGAAAATGAGTCTCAGACAAAGGAAATTCCTTGTCTCAAATGACATTCGTAGTGAATATAGGAGCTGGGACCAGCATCTTACTGTTAGACCAGTATTTCCTCTGTATGTTTTCAGAGTTACCAACACATCCTAGCAGTAAGCTACAGTGAGGGAGCCAGACAATTTAGTGTTTTTTCATGAAGGTTGCTTTCTTTGGGTTTCTAAGAAATTACTGTTAATTAATTTTTGTTGTTTTATTATAAGTTCAGTTGCTGGCAGGTAAACTAAAGCTACGGGGTCAAGAAACATAAATGTGAGAATCTCCTTCTTTTATTAGGTTAGTATTTTGGTTTTATTTATTTTTATTTTTTGAGACAGAGCCTCGCTCTGTTGCCCAGGCTGGTGTGCAGTGGCGCAATCTTGGCTCACTGCAACCTCCACCGCCCAGGTTCCAGTGATTCTCATGGCTCAGCCTCCTGAGTAGCGGGGATTACAGTCATGCACTACCACGCCTAGCTAATTTTTTGTATTTTTAGGGTTTCACTATGTTGGCCAGGCTGGTCTCAAACTCCTGGGCACAAGTGATCTGCCCACCTAGGCCTCCTAAAGTGTTGGGATTACAGGTGTGAGCCACCATGCCCAGACTATTTTTCATAAAGTAAAAATTAACAAGTCCTTAAGCAGGGGAAAATGTATCACTACTTTGTTCCCACATTTTTTCCTTATCTTTAAATAAGTAATCAATGAAGATGGTGATGTGTTACTTATCTGGTAAGACACAAACAAGGGAGATAGGTACCTAGGGACAGTAGCAAACATAACAGAGTCTTCAGGAAGAACTTTTTGACTGAGACTTTTGACGTATGAGAAGATGAATCAGTCTCTATCTCTGTCTCTCTCTTTCTCCACCACCCCTACTCCTATCTCCCACTCCCTTCCCCTTAGAACCAACCCCAGGGCAGTCTTGGATGTTTTAGGGGAAGTCTTGACAGGAATAATCTATCCCCTAATGTTCTAGCCAACAGATGTCATCACAACATCCCTAAGATTCTACTTCTACCATGTCAACCCAGCACTTTGAGGCTGCCTGAATTATAGAATTTAATGTAAATTGTAATTACTTAATTGCTTGTTTCCCCTTGAAGGCTTTACAGTCCCACTCCGTGAGGGTAGGGACAATGTCTTACTTATCTTGATTTCTCCATGGTATAGCACAGTGCTTAGTCCACAGAACACATCTACTAAATTATTGGTTATGTGAATACTCCAAAATCTTCTGCAGTTCACCCAGTACCTATTATATCAAAACTCCTTTTATTTTTCACATGCAATACCTCCTACCAGAATACTTTCTCCTGGCTTTTCATGCTAAACAAATCCTTCAATCTTCCTAGAATCCATCTCAGGCCTCCCTAATTGCTCCTTTCTCTGAATTTCTATGATGCACAATCATCTTTTATTTTACACTATTATTTTAACATTTCATACATGTTGCTCCAGCTCTCAAACAGAAAATCATTTTTTATATTTCCTTAGAATTCTCTTCCACAGAACGTAGTATAATTATATTGCCATTGTGATGCTTGATGCTTGATATTTTTTGCACAAATGAATGGTTAAAATATGAGGCTGATGGCAACGCTTAACCATTTGTAGCCCTATGGATCTAAAATTTGATAAAAAGTGATTTCTAGATTCCACGGGTGTAATACTGTAAAGAGGCCTAAATTTGACAATGAAAATAAACAAAACCAATCTGAAAATTTCAGCCTATTTTAAACATAAATTCATCAAGCCTGCCTCTGTTTGCTCTACACAGTCCAGGATTTTCTTTATCAAACCATATTTGTAAGCATACAATTTGGAAGCCATAGAAATGCAATGCATGTTTTTCAAATAGCTCAGTTACAGAACGATAAAAGAAAACACCTTTGCTGGCAAAAGAAAAAAAAATCCACTTCTGTTAACTCACAGCTATTTATTTATTTATTTGTTTATGTATTTATTGTTTTTGAAATGGTGTCTTGCTCCGTCGCCCAAGCTGGAGTGCAGTGACATGATCTCGGCTCACTGCAACCTCTGCCTCCCGGGTTCAAGCAATTCTCCTACCTCAGTCTTCCCAGTAGCTGGCATTACAGCCAGCAGCCCAGTAGCCGGCATTACAGCCAGCAGCCCAGTAGCCACCAGCATGCCTAGCTAATTTCTGTATGTTTAGTAGAGACGGGGTTTCACCATGTTGGCCAGGCTGATCTTGAACTCCTCACCTCAAGTGATCTGCCTGCCTTGGCCTCCCAAAGTGCTGGGATTACAGGTGTGAACCACCATGCCTGGGCAACTCGCAGTGTGAAGTTCAATTCATGAGGTTCCATAAAGATTCCCAAATGGTTACTTGCAAAATAAAGCTAGTTGAGAAATATTCTCCCCACATTTATCACTTATGCTTGGCCTCCTCTTCAAATCCTACCCTCTTGCAGCATTTAGACTTCTCCTCCCAGACACAGATATGATCATGGTATTCCCCATGATCACATCTTTCCCCTGTTCAGAATTCTTCAATGGCAACTCTTACTTTAAACTAAAGTCCAAAAGATCAACAAGCTTTTAAAAACCTTCTTGAATGTGGCCCTAGTTTATCTTTCTGAAATTTTTCTCTGCCCCACATACTAACTGCATCAGCCAATTTGTCATTCCAGGAAAACAATCCTCCATATTTATGCTTCTATGTCAGGGATCAGCAAACTTTTGCCATAAAGAGCCAGGGAGTAAATATTTTAGGCTTTGTAGGCCATACCGTCTCTGTCGAACGATTCAACTTTGTCATGGTAGTGCAGAAGCAACCATGGACAATATATAAAAGAATGAGTGTGGCTCTGTTCCAATAAAACTTTATTTATAGAAACAGAAATCTGAATTTCATAGAATTTTCATATGTTATTAAATGTACTTCTTCTGATTTTTCCCAATCACTTAAAAATATAAAAACCAATCTTAGCTCCTAGACCATACACAATGGGCCACAGTTTGCCAATCTCTGTTCTATGACACTATACATGCTTCCTCTGATGTCTTTCTTTTCAACGCATCTCTGAGTTCCTTTCCATTCTTCAATGTCCAACTCAAACACCATTTTCCCTGGAATAGGTATCAATTCCTCTCAGAGGTGATTCCCTGCTCCTTCCTTTCTTGTTGGTTATATTCCAGACAAGGTACACAACGCAGTCAGCTCTGATTGTTATTATTTATGAGCTCTCCAGATCATGATTTGCTGTGATCCTGTGTCTAACTCAGCTCCACAAGAACATCACAGCCCTCCCCAACTTCTGCTATGTAATGCCTGGCACACAATCCTCAGTAAGTATTTATTTAATAATGAAAATCTATCCCTTGCCTCTTTGCAAAACCTAGAGTGTTGATAACAAAATCAAATTGAAGAACTAAAACCATAAAAGTTGGGGCGAGCTGACCACAACAACTGATGCCATCATTAAGAGTGGGCTCTGTGGCTCACGCCTGTAATCCCAGCACTTTGGGAGGCCAAGGTGAGTGGATCACGATGCCAGGAGTTCGAGACCAGCCTGGTCAATATGGTAAAACCCCGTCTCTACTAAAAATACAAAAATTAGTCAGGTGTGGTGGTGTGCACCTATAGTCCCAGCTACTCGGGAGGCTGAGGCAGAAGAATCGCTTGAACCTGGGAGGTGGAGGTTGCAGTGAGCCGAGGAGATCACGCCACTGTGGCTGCACACCAGCCTGGGTGACAGGACAGAGTGAGACTCCACCTCAAAAAAAACCAAACAAACAAACAAAAAAAAAAAACACGGTAGGCTCTGGGCCTCCACTCAGAGCAAAAAGGGAAAGAGGACAATGACCAGGTCTTATTTATCAGAAAGGAGGAAGTGGGCTACATCTGTAACAGAGGCAAAGTTTTGTTTCAGTTTTCACTTCCCCCCGCCCCGCACCCCCTCCCCCACAGCTGTATTAAGTTTTAAAAGCAGTTGCTCATGTGGAAGTGTAGATAGGGCATTTGGTGACAGATTAAACACTGCCCTCCATGGCTGTTTATACTGGCCAAAAAAGAGATGTAATTTTATAAGGCTTTATCTCAGAATAAGTTGGAAAATGTCAAAAGCAATTTCATGAGGAAAAAAAGGCACTTAAATGTTGCCTTCTGGAGCCCTAACTTGAAACAAAAACAGAACTTAGGATATACCCATGGTTATGCCGGGGTGGTGGAATGGACATTCTCTTCTGAAAGTGGGTGGGGGCAAAACACAGTCTCCCCCAGCTGGATGCTCAAGGTAACCTACTTCTAAAGTCGCTGGTATGCCCAAGGGGAAGCCTGGATGGGCTTCAAGCCCTGGTTCAAGAAAGTAATTCAGACCTTAGAGACCTCCTCCAAAGAGCCTAGCAGAAACTACTTTAACTTGGAAAACGGGTGTGGGCAGTGCCCCATCCTGGCAGCAGGGAAATTTCCATGGCACTTTCTTACGTGACTAAACGGAGTCACGTAATTCCCAGTGGAACTACCAGGGTCAGTCAGCTGTGAAACGTAGCCCCAAGTAAAAAACTAAAGAGACTTGGTGTACAGCGTTATTTATCATTAACCAATTGAAGAAGACCCTCGAAGCCAAGGGTGCAGCTGTCTTTTTCTGGCAGACACTGGCTAACAGAAGAGATTGCCTGTTGAGGTCACTCCCAATTTGCCCTATCAATACTATTTAGGTGGCATAAATGAGAACCTTACTTCCTGCTTGTTATGAAGCATTTGCATCTACTTTATTTAAAATTGTATCAGTCCTCTCTGGTACAAGTTATAAAGATGGAGGCTAAATTTTGACAAGTTCAGGAAGTCAGGGAGGAAAGAAAGGGAGGGGTACTAATTCAGAGCATGAAATTTGGAGTCAGAAAGACCTGAGTTCAAACCCACATGAAACACTTGTTAATTATATCACCTTGGGTTATGATATCCGCTCCATACCACAATTTTCTACATAATAGATACAATGCCAGTGACCTAATAAACTTGTTGTAGGATCTTGTAGGATTAAAAGGTCACTACAAATATAATGCATGAGCACCCCAAAAATGTCAGCTACTTCCATAATTACCTGTATCCACAAGCCCTGTCATAACAGCTGTACATAGTAGGCACTAACTAAATATTCGCTGATTGATTAGCTAATTTCTTGCAATTAAGCTGATGGCCATTCATTTGCTAATCGTGGTGCCAGTTCAGGGAGGCTGAGACTTGCCTCACAGATGCCATGGGTCTCATGATTTGTTGGTAAATAGTCAAGGCTTGTCATTTATAAATGGCTTCTTATGAGTGGATAAATACGAGAAAGAAAATAGAATGTGATGAAAGACAGCTTAGAAAACATTACTCAGTTTGAGTAATTTGAGTAAAATGTTACTCAACTTGAGCTAGAGACTGCTTAGCAAAGCTTATGAATACCTGGTCCAATGTCTAAATCACTCAAAAGATGGTAGGTGCTATTAGTCTCATCATTCTACTGTGTGAGCTTGAGATCTGGTCTTCTGGTATAGTGATCCTGTCCAGAGAGAAATTCAGGATTTACCAGAGTATTAATAGGCTGGATTTATGTAAATCCCATACATCTTGGGAAGTTTGAAGGTGATGATGGTCCAACAAATCCTGTATTCTTGGAATATTTATTTACAATATGTGAGACATTAAAAAGAGCTGCCATATTCAGTTGTGCAGGTTGTACACTGCACAAGCCTCAGGGGGGTTAGTCACATGGAGCAGGCTGCTCCTAGGGTTATGGAGTATGCAAACTGATGCTGCTGTAGCAGCCCGTTAAACAGATACTCTAGAGTATCTGTGACCTTCTTGCTTCTCATTAAAGACACTAAACCCAGAACAGAAGTTTCTTTAGAACAATGTTGGCATAAAGTTTGAGGAGATATTTGGCAAACTAATTGGCTTGTGATACTGATGGACTAGAGAGTTACTCTTTTTGGAAAACTGAATAGATTATACTTTTGGTCAATCTAGAGGGTTCTGAACCTAACATGCACATTGAATCAAATCACTTGAATAGGAACAGTGGCCTATTGTGCAAAATAGGACTCCCAGAGTACTGTAGCCAAATGAGGACACAAGAAGCTTTTTAAGTTTGATATGACTCATCAATCAAATTAGTTCTGGCTCTAGTTGAGGAGTGTCTATGGATCTATAAAATAGGAGGCAGGTGAGTAAGAATTATAAAACTGTGAGAATTAGGTCTCCTAGAGGGTGAAGGTAGTTTGCCAATTATGTGGGTACATCAAACCTGCTGGGCCCTGCAATGTAAGAAACAAAGAGCCTCTTTGCTGCTGGGGAGGAAAGGCTACTTCCAGGCAAGTCACTCTGTGGACATGAGATGCCAGTCTCTGAAAATGATTAACTGCTCTGGGTCTCTCCTGCATCACCCAGGAGAGAGAGGGTTTTGAAAGCACGGCTAAGGAACACAGCCACATCAGCTCAGTGGCAATGAACGTCAACAGTCCTAGGAATAGAACACAAAATTATATGCTCCAGATAAATGAATTGGGAAGGTTTTTAAAATATATTTTCTCTGTAACTCATTTTAGCCCGGGCAATTTCATGTAATCCAGTTACAATATGTTAGTGTTTCCTGATGAATATGCTTTTGATGGTTTTGCAATAGCTCTAAAAACCATTCTCATTTAAATGAAATGATGTTTGGGGGATTTGAACAATCATCTCATGATTTAAGCCTGATTCATTATTAAATAAAAATACTAAGCTCTCTTCTCTGTTCCTCGTTACCCGACTCTGCAGCCTTAATGACATCTCCTTCCTAGGTAGAGAATCCAACCTTTAGAGAAAGTGTGGTTAAGGGTGTGAATGTCGTTATTGATGGCATGCCTACTAAGTGTAAGCATCAGGAAATACTCCTTTCAGATCACTGTGTCGTTGGGATTTGCCCAGCTCACTGGGAAGGATGGCTCAATGCTTTCTCTTGCAGTTCAGCATGAAGCATCATTTCTGCAGCTAAAGGACAGAAGCTTTAGAAAAACCTTCCAAAAAGATGTCTCAAGAGGCATATATCAAGTTCAAATGTGTATACTCTGGTGGCTATCTAAAAATGGTGAGGTTTTTTGCAGCATCAAAAGCAAAAAACTTTTCCTGTTGGCTAGGTTAGCACAAATTTGCAGCCCCTTATCTGAAGTCTTTGGCATTAGATATGCTTTAGATCTCAGGGTTTTTCAGATTCTGTAAGGAATTACAGTGTGCCTGTTATAAAACACACCCCCCTCAGAAAGGTCTGGGGAAACCCCTATAACACAACACATTAACATTTCTGCAGCAAACTGTAGGAACAGTCACACCAAGGGATAAAGACTATAAATAGTCTCACCTCAGTTCAGGTCAGGCTTTGCTGCCAAATGAGTTTGTGCCAACCTTCAGTGAAAAAAAGTTCAGTTTCCAGAGATTTTTGGATTTCAGTAGTGCAGATAAGGGATTGATTACCTGCCAAATGTTTAAAGATGCTAGAGCAAAGTTTTAGATCAGTAGTTCTCAAAGTGTGTCCTCTGACAGGCAGCATCAGGAACACCAGGGAACAGGTGAGTAAAGCAAGTTCTAGGCCCCTACCCCAGATTTACTGATTCAGAAACTCTGGAGGCAGAGCCAGCAATTTGTCTGTGTTTAGCAAGCTCTGCAGGGGATTCTGAAACCCACAGCAGGTTAAGAACCACTCCTGGAGGAGTTCAAGCATAAACACTGGTCTAGGACTAAAGAAACCTGAGTCCTAGTTAACCAGCTATGACACATAATCTTTTATTATTTTGATTTCCAATCTGCAAAATGGGGATAATTCTACCTGCCCTTTTAGTTTGGTAGGATAATTATGTAGATGTAAAGAGATAACGCATGTAAAAAAGATTGATAGATAACTATAATGTGTATATACTATTTTAAAATAAGGATAAAATAAGGATAAAATAACACCATTGTTAAATGGAACAAAAGTTAATCAGCAGATCAGTGCTATGTGATACAGAAAGTAAACAAATTGAAAATGTAAAATGCTACATCTGTGCCTGGAAAAGCAATATAAGAAAAATAAACTTACAATGCCATCTAATTCAGGTTTCCTGTCTCTGGGAGACCCAGAGTCATATTTTCAATCAGATCACATTAAAACATGACAATGTGCAAAAGACTGACACATTCCGTGAAGTATATTTATAAGTGCATTTTCATATTCCCTCCCCCATCTCATTTCAGAAAAGATTTCAAACAATGCTGAAAGACAGATTACATGTTCTGCTGTTTGGACTTCTGTGCTATGAATGGCAAAGTAAACAATCCAGGGAGGCAGATAATACAATGGAAAGATCCCACCTCTGCCCCATGCAACCTTGGGCAAGTCACTTTATCCTCTCTGGGCATCAGCTTCCAGTTATAAGCACTGCTCCTGTGGCTCGGTTCTCTTATCCACTGCTTATTTTGCCAGTTTCTGAAATCAGATTCTATAAACTGAGGACACATGTGACAATATACAAATCTACTGAGAATGAACAGGAGATGAGCTATATCGCCTTTTACAAGCCCAGGTAGGGAAGAGAAATATAAGCTGAGTTGTGTTTCAGGGTATCAAGCCCTCACACAGTAATCCTACTAGGCGTTCTCGTTCCCCCAGACAAAGAGCTCTTTATTCACACTTAGCTTCTTATAGTGCTACTATTACTATTGGAAAAAATAAGTCTCTCAGGAAAGGCTCAGTCCATATAAGAATTCTCCTTTCTGCCTTGGCCACAGTCCAGTGCTTAACTTTTAGCTGAGGTCACGGCATCCTGTTCTACCTGCTCACCTCGGACCAGAGGTGACAGCATAGAGCTGTCCTACTCAAGCCCTTTTTTGGCATTTTAAAAAATCTTATCTGGTAAAGCCAGGTCTTCAAGGGCTTCTGGCTGGAAGAACTGGCCTACAAGGTAAACTGCTCTCCAGAGTCCATGGCTTATATTCACCCAGGCCTGTGGTTTCCAATATGTCGATAGATCAAAAGCCCTTAGAAGTGCCATCATTCTCAGAACACAAGGAGCTGCCTGGAAATAGAAAAACTAGCCCCTAAGCAACATAATGCACCCTTCCTTTTCATGATTTCCAATTCTGATATGCTAATGTGGAGCAGTAGAGTGAGATGGCTAAGGATAAGGGAGAGCTGGGCATTAGATTGTCTGGGGATTAGGATTCCCTCTTGTCTTCCAAGAGTTATTTACATTTTGGATAATTCACTTAACTTCTGTATGCTATGATTTGCACACCTATACAATGGGAATACTAATAGTTCTTTTCTCATAAGGTTATCGGGAATATTAAATTATATTCTTTGTTAGGTATCCAAAACACTACCTAGGTCAGTACCTTGTACGTAATAAGAGCTCTCAATTGAAATGTGCTGCTCATCTTCCAGCTACTCTGTAGGTAATGGAAACTACATACAGCTAAGTCCTAGAACCCTTAGAAAGCTATGCTGGGACAAAAATATTCCTCTTTGAATACTAGAAAAAAATCACAATTCCCAGGAAAATGAAAACAGTTTGTACTCCACTGAACTCAGGCAAATGTAACAGCACACAGGCAAACTGTACAAATTCAGCAAAACAAACTCCAGGTGAGTTAAAAAACAAGAAAGAACAACAACACCACATTGCATATTTAGGATGGTTCTAATAATAAAAGCGCTCCAATGCATAATTTAATTTAAATACTGCTATAGCCATCTTGTGTTTTTAACTATGTTTAAGAATAATAAGATTACACAGAAATTAGTCTAGCTCTAGAATATTAGATCAAGAAATATTTTAAATGTGGATGAAAAGAATACCCGCATATGGAATGGAAACAGAAAACCGGTTTGTTTGCTTATTACAATTGCTTCCTGGAAACATGTAGCCTGGGAAAAATAAACCTTTCTCTTTGAATGGTGTCCTTGAATTGCTCACCTACCGATAGTTACAGGCACAGAAATGGAAGACTCATTGCTCAGCATGATCTTCAAATAGTACAAAGAACCTATTATACACAATATTTGGTGCTAAGTGCTGTGTGGGCAAAGGACAGAACCATCCTAAAATCTTCCCTCAAGGCGTCTAGTAGGAGAGACAAATGAATTTCTATCAGGAACTTGAACATGAAGTACAAAGTAATAAAAGTGATAAGAGTAGAGATAAAACATCAGGAGAGTTCAAAGGAAGGAAAAGATTCGTGCAGCCTGGGTAGTGTGTGTGTGTGTGTGTGTGTGTGTGTGTGTGTGTGTGTACGTGTGTATGGTAGGAGAGGCAACCAGAGAAGGCTTAGTGGAGGAGGAGGCATTTGAAGTACGCCTTGAAGAATGAATAGAATTTGCATGAGTGGAATGAAAGAAGTGGAGGAGGAAGCGTATCTGGGAGTCAGGAACAGCTTAGGCGAAGACTCAGAGGTAGGTAATTTTTTGCTTCCTTTTTACCCAGACTTTATATCTGTGAAAACAAATAGTTCTTGTGATACCACTTTTCAAATCTTTCTTGTTGGGCAAGAAAGATATGAATATTAAAGGTTAGAAGCATAATTCTAGTCATCTGGATAGTCTCAGCTTCTCATGTGTTATTCTAAGTGCCCAAGGAATGTATATTAAAAATATATATGAATTAAAGGATGATTTTCTATAAGCTGCATTGTGCAATATGGCACTAGCTTTATTTAAATTTAAATTAATTAAAATAAAATACCATTTAAAAATTTAGTTTCTCAGTTACACTGGCCATATTGCTAGTGCTCAGTTGCCACATGTGGCTACTGGCCAATCTTACCGGATGGCAAAGATATAGAACATTTTAATTATCACAGAAAGTTCTGATGGGCAGTACTATTCTGGAAGGTAAGAATTATCTCAAATGCTAAGTATTATTGAATTCAATTTTCTTAACTGTCTCTGTATATGCTTCTTTTTTTTCTGCTGATCATTTTCTCACTGGGCCCTGCCTTCCCCTCCTCTGCCCTGTACCAGGGATTACTGACTCCTGCTGCTGCTTCCCCGCCTCTCTGGACAGTGGATACAATAGCAGGACAAAAGGAAAAACAGGGTTCATCTCTACATACTCCCCCACCCAGCCAGGAGGGATCCCGCGCAGTAGCTGCATCTCCTTTCTGTTGCCAGCAGCCTCCTATGAGGTTCCAGGGCCCATTGGTGGACCTCACTGCTGGGCTCTGGGAACAGCACCTTTTCCCCACTCTCCTTTAGTATTAGGGGTATGGGTGACTTCCTGCATTGTTAATCCCTCATCTGCTTCGCCATTGCCTGTTTGACTTCTCAGCTCTTCTAGCAGCTTTTAATTAATTTCCAGTGTTAAATCCCTTCTATTGAACTACCTGGTATAAGATCTGTTTTCCTGACTGGACCTTGACCAATATATTATACATATTCAAGCATCACATTTCAAAACAAGGATTATCAGTAGAACACTAGCAAACATGGAATATCTTTCCGGACAAAAAGTAAATTTTGAAGGTGTTCATATTCCTGCATCTCAAGTACAACATAATTAGCATTTGTTTGTATTAGAGAGGACATTCCTATTATCCTAAGGCCAATGTAATTTTTGTTAATTTTTATTGCTATTATTTTTCCATTTTCTAGAGAAGGGAACTGGGGTTAAAGAGGCTAAGTCTCAGCCAACAACAGATGGATACCAAGAGGAGAAATTCAAAGCTAAAATGCTGAACAAATGGAGCCTTGCACAAAAATAGGACATATTGTATGATTACATTTACAAGAAATGCTAAAACAGGTCAAACTTATCTAAGGTGACATAAGTCAAAACCATGCTTGCATCCAGAGGGAGAAGCAGACTGCTTGGGAAGTGATACAAGGGACTTTTCTGGAGAAATGGAAATGTTCTCTATGGCGAAAGGAGTGTGAGGCAAATGGATATATACATTCGTCAAAATCACACACTTAAGATAGTGCATCACCATGTAGGTACATTATAAATAAATGAATTTAAAGCACTGAAAAAATAATCCAGGGGAAATGAGGAGGGACTGGAATTAGGACTGAAACAAGAATGGCAGAATGTTGATTAGTGCTGGACAAGGGTGATGGCTACTAGGGGCTCATTATACTTACTCTGTTTACTTTGCATATGTTTGAAATTTTCCAAACTAAAATTTTCTAAAATCATAAAAGGAACCTTTAAGTCTCTGTGATTTCAAAGCTTATGTTCTTTCCACTAACCACTTTGCTTCAAACCATTTTAAAGTATATCAAATACAGGAGGATGACTCCAACCCAAGGAAAATACAGGAGAGGCACAAATCTGCAAGGAGAGCATTCAGTAGCCAAACAGAGAATTAGCAGCATTCTACAATACACCAAGGAACTGCACACAGTAGACAAGGCACCACTGCCCTGCTCCAAATTTGCATCTTTTCTATCACTATAAATACTATTCAGGCTAGAAGGGGCAGAGCATGATTAGTAAGAAGCTGAAATGCAAAACCTAAAAACAAGCAATGGGGAAACGTTTCCCTATTTAATAAATGGTGCTGGGAAAACGGGCTAGCCATAAGCAGAAAACCGAAACTGGACCCTTTTCTTACACCTTATACAAAAATTAACTCAAGATGGATTAAAGACTTAAATGTAGGGCTGGGCACAGTGGCTCATGCCTGTAATCCCAGCACTTTGGGAGGCCGAGGTGGGCAGATCACTTGAGGTCAGGAGTTCGAGACCAGCCTGGCCAACATGGTGAAACCCTGTTTCTACTAAAAATACAAAAATTAGCAGGGCATGGTGGCGCATGCCTATAATCCCAGCTACTCAGGAGGCTGAGGCATGAGAATCGTTTGAACCTGGGAGGCAGAAGTTGCAGTGAGCCAAGATCATGCCATTGCACTCCAGCCTGGGCAGCAAAACAAGACTCTCTCTCTCTCAAAAAAAAAAAAAAAAAAAAAAAAGACTTAAATATAAAACCCAAAACCATAAAAATCCTAGAAGAAAACCTAGCCAATACCATTCAGGACATAGGCATGGGCAAAGATTTCATGATGAAAATGCCAAAAGCAATTGCAACACATGCAAAAATTGACAAATGGGATCTAATTAAACTAAAGAGCTTCCGCACAGCAAAAGAAACTATCATCAGTCGAGCAGGCAACCTAGAGAACGGGAGAACATTTTTGCAATCTACCCTTCTGACAAAGGTCTAATATCCAGAATTTACAAGGAACTTAAATAAATTTACTAGAAAAAGACAAACACCCCATCAAAAAGTGGACAAAGGATATGAACAGACACTTCTCAAAAGACGACAGTTATGCGGCCAACAAACATGAAAAAAAGCTCAACATCACTGATCATTAGAGAAATGCAAATCAAAACCACAAGGAGGCCGGGTGCGGTGGCTCACACCTGTAATCCCAGCACTCTGAGAGGCCAAGGCGAGTGAATCACCTGAGGTCAGGAGTTTGAGACAAGCCTGGCCAACATGGCAAAACCCCGTCTCTACTAAAAATACAAAAAAAAAAAAAATTAGCCAGGTGTGGTGGTGTGTGCTTGTAATCCCAGCTACTCGGGAGGCTGAGGCAGGAGAATTGCTTGAACTAGGGAGGTGGAGGTTGCAGTGAGCCGAGATCGCGCCACTGTACCCCAGCCTGGGTGACAAGAGCAAAACTCTGTCTCACAAAAAAAAAAAAAAAAAAAACTAAACTAAAAACTAATGAGATACCATCTCACGCTATCATGCCAGTCAATGGATTATTAAAAACTCAAGAAACAACAGTTAAGCTACCAATGACTTTCTTCACAGAATTGGAAAAAACTATTTTAAAGTTCATATGGAACCATAAAAGAGCCCACATTGCCAAGACAATCCTAAGCCAAAAGAACAAACCTGGAGGCATCACGCTACCTGACTTCAAACTATACTACAAGGCCACAGTAACCAAAACAGCATGGTACTGGTACCAAAACAGAGATATAGACCAATGGAACAGAACAGAGCCCTTAGAAATAATACCACACATCTACAACCATCTGATCTTTGACAAACCTGACAAAAACAAGAAATGTGGAAAGGATTCCCTATTTAATAAATGGTGCTGAGAAAACGGGCTAGCCATATGTAGAAAGTTGAAACTGGATCCCTTCCTTACACCTTATACAAAAATTAATTCAAGATGGACTAAAGACTTAAATGTTAGACCTAAAACCATAAAAACCCTAGAAAAAAACTTAGGCAATACCATTCAGGACACAGGCATGGGCAAGGATTTCATGTCTAAAACACCAAAAGCAATGGCAACAAAAGCCAAAATTGACAAATAGGATCTAATTAAACTAAAGAGCTTCTGCACAGCAAAAGAAACTACCATCAGAGTGAACGGGCAACCTACAGAATGGGAGAAAATTTTTGCAATCTACTCATCTGACAAAGGGCTAATATCCAGAATCTACAAAGAACTCAAACAAATGTACAAGAAAAAAACAAACAACCCCATCAAAAAGTGGGTGAAGGATATGAACAGACACTTCTCAAAAGATGACATTTATGCAGCCAACAGACACATGAAAAAATGCTCATCACCACTGGCCATCAGAGAAATGCATATGAAAACCACAATGAGATACCATCTCACACCAGTTAGAATGGTGATCATTAAAAAGTCAGGAAACAACAGGTGCTGGAGAGGATGTGGAGAAATAGGAACACTTTTACACTGTTGATGGGACTGTAAACTAGTTCAACCATTGTGGAAGACAGTGTGGCGATTCCTCAAGGATGTAGAACTAGAAATACCATTTGACCCAGCGATCCCATTATTGGGTATATACCCAAAGGATTATAAATCATGCTGCTATAAAGACATATGCACACGTATGTTTATTGTGGCACTGTTCACAATGGCAAAGACTTGGAACCAACCCAAATGTCCATCAATGATAGACTGGATTAAGAAAATGTGGCACATATAAACCATGGAATACTATGCAGCCATAAAAAAGGATGAGTTCATGTCCTTTGTAGGGACATGGATGAAGCTGGAAACCATCATTCTCAGCAAACTATCACAAGAACAAAAAACCAAACACCGCACGTTCTCACTCATAGGTGGGAATTGAACAATGAGAACACTTGGACCCAGGAAGGGGAACATCACACGCTGGGGCCTGTTGTGGGGTGGGGGTAGGGGGGAGGGAAAGCATTAGGAGATATACCCAATGTAAATGACGAGTTAATGGGTGTAGCACACCAACATGGCACATGTATACATATGTAACAAACCTGCACGTTGTGCACATGTACCCTAGAACTTGAAGTATAATAAATAATAATAATAATAATAAAATAAATAAATTTTAAAAAAAAGAAACAACAGATGTCAGCGAGGCTGTGGTGAAATATGAACACTTTTACACTGTTGGTGGGAATGTTAGTTCAACCATCGTGGAAGGCAGTGTGGCAATTCCTGAAGGATCTAGAACCAGAAATACCATTTGACCCAGTAAGCCCATTACTGGATATATACCCAAAGGATTATAAATCATTCTGCTATAAAGATACATGCACATGTATGTTTATTGCTGCACTATTTACAATAGCAAAGACATGCAATCAACCTTAATGTCCATCAATGATAGACTGGATAAAGAAAATGTGGTACATACACACCACAGAATACTATGCAGCCATTAAAAGGAATGAGATCATGTCCTTTGCAGGGACATGGATGAAGCTGAAAGCCATCATCCTCAGCAAACTAAAACAGGAACAGAACACCAAACACTGCATGTTTTCCCTCATAAGTGGGAGTTCAACAATGAAAACACATGGACACAGGGAGGTGAACATCACACACCGGGGCCTGTGTTGGGGAGCCGGCAGAGTGGGGAGAGCATCAGGACAAATAGCTAATGCATGTGGGGCTTAAAACCTAGATGACAGGTTGATAGGTGCAGCAAACCACCATGGCACGCGTATACCTATGTAACAAACCTGCACGTACTGCACGTGTATCCCAGAACTTAAAGTAAAATAAAACTTTTAAAAAAAGAAGAGATGTAAAACCTATGAAAACATGTAAATAAGTCAAAAGTTTTCTATATATCATGAGGTAGAAAATTACCTCAATGGTACTCTTTGGGCAACTTTGAAGGCAAAAGAAACCAGAAGGCAGGTCAGACGAATACTATCCTAATTATTTAAAAGAAAAAAAAATAGTTTCAGAGGCTTCCTGTGACCACAGGATATAGTCTAGATTCCATAGGAGAAAGGCAAGCAAAGTTTGATGCAAGCTTCAGCTTAATCTCCCATCACTACTGTCTCTTTCTTTGCATTCTGATGATAGCAATTTTTTTGCAGCTACCTGCACTCACTCAGCCTGCTGTTTCAGACTCCCCAGTTTTCTTTACACTGTTTCCTCTCACTGGAATGTCCTTCCTCTCCTTCTATTTATTCTTCCAGACTCAGCTCAGGAATCATCTCCTTCAGGGAGGGCTCCCAGAACTTCAAGGCACTCTCAATCCTCCATGCCCAGGTGCTTCCCAAAGTACTGATGACAGCGATATTACCCGCTGGGGTACCAGCCTCCGCACTTGCCTATCAGCTCCTCCAGGGCTAGATCATGTGCTAGTCATCTCTGCACTCCCAGTAATATTAGGGCTTAGTACTTTGCTGATGCACAATAAATGTTTGTCAGACTATTATATAGGTGTTCTGGAGCTGGTTATGCTATGTGGCTTATGAATGCAAAGAAAATAAAGTCGTAGAGGCCTTATAGCCCGCTTGAGGCTGCTGAGGCCTTATAGCCCGCTTGAGGCTGCTCAGGACTCATTCAGATCCTCCACCGTCTTTACGGCAGCCAACAGCCATGCCTTTAGTTAGGTTGCTGAGTTCTGATGGAACAATGTTTCAAGTAGGTAGTGAGATTTCCAAAGAGCCTTTTGGAATAAAGTCTAAAGGAAGGCTGACAAAATTCTTCTATTCTGTAAGAAGAAGTAATTTTGCCAAACACTCACCTCAGTGATGATCCTTTACCAAATGAAATGACAAAAACAAAGAAAAATGAACATATAGCATTATTATTCGAGACCAAAAAAAAAAAAAAAAATCAAACTCCTGAAAATTGACCAGGCTACTGTTTTTGAAATTATCGTGGTTAGATATTTAGACATTAAATGTCTGCATGATGTCACAAGCAAGAAGTCTGAAAAATCACAGGAAAACAAGGGGAAATTTTCAAGGCAGTTGATATCAGAGCATTATTTTTCATGAAGCAGAAGAATCTTGAAGAGGACTTGGGCTGGGGGAAGAAGATAAATTTTGTGCCACTGATTCAGTAATATGACATTGTTCCAAGTTCCCCCTGACAACTTTGTTCACAATTGTTAATAGTCTACACATCATGGATGAATGGAATGCCAAATATACCATGTGAGCAGGGTATTGTTCTCACTGCATTTGTGGTCTCTTTCATACAGATCCAAAACCCAGGGCTGAGCCTTTCCAAATACAAAGTCAAAAGTCTTTTTACTTTGCTCTGCATGAAACATAACTGCAGGTGGGTTCTCTATGGAATGTGACATTTGGAACTTTCCTACGTTATTTTTACCTAATGCATTTCTTGTCAGTTAGTGACCTCTTATTATTAAAAATCGATCAGTAAATAAATGAACATCTGTGATTACCACAAACTTTCACTTCTTTACAAAAGTCCAGTTGAGTCACATTAACTTCATTCTGTAGGATTACTAGACTGTAAAGGAATGTCATAAGTAGAGTGTTTAGAATAACTTCACGTAGAGAACCAAGAAGCAAGAAGATTAAAGGTGAGTGATATTGGGACCTGGAGCAATGAGAGCCATTTTTGAAGTATATCGATCTTGGAAAAGTTACTTTCTGTCTGCCTCCTGATACACAAAACAGATACAATAATAACTCTATTGTATGAGGTTGGGTGAGAAAATGAATGCGAAGTGCCCAGTAGACTACTTGGGTATCACAGCAGCCAAATGAGTGGCAGGGGGGACCAGGGAGTCTTGGGGCAGCCTGGGCAGACAAAGGAAGCTGAGGCAAAGTCCAGCTTGTCTAAAACCCACAGTTCCTGTGTCAGAGGGGAGAGGTGTATTCTGAGGAGTCAGGAGGCTTTGCTCATAGCTCAGCTCCACTTTCTTTAACTCTTGAGACTTGGGCAAGTTATACAATTGCCCTGTGCCTCAGTTTCCTCATAAGTGAAACTGGGATAATAACAGTTGCTACAGTTCATGCAGCTGAGATCATGAAATACTATGCAGCCATAAAAAAGGATAAGTTCATGTCTTTTGTAGGGACATGGATGAAGCTGGAAACCATCATTCTCAGCAAACTATCGCATGAAGATTGAGATCATGAAAGCAAAGAGTCTGGAACATAACGAGCTCTCAAAATATGTGGCTGCTTAACTGCAGCTGATAGGCAGGGGGGCAGGGCTAAAACTGGGGTGCTAGGAGTGACGTGTTCAGCTCAGGGTGTTTGGGAAGTGTTATGGTACCTCATTTGGCTTATTGGAAGCTGCACATAGATAGGGCAAGAGCCTGTTCTCAGGACGCTGACATGGGGAGCAAAGTACACTGCCATTTGTTTTCTCCTTTAGTAGACAATTTGCTCTATGTTTCTTGGGGGCTACACTTCAAATCTTGAGAGCAAAACTAGCAATATCATGAACATGGCTCTTATTCTATCCTAAGGTCTGCTGTGGGCTGTGACAGTGGAAGTTGGAGGAGTTATACCTGATTAAACAACCAATCATCTTTTATTGAAGATAAAAGTACCATTCTCTACTATTGATTAGTAGAAGATGCCAACTTAGAGGATTATGAAGGTGAAGGGGGGTGACAAGGCAGAGTGTGTGTTTGTGTTTACCTGAGACACTGAGGTGGAGGAGAGGAAAGGCTTGCATATGGGGCCTGGAACATTGTAGATGCTCAGTAATTATTGGTTGAAGGAATGAACAAGAGAAAAATCAAGGTTTACAAAGCTGTCAATAGGCTAAATAATAGGTCAAAATCAGGATGAGCTGTAGAGGGAAGAAATGTCAAGTTTTGCCGAATGGTGGAGATTTTGCCCAGCAGAAATAAATGCCACAAAGATTTATGAGATGTCATTAATTACAAGCTTAATAGGCAACCATATGCTTCTCTCCTTTAGTAGGAGTTTAAAAATGTACATGTAAGCCATGCTATTAAATTCAGAGAGGAAACAGACCCTCTGGGGTTGACCATGGCCAAGCCCATCTTTAGTTTTAGGGAGTAGATATAGAGGAGGAACGCCAGCAAGGGCTTGAAAGTTCTATCATAGGGGCAGCAAGTCAAGGGATTTATAAGTCTTGGTATGGAAAAAGAAAGAAATCTTATTGAAAACAGAAGAGTCGACTTCAAATGTTTAAATATCTGAAGCACTGCCATGTAGAAGATGAATTAGCCTTACTGAAGCTGTTAAATATTTCTTGGATGTCTGCTGCTTGCAAAATGCTCATTTACTCATTTTACAAATATTGATTGTCCACATATTCTGTACCAGATACTGTCCTAGATACTGCAGTAAGGTCACTGCCCTCTGGAACCTAACACTTAATGGAGGATGGGGAAGACCATCCATAACAAGGAAGCACAGAAAATAATGTCTGGTGGGGGAAGGATGGAACTGTACCTGGTGTTTATCCTCACATATTTGCATTAAAACCTAGTGGGATATACTTATTATTTGTTGTGCCATGAGTTAAAGATAGATAATAATTCAATTAAAGGAAGAACTTTCTCCCAACAGAATATGGGCTCTGTCAAAAAGTAGTGAATTCTGTCACTGGAAATGTTTAAAAACAAATCCTCCTTGGCCATCTTTTAGGACAGTTGTAGAAAATTGATGAATTGGAGCTAGAACTAGATCAATGGTTAAAGAGCTTTGGAATTCATAGACCAATATAAATTTTTAAAGTGGTAGGTGCCAACATAAGCTTGCCAAATTTTTATAGGTCTAGTATATTAAAGGAAAACTGAAACTTTTCAAAAATATAAAGGCCATTTTTAAGGGATCTATAATAAAGGAATGACATCAGAATAAAATGTTCCTTGGGTTAAGTGAATTTGGTTATATAAAATTTCCTAATATTGGCCTTACTTTTAAAATTTCGCAACAGACCATCAAAAACTTCATTACTGGCCAGAAACAGTCCATAGGCTAGAATTTCAAGACAGAACCACTTGACCTTTAAGGGCTCCCTAATATGTTTTAAATGTTTATGTATTATTAAAGTTTAGGATACTTTTGTGTGTAGTTTTGGGGTTGGTGTCTATGCATTTAAAGCTGAGGCTAAAACTAACTATGGGCAAATTATGTAACTTCCATGAACCTTGGTTTTTGTTCCTGTGATGTGGGGATGATAATATTATTGATCCATGGTGTTGCAAGAGTTCACTGAGATAATACAATTGAAGCACTTGATGCAGTGAGTAGTTTGTAGTAAGTGTTCAATAAAAATGATAGCCACCCCCACCCTTTGTCAGATCTTCTGTCCCAGGGGAAACGGTGGGATGAGGGGCATTTCTAATGGATAATGATGTCAGTACATACCATTTTCTAAATACTCTATTTTCCAACAGCAGAATAGATTATTTGGCTTGTAATACTTGTACCCTGCCCCCTATTACCAGAGAAATAAACAAGAGTCACAACTAGTTACCAAAAGGATGGTTTTCTCTCTGCTCCTGTTTCATTTGTTTTCCTAGGCTCCTACTTCTGTTGCCTGCCTTCTCTGGCACTCACCCACCTCTTTGTAGAAGGGCCAACCACCTATTACTTTTTCTCTTAACTCTTGGAACTCTTCCATTTTCTCCTCCACCTGAAGCTTGCTTGTCAGTGTACCAAGGGTGTTGCTTCTCCTGACCTCCTCCGGGCCCTGTCTGCCACTGCCAATATGACCAACACTCTTAGCAAGTTTTTAAAATTGATAAGAACCTTTGACATTAATATCAACAAATCCGGCTCGGTTTCTTTACCAGGTAATAGATTGTGTCCAAATGCTGTGGAAATTCATGTCCTTAGGCCTGTGACTTCAAGTCTGAAAGCTCAAACAATGTGAAAGATGACCGATGTTTGAAAGCTGAGCTGCCATCAGCCCTCCACAGCTCATCCTCTGTGACAATACCCAGCAGTGTCTACTCAAAAGAATGCATTGTTCTAACTACAGCTAATGCTTCTCTCCTTTAGTAGGAGTGATACTGTGATGTCATTAACAGTGATCAGATTTAAGTCCGTGACAGGTGGCAGAATTCAAGAACTCAATTCTTCAGTAGCAGTAAATCTGGACACGAAGGTGCTTGAAATACAAAGGTCTTAACTGAAGGACATCAGAGTCCTATGATTTGGCATTTGCACAAAGTAAGATGTGCTGAATAACTCCTGAATTACTTTTCATTACTGCCTATGTTAGTTTCACATTTATGACTTTAAAGCTTAAAATGTGGCTGGGCATGCTAGAGAAATAAAAGCATAGAATGCTGTAATTACTGAACAAAGTGGAATGGATAAAGAATTGGTCCAAAAGGCAGGCCCAGTCTTAACTTATAAGTAGAAATTCTTCCTTGACCGAGATATTGCTATACTTTCAATTCATTCCCTCTATCTCTCTTTGCATTTTAAATTTTCTCTATAAAAAGTAGATTACCTAGGACTTTATAGCCTGTAAGGCCTTTTGCTTTTACCCTCAGTGAGATGGGAGTCACTGGAGCATTTTGAGCAAAGGGGAGGGAGGACCTGCTTTACCTTTTAACAGGATTCCTCTCATTGCATTGATCCCTCTCTCACTGCTGTATGGGAATCAAGGCAAAGAAAGAAGACCAATACACAGGCTATTGAAATAATAATAAAGAGATGACAATAGCTTAGTCCAAACAAGATGGAAGCAGTGGACATAGTGAGATAGGAATCTTATATTTTGAAGGAAGCATTAAATGAATGTATTGATGGAGCAGATGTACATTGTAAGAAAAAAACCCATGAATCCCCTGAAATCACTACAAGATTTTCAGCATTAGCAACTAGAAGGAAGAGTTGCTATTTCCTGAGATGGAGAAGACTTGAGAGAAGTTGCCAGGAGTGGTGATAGGGTGTTGGAGATAGATCATGAATTTATTTGACTTCTGACACGTCAAGTTTGAAATGCCTTGACATCAAGTAGGCATGTCAAGTAGAAGATGAATATCCAAGTCAGGCATTCAGGGTGCAACTCAGGCAAGAGACATGCATTAAGGAAGCTGCAGTGCATCTGTGGTGTTTAAAGGCATGAGACATGATAGGGTAAGAGAGGAGGGAAAGATAAGATGCAAGCTGAGTCCTGGGCACTTTAACTTGAAGTTGGAGAAAGAGGAGAAATCAACAAAGGAGCAATAAGGAGCCACAAAGGGAGGTGGAGTCCTAAGAACCAAATGAAGAAGGTTTCAACAAAGGACGAACAACCCATGTGTCTAAGGCTGGTCTCTTAAATATTCTAAACCAATTCACAAATATAATCAAAGTCTTTTACTCCTTTCAAAATAAAATAACACATCTAATAGTAATTACACATTTCAAATCAAAATCTCAAGGCTAATTTGTCAGATACTCTAATATGTCAGATTGTTTCAGTAATATACCTTTAAAAATAAATAACCACAAATAAAATGAATGATTATGAGATGTACTGCTAAACTTAGCACAAAAGCATTAAGGCTTAACGTTAAGGCTAACAGGGTTGGCTCATGTTATCCCTTCTCTACTCCACAGGTTGTAAGGTCATTTTCGCAATCTAGGAGGAAACATTTACTCTATCAGTGGAGCCACATTACAATATACTTATTTACCTGTCAAATTTAATACCAACATATGAGACCTGGCCACTACGTACCTCAAAGCTGATTCTCTCCAAATTCTAACTGAACAAGCTGATCCCGTTCTGATTGTTGAGTTCTGTGTGCAATGTCATTAGGGTACCCCATGCCTATATCTTCCAGCTGGAGTTTAGTTTCACAACCCTGCACGTCACACATTTCCTAGAACATATTTCAAGCTTTACCTTCAATCAATTTTTATTATAACCTTATTTCAACATGTTATCACCTAATTTAGGTAGACGAAATTCTGCGCCTTTAACCAAGTTGCAGTTAATTTCTTTCATGCCTCAACTGGATTCAACTAATGTCTTTTCTACTTGATTGAATTCTGCATTCTTATTTTTTTGGTCTGAATCTTGGTTACAATTTTAGAATCATTTTTATCGACAAGAGAAGAGCTTAAGGTCCATGAAAGTGATGGGACCAAGCACAGGTTGGATTTCTTTATTCCAGTGCATAACACCTAAAGCTTCTGTCCTAGGGTTTGTTTGAATGGTGCTCAGAACTATGAAGGATCCATAGCCTATTCTTACTTAGCTGCGAGAATACCACACAGAAGAGCTTCAGAGTTGGAGGTGAGGGCTAGAGGAACCATTAAAGAGGGCTGATATGTCTCATTTATTCAAAAGACCCGTATTTGACCCTACCATTCGCTGGCACTGTGCTAGGGTTAAGCAGTGTGTTTTGAGATGCGTTTATGTGTGCTTGATACCTGCTCCTTTTGATCTGGTGTAGGCAGGGTTGAGATTCAGCTGTGCCCACTGGCACGGCTGTACTGGTAATTTGCAGCTGGTGTCTATTCTGATTGGTTAGTACTTGTTTCATAAATGCTGTTACATATTATGAATATCATCCATGATGTTAGAGATACTAAAGTAAACAGAATACATTTCTATCTTTTGAAGTTTTTTTGTTTGTTTTAATGATTTCAAAGAGGCATCTATCCCTTCTTATCTCTATTACAACCATCTTGATATCCAAATAGTAAATAGTAATCTTGGCTGGGTGCGGTGGCTCAGGCCTGTATTCTCAGCACTTTCAGAGGCTGAGGCTGACAGATTACCTGAGGTCGGAGTTCGAGACCAGCCTGACCAATATGGTGAAACCCTGTCTCTACTAAAAATACAAAAATTAGCTGGGTGTGGTGGCATGCTCCTGTAATCCTAGCTACTAGGGAGACTGAGGTGGGAGAATCTCTTGAACCCAGGAGGTGGAGGTTGCAGTGCGCCGAGATCACACCACTGCACTCCAGCCTGGGAAACAAGTGAGAAACTCTATTTCAAAAAAAATAAAAAAGTAACCTAGAACATATGTCTGAAGTTACTGTGTTTCACAATATATGCTCTAGTGTGACTGTTTATGTAACATTCCAAAATGGGCAAAATATAGAGATAGAAATAGATTACTGGTTTCCAGGGGAGTGGTAACTACAAAGGGGGGTACCATAGGGGAGTTCCCACGCAGTGATAAACAGCTCTCTATTGTGTCTGTTGTGATTATAATCATTACACAAATCTCCATATAGGATAAAATTTCACAGAAACACACACACACACACACACACACACACACACACCACAGTGACTGTAAAAGTTGGTGGAATCTGAGTAAGGTCTGAAGTCTAGTTAAGAGTATTATTCTAATGTCAATTTCCTGGTTTTAATAATGTACTATAGCTAAGTAAGATGCTACCTTTGGGGGAAGCTGGTGAAGGGTACATGAGACTTTTCTGTACTATTTTTGCAACTTTGTATACATCTATAATTATTTTTTAACCTTTTAAAGAGAAAAATGTTATGCATTGATTTAGTTAAAATAATAATAGACCCTTTACATGTAAAAAAATAAATGCCCTATAATATTAAACACTTTTCATTTTATTAGTCAGCTCTCATCCCAAAGTAGTCTATAATGAATGAATGAGTTCTGATGGTCACCTAAGCCATGCAGCCCCACTCAGCTATGAAGTTATCACCACCACATGTTTATTCATTTTAACATGTTTGATTCATATAATTAACACGTGAAAAAATCTTTTAAATTTTGCATTCTCTTTGGTACAGAAATTCTAATACTAGTAAAATATTCTACAGGTAAATAGACTTATTTAAGTGCGCTAACAATAGGCACACTCAGCATAGTTTCTCATGGCCGAAAACTGGAAACAATCAAAATATTGAGAATAGGTGACTTGTTTACTACATTTTGACAGAAACACAGAATTAGCGAAGTGAAGACAATAAAAATGTTATTTCAGAGGAATACTTCATAATTTGGAAAGCTGCTCTCATGTTTTGCTAAGTGAAAACAAATTTAAATAGGGTATACAAATATATATGTATGCATAGGGAAAGAACAGATATTTAAATGTTAATGGTGATTTTTCTCTGTGTTATGGCAAATAACATTGTTTTTCTTCTTTTGACATCTAAATTTTCTAAAATGTCTACAGTGAATATGTATTATGTTTGTAATAAATGTAAGACGAAAAAGCAATGTATATATTATAACCAAGTTCCTCGTAGACTAGTGTTTCTTCCAAACTCTGGTGAGTGAGCCCGTGGAGGTCCAAAGATAATTTCTTAGTGGCCAATTATTATTATTATTATGAGAATTTTTGATGTAGTGTTTTCATTAAGATGCTAACCTTAACCCAGTAATATAGACATGTTCTGGATCATCTTCACGATCTCAGCAGGTATAACAAAGATGGCCACTGCCTATATTTGCTTTTATTTTTATGGCTGCGAGTTTAACAAGCCCCACTGTCCTAATTCTCACAGACCAATGAGAAAAAATAATACAGAGTCAAATGTAACAACATATTTCTGGCTAGTAAAAACCATAGATCCCTGCACAAATTAAAATTTGCAGAATTTCCACTAGAGAAAGTAGTGAATACCAGACATGCCAAACTCGAAAGAACTTGCCCTCAGCTCTCAGTACCCAGGCCACAATGTGATCAGTGATTTAACTTTAGCAAAGAGCATCTTCAGTCATTCCATATTAATGGGTGCATTATAGTGTTTATTTATAGTTTTTACTGTATTTGATTTGTAAATTTGTTTTGGTCTTTTATAAATATATATATATATACATATATATACATAAAAGCAATAAGAATAGTGAGTATGTGTCTATTTTGTTTTGTGTTATACTTATTTAAGGAGCATACTGTCAAAAATGTTAAATCAACTGGAGTCGACAACAATCTTTTTCCTTTTCAGACTGCACATTCCTCAAGTCTGAGAAACATTCTTCTAGAACCATAGCTGTTCCCTGAGTATTAATAAAGTACCTTCAGAAACTACATAAACTCCTGGGCACTAAAATGTCATTTAATCTCATTGATGCAGCTAGTAACAAAATGGGACCAAAGCAGACATGTCTGATGCCAAGATCGCTGATCTTTCTCCTCCAATCCCTAGTAATTCACAACTATTTCTATTTCCCAGGTCATTAGAAGGATAAAAATATTTTAAATTAATAAAAGCTGCTTTGAATGGCTAATACACTTAATTTTTTGTGAGGTATTTGCATTTTCAAAGGAAGGTGCCAGGAAAACTAATACACCTTGCCTGCAATTCCCCCTGTTACAACCCAAATCTGTTAACAGGGGGAACTGCAGGCAAGGTGTATTTGTTTCTCTGGACTGCCTAACCAATTACCACAAATCTGGTGGTTTACAACAACAAAAATGTATTCTTTCACAGTGCTGGAGGCTGGAAGTCTAAAAACAGGGTGTCAGGAGGGTTGATTCCCTCTGGAGACCCTTTGGGTGCATCTGTTTTATGTCTCACTACTTGCTCCTTCCTGCTGGTGGCTGCCAGCAATCCCTCCACTCCTGGCTTCTAGATGAGTTACTCCAATCTCTGCCTTCATTTTTTTCACACCACCTTCTCTTCTGTGTTTCCCACTTCTCTTTCACCTTGTCTCAGGACACTACACTTGTCATTGGATTTAGGGATCACCTTAATCCAGGATGATCTCATCTTGAGATCATTAACTTAATTATATTTGCAAAGACCCTTTTTCCAAACAAGATCACATTCACAGGTTCTGGATGGACATATCTTCTGTTGGGTTGTCATGATCCATACCACTAAGCTGTAAAGTGAACTTTCCTGCACACAAAATCCCTGAGGTGGCTCAGCACTCATGTGTCTCACAGATTACCTCCTCACATAAGACCATGGAAAACCAGAATCACATCTCCTGCATCTGCAAATTCTTCCAGGCTCTGGATCCCACCTCTGGTTTCCACCTCTAGTGTATCTCTATACTCTGCCTCAAAGTGCAATTCCCCACTGCCTTGCCCATTCAGATGATCACTTCTACTGTGGGGTGAGGGGGCTGCCCAGCTTTCACCAATTTATCTCCCTGACATGATCTTCCACTTTCCTTAGCACTTAGTCAAGCCTTCTGGGTCCAGGCTTCCTAGAAAGCTCATTACCAGGTCCCTCTCACCCTCCTTCAGCCTAGTTCCTCAGACTACCATTTATCTTGGACCAGAGATCCAATACTGGGAACTAAACTGTTCTTAGAAGCGAAGGCAGACCAGCCCTGCCTGGAAATCAATCTCTCTCATTAGTTCCCTGGCTGCTGATGCTTTTTTTCTCTTGTCCCTTCCCCAGGATCTGGCTAGTAAAAACCATAGATCCCTGCACAAATTAAAATTTGCAGAATTTCCACTAGAGAAAGTAGTGAATACCAGACATGCCAAACTCGAAAGAACTTGCCCTCAGCTCTCAGTACGCAGGCCACAATGTGATCAGTGATTTAACTTTAGCAAAGAGCATCTTCAGTCATTCCAGATTTGCGTCTGGATGAGGATCAGCATCTCTCATCCACTGGCCCAGAAATTCCAGGGTATTTTCCCCACCTTGCCATGGTGGGAGAGACCGGGCCCAGAGCTCCAGGGGCCACTGCCCCACAGCAGCAGGGTAAAATGGTGGTGCCATTTGTAGCCCTAACATTTGTAAGAAAAGAATGGCTGGGTCTCTATCTTGGTTGCTATTCCCTATGGAAGGCAAGGTGCTTTTTAAAAGACGCCCTTCACAGACCACCCAAATGAGAAACACCTGGGATAGTTGTTAAGCATGCATATTTCTGAGCCTCATTCCAGGAAAGTCTATTAGAATCTCTGGGAAAGGACACAGGTCTTGGCATTTTTAATAAGTTTCCCAGTGATTCTTATACACATTAAATTCTAAGAACCACCAGCCTAGTATAATCAAGAAGGTACAAAGTACAGCCACGTTCCCAGGAGTTAAATTAGACCCAGATGAGGAGCCCAATGTCCACAGTGGGTTGAACATTCTGGGAAAGTTACTGCTTCTTCTGTTCACTCACAAAACTCTTCCCTGGAGCACAAGTTTGCCAACAGGTTTGGATCAGAACCTCATGGACCCAGAATCATTGTCCCTCCTCTGTCCTTCCAACCTAGGCAGGGACCAATCCACAGAACTGTCTCTTTCTGCCTTGCTTTAGGGACTTTGTTGCTGATCACCCCTGGGCCTTTGTCAGGGCCCACAAGGGTCCCCCTACAGTTTGAACATGGGGGAGACAGTAGAGATTCAGGTGCCTTCCCTTGGATTCTTTGTGCAAATAAATCCATCCATCTTCAGAGCTCTAATTATCAAAGGTATTGAGATGTCCTGAGAGAGAGAGGCACAGCAAAAGATCCCTCATACCTCTTCCCCAGAAGAAAGTGTCCTTGCTTGAATTTATATAATAATGGGGACTGACCATGCTGCCCCTCAATTTCAGTGTACTCAGGTCTGTTTCCAAGTAATCTGCGAACTATACGGGTGGAAGTAGCTAGCGTTAATTTAATGTCTATCCTAACTTTTCCCTGAAGCTTTCTAAATCCTCCACAATTGTCAGCACATCTTTAGTTATGTGGCAAACTAACTCTAAACCATAGATATAGTAATAGTAAAAGCAGGTGCCTTCCTTCTGTTCCCATGAGAGCCCCAGAGAAGTAAGACATCTGAGCTTCTGCCTCCATAATGGGGGGAGACTAACTGGAATTCCCCAGACACATCTGATCAAGCCCCTGCAACAGGACACTTGTGAAAGACAGGGCAGAGGCTCCATCACACAGCTTGTGAGCTCAGCCTAAGCAGGCCTGGATGCAAAGCCCATGTCATGGCAGGTCAGCAGGAAAAACACCATCGAGAGTCTGAGATGCATGTAGAAGTACATAGACAAATACAGAAGACATAAAAAACAGTGCTTGTTATTTGGGAAAATGAGTAATGTTTCCATTAAATATTAAGAATGTGTGTAACTGGAAAGCTGAAGCAGCAAAAGTTTAAGCAACAAAGAGGCCTGAAAGAGCTGGATTCAGTTTACCAACCGGCATGGAGTCACTGGGCACTTATTATGTGCTGTGTAAAAATTTGTGTGTGTGTGTGTTGTATGTCCAGGTAAGTATATACGTGTGTATATATGTGTGTGTTGTGTGTGTACACCGTTGGGGCTCAGAAAATGATACCCCGAAGGGAAGGCCTCTGGAGCAGCCTCAGGAGCCTCCTCTACCCTCCTGCCTTCCAGTTGCTCAGTCCCATTCTCCCCTGAGCTTGGTCATAGAAACTAGAATCCCTCTTCCCCAAGGCAAGTCAGAAACCAGAACCCTTTTCCCCAAAGCCAGCCATAAAACCTAAAAATATTACTCTAAGTTTGTCTCTGCCTTCCCATGTAAAACTGGCCATAACAAAACTATCTGACCTCCCTTATTTGACTGTAGGTCATAAGACCCCCATTGCAGAGAGGGTCCTGCCGCACACCCAGAAGGAAGGAACACTGCTCAGACAGGTCAAGAGGAGTCTTCTAGACAGACAAGCCCTGCTGGGTTTTCCCACTCCGTCTAGTAACATTAGAGTACACCCTTATTGTCCAAACATATTTCTACACAGCTGGCCATACTTTTTGAACCTAAGGATAAAAATGAACAGTTTCCCCCATATCTTTGGGTCTTTATTCTGAAGGCTCCTGTGTATACACGTTTAATGTTTGTATGCCTTTCTCTCCAATTAATCTGCCCTTTCTGAGGTGATACTTCAGCAGACTTTCACAGTGCCAAGCCCTTGGCCCCTACAACACACATACTAGGTTGCTATGCTACATTTGAATTTTTTTTTTTTTTTTGAGACGGAGTCTCGCTCTGTTACCCAGGCTGGAGTGCAGTAGCGCGATCTTGGCTCACTGCAAGCTCTGCCTCCCATGCTTACACCATTCTCCTGCCTCAGCCTCCTGAGTAGCTGGGACTACAGGCGCCCGCCACCACACCCAGCTAATTTTTTTGTATTTTTAGTAGAGACGGGGTTTCACCATGTTAGCCAGGATGGTCTCAATCTCCTGACCTTGTGATCCGCCCACCTCAGCCTCCCAAAGTGCTGGGATTGTAGGCGTGAGCCACCGCGCCCAGCCTACGTTTGATTTTTAAAAAATTCTGTGGCTGGGCACGATGGCTCACACCTGTAATCCCAGCACTTTGAGAGGCAGAGGCAGGTGGATCACCTGAGGTCAGGAGTTCAAGACCAGCCTGACCAACATGGAGAAACCCTGTCTCTGCTAAAAAAACAAAATTAGCTGGGCATGGTGGCACATGCCTATAATCCCAGTTACTTGGGAGGCTGAGGCAGGAGAATTGCTTGAACCTGGGAGGTGGAGGTTATAGTGAGCCAAGATCATGCTATTGTACTCCAGCCTGGGCAACAAGAGCGAAACTCCGTATCAAAAAAAAAAAAAAAAAATTCTGCAAGCCAGAGAGCTGTTAGTTGATTCTTGATCCTGGATCTTCAGGCTTTTTAAGACCTGCTGGTTAGATAAGGTTAGCAGAATCTACCAACAAAGGACAGAATCTAGAAAATATTTTTCATTCCTATCTAGCTTTACCTGCTCCTGCTGTTTAAAATAAATCTCTACACAAAGTGAGTTATTAATAGTAAAAAACGTTTTACAAAAAAAAGTTTTATAAAAAACTCCTTGGATAATTGTAGAGTGTTCCAGAAACAGTAGGTGTTCTGGGCCGATGAGGTGAGGTTGGATCCTCATTTGTGTCATAAGAGGTGGGGTGGAAAGGTGTGTAAGAGGTGATTTGGAGGCCAGGTGCGCTGGCTCACGCCTGTAATCCCAACACTTTGGGAGGTCGAGGAGGGTGGATCACCTAAGGTCAGGAGTTCAAGACCAGCCTGGCCAACATGGTGAAATCCCGTCTCTACTAAAAATACAAAAATTAGCTAGGTGTGGTGGTGCGTGCCTGTAGTCCCAGCTACTCAGGAGGCTGAAGCAGGAGAATCGCTTGAACCTGGGAGGCTGAGGTTGCAGGGAGCTGAGACTGCACCATTGCACTCCAGGGTGGGCAACAGAGTAAGACTCTGTCTCAAAAAAAAAAAGAGGTGATTTTGGAAGAGGGAAATGAGTGCTTGTTTGATCATAGACCATGCTGACTTGATAAATTAATCTTTACAATTTTATAGCCACCAAGTATTTACATCTATGGTGTTACATAAAAGTAATTCATTACAGGTAAAGTAAGTACCTAAATATATTTTTGTTCATGTTATTGGGGCCCTTCTTATTAAAGTTGTTGAAAACATTTTAAAGTTGTAGAAACCCTACTCTTGTTAACATTTATCCTCAAATCAGGTCTAGAGTACCTTACTATACGTTATATATCAAGTTCTTAAATGTGGGTTTGAACAAAAATTATTCTAGAAATTTAATAGAAACCATAAAATATGTATATCTTTAATATAGCCTAGAAATATATTTCTTGGTATAAGCTAAATATATTGATCTTGTGTCTACCAATTTCTTTTTAGATGTGATACAAACAAATTGCTGGATGCTAAATGTTACTAAGACAAAAATAAATAAATAGAGGCTAACCTGGTAGAGAAATGGAGGTCAGAGTCCAGGAAATCTTTATTATATGATATCATCAGATTTCTTAACACATTGCTACATCAGTTTCCCCATGGAAATCTATAGGAAAAGCAAATAACCCATATATGACTGCACCACAGGTTTTTATTTCTTCTTCCACGTACTGAAGAAAACCAATTATGTTCTCATGAGTGTATTGTAAAGATTAAACAACAGGTGAATGCAAACCATTTTGCAATAAAATATGACACTGATAAATTGCAATCTGCTAAGACTCACACTACTATCTTATAACGGGTTGGGGAAACATAGATGAAAGCGTGTCCAGAATTGGCGGGTTCTTGATCTCACCGACTTCAAGAATGAAGCCGCGGACCCTCGCGGTGAGTGTTACAGCTCTTAAGGCGGCGCATCTGGAGTCTGTCCCTTCTGATGTTCAGATGTGTTCGGAGTTTTTTCCTTCTGGTGGGTTTGTGGTCTCGCTGGGCACAGGAGTGAAGCTGCAGATCTTCACCGTGAGTGTTACAGCTCATAAAAGCAGCGTGGACCCAAAGAGCGATCAGCAGCAAGAGTTATTGCAAAGAGGGAAAGAACAAAGCTTCCACAGGGTGGAAGGGGACCCGAGCGGGTTGCCACTGCTGGCTTGGGCAGCCTGCTTTTATTCTCTTATCTGGCTCCACCCACATCCTGCTGATTGGTAGAGCCCAGTGGCCTGTTTTGTCAGGGCACTGATTGGTGCGTTTACAATCCTTGAGCTAGATATAAAGGTTCTCCACGTCCCCATCAGATTAGTTAGATACAGAGTTTCAACACACAGGTTCTCCAAGGCCCCACCAGAGCAGCTAGATACAGAGTGTCGATTGGTGCACTCACAAACCTTGAGCTAAACACAGGGTGCTGATTGGTGTATTTACAATCCCTGAGCTAGACATAAAGACTCCATGTCCCCACCAGACTCAGGAGCCCAGCTGGCTTCACCTAGTAGATCTCGCACCGGGGCTGCAGGTGGAGCTGCCTGCCAGTCCCGCACCGTGCGCTCGCACTCCTCAGCCCTTGGGTGGTCCATGGGACTGGGCGCCGTGGAGCAGGGGGTGGTGCTCCTCTGGGAGGCTCGGGCCGCACAGGAGCCCATGGAGTGGGTGGGAGGCTCAGGCATGGCAGGCTGCAGGTCCCGAGCCCTGCCCCGCGGGAAGGCAGCTAAGGCCTGGCAAGAGATCGAGCACAGCGCCGGTGGGTTGGCACTGCTGGGGGACCCAGTACACCCTCCGCAGCCACTGGCCCGGGTGCTAAGTCCCTCACTGCCCGGGGCAGCAGGGCCGGCCGGCTGCTCCGAATGCGGGGCCCGCCAAGCCCACGCCCACCCAGAACTCCAGCTGGCCCGCAAGCGCTGCGCGCAGCCCCGGTTCCTGCTCGCGCCTCTCCCTCCACACCTCCCTGCAAGCTGAGGGAGCTGGCTCTGGCCTTGGCCAGCCCAGAAAGGGGCTCTCACAGTGCAGCGGCGGGCCAAAGGGCCCCTCAAGTGCCGCCAAAGTGGGAACCCAGGCAGAGGAGGCGCCGAGAGCAAGCGAGGGCTCTGAGGAGTGCCAGCACGCTGTCACCTCTCAAAAGGGTCTCCATGCATACTCAAATTTTAAAATGTATATATATGACCTAATTTTCCCAAATAAAGTCACTCCTCCAAATCTCATTAAGTTCTGGCAGCTATTTTTTGGTCTGTTTTCATTTCTTTCTTAGGGTTCAAATGTGTTTATCAAAGCAATAAACCCTTGGTTCAGTCCTCACTGATCACTCAGCCTTCAAGGCATTAATGATTTTGATAGGAGACCAAGGACAGCTATTTGAATTTTAGGGCAATTAAAAGAAAATGTTTCTGTCAGCTCTCTTTTTTCTTAATGCTTACAAGTAACTCAGAGAGAAACAGGTTTCAATGTTCTTCTTTTAGAAAAGCCTTTGCTTTACCATAAATTGGCAGTGAACACTTTGAAAGACCCATTATGTACTTATAGAGGCTACTTCCTTGAATGGCTTGGCTATAAATTATCAGGGAACTTTCAGTGTAAACGACAGCCCTTTAATCCCTGACATTTTATATTTTATTCTCATTTCTTTATGTTACAAAAACTTAGACAGGTAGCAGATAGCTTCCCCAAGATAAAAATTACAATATTTCAGTAGAAGACTGGGTACACAATTATGTGCTGGGCGATTCAGTAACAAATACCCCCAAACTGGTCCCTCCAGACCTTTCCTGTCTGATAAGGTGACAGAGACTTCTAAAATGGACTCCAAAACCCCAAAGCAAAGTCTGAGCTCCTGGGGCATGGAACTGAGACTCTTACTGTGCCCCAGTGCCTGGAAGGCATTCAGGGGCTATTTTCCTAGTCAACTCATATCACTGAACTGTTTGGTAAAGGAGCCATAGCCTGGCAGGGGAGTAGAAAAGAGGGAGAAGCACCACAGGAGATAAAAATCAGCACACAGAAACACAACACAGGGAGAGTTCCCTTTCAGGACCTTTGGTAGAGCTAAATTTAGATGAAACCAGGTACAAAGCTAATGCAGTCAATCAAGAGCAGTATATACTGCTGTTTTTAAAAATCACATCCTTTCTATGCAGGCAGCAACCACTCATACAAAGATCTTAGCAAAAATGAAGTCTTGATTTCCCATGAAAAAGCCAGTGATGATGTAAACATTTTTAAAACAGTTGTTTTACGCAAGTCCCCATGGAAAATTCCAAGCCGACTCAGGCAAAGATCCCATCTTTAAAAGTTCACATTCAAACAGTAGTAGTAAAAGCAGAAAAATACATACTTTGGAAAAATGAAAGAGCTCGTCTTGCTATGGGCAACTGCTTTATGGAAGGAGTGCATCTTGGAGGATGAGGTGGTAAAAATATAGGTAGAGTTGAGAGAAGGGAATCCATTTCCAAATGGCTAATTGTGCATCATTTTATTTCATATACATCAATGTCCTACTTTGCAACAGGGTCAGGAAATATGTACTTAGGTGATTTTATAATTTTATATTTAACCAAGTTTGGAAACCCAAACCTTAGCCTAAAGGTGAGATTGCATAATTTTGCTATGCAGCAGACCTTTAGAAGCGTGCCTCCAAAAAGAGAAAGAGTAAAAAGAAAAAGATTGATGGAGTGCTACGTAAAAATTAAAAACTTGGCATGCCCCAAAGGATTATAAACAGAATGAGTAACTGGAAGTTCAAATGCCATCCAGCACTGAAATTGTCCATCTGGAAAACAGCAGCTTTGATTTTTCAGTCATCAGTATGTTGAGATGGATATTTACAAAATCCATGATTATTCCCTCAGGAGGGAAGCTGCTTATAAAACAACTTCTGAGGATTTTCTGGTCAGAGTCCTTCTGGAATCACGAATATTTTATGTTTTCAAGGGCGCCTCTGTCAGATACCTCAAGGAGAGAGCCTTTTAAAGTCCTTCGACAATGCTCCTATTACTTCCCTGCGGGCGGCTCCGACTGTTCAGCTCTACATAATTTTGCTCAGGTACCTGTTTACATGTTTAGAGCCATCCGATATGAGGCTAAACAGCTGTGATGACTGCAGGCTCTTTGTGGCAACCTGCTGCAGATGGTACCAGCTGGCGAGTCGCTCACACAGCAACACGGGTTCTCTTTGTCCTGCTTTGGATGCCGGGGACTAACTAGCTGAGCACTTTAGCCTGACTTCTCTATATTGCAAAAGAAGAGCTGGATGTGCTGCCCTTCACATATAGAAGATTCTCTATGTCATTGCAATATTCCCAGCATTGTTACTGTTTTCTAGTAATGGTGAAAGACAGATGCTAGGCACTGCCACTAGGACTCTTAGTGCATTGACCAAGATTTGGCTACAGATTCCTGCCACCCAAACGGAGCAAAGCTGCCAGCCCACAAAGAGAAGGAACCCAGCTCCTTGGCCTCTCTGCCTTGGTTCTCTATCTGACTGAGTTATCCAACCACCATGAATACCAGACAATAAGGAATAATAATTTAAAAAAAACTGGTTAGAGGCTTGGCAAGGAAACAAAAATTTCTATTTGTTTTGTTTTTATTTTTATTTTTCCAACAGGAGATAGTTTGGCCAAGAAAAATATCATCCTTCCATGGATGCCTGGTATCCTGTTTACTCCTACACATTGTTCTTACATGTCAGAAAATGAAGTATGAGCTAAGGAAAGGCCAGTCATTAAATAAAATGCTGGGTCTTGGGAGACATTTTAGGGTATATAAATTTCATAGAGACATATCAAACTGCAAAAACCAAATGAAGATCATTTGCCACTATCTAAGATGTGTTTTTAAATTATACTAATAAAATAGATTCCATATATACTGATTTACTTGAAGGAAAATGTTGTTTTTCCCTTAGGAGTCTTTAGGGGAAGACACAAATATTAACAATTCTGTTTAAAGAAACGAAATGGTCTAACATGATTTCTCAAGGTTCTCATTTAACCACCGAGTTCCATAGATACACTTTCTTTTGAATAAAATTGTACAGGTATATATGAAAGCAATAACTAAAAATCACATTTAGTAAGTATGGAAGGGTTATATAACCAAATCAGAAATATAATACTGAACTTATTTTTACATTATTATTCACCTTTCAAAGTTTTATTAATTCCTTCATGAACTTTAAATACCACTTAACCCATTTTGGCAGCAGTTAAATTAATGTTTTCAATTGACTTTTGTGGGATCACATTTCTAATACACAAACTATATATACATACACTAGACTCTCCATGTTCATTCCACATTGTCAAGAGAGTACAGGCCAAGAAAGGCATCTGCAGTTTGCAACCATGAAAGTACTAGATCACTTTTTCCAATATATCTTCATCTATAACAGGCTCTTAAATGCACCACTCATTCATTAGTTCATTATGTACATTATGAGCAGAGAGCCTGCTGAGTGCCAGGAACTATGCCAACATTTTACTATTTCCTCCATCATACATTCTTTTAATTCTTTTCTGTACATAAACGTTCATAAAATACTTTTGATCAAAGTTTTGATATATGAGTTTGATATGAGATATATCGTGTGATAGTTAATTTTAGGTGTTAATTTAACTGAACTAAGGGATGCCCAGATAGCTGGAAAGGCATTATTTCTTATTATGCCTGTGAGGGTGTTTCCAGAAGAGACTGGCATTTGAAATCAGTGGGCTTAGGAATATCTGCTGTCACCAACATGGGCAGGTACTATCCAATCAGCTGGAGGTCAGACAGAACAAAAGGCAAAGGAAAGGTGATTTTGTTTTCTCTCTCTCTCTCTCTCCTGGAGCAGGGACACTCTTCTTCTCCTACCCTTGGACATCAGAACTCCAGCTCTCCAGCCTTAGAATTCTGGTATTTGCACCAGTGACCCTCTAGGGTCTTTGGGCTTAGACTAAAAGTCTAGGCCTTTGGGCTTAGACTAAAAGTTATACCATTAGTTTCCCTGGTTCTGGGGCCTTCTGACTTGAACTGAGCCATGCTACTAGCATCCCAGGTTCTCCAATTTGCAGAAGGTCCATCATGGGACTTAGCCTTCATCATTGCTAAGCTAATTTCCTTAATAAATCCCCACTCATTCATCCATCTATCTACCTACCTACGTACCTTTCCTACTGGTTCCGACTTTCTGGAGAACACTGACTAACATATATCAATAATAGACCCTATTTTCAATCGTACATTTGAAGTAGATTAGGACATGGTAAAAAAAGGTAACCAGGATTGGTGAGAAAAATTCAGAGCAGGAAACAACAAGTGAAGTATTTGACATCGTCTTTCTCCACCTTCTGGCCACAAGGCAAAAAGGCATGTCTGAGAAATAATTGTTACATAACTACTGGAAACAGCTCTTAAAATGGAAATCTTTTGCCTGTTACTATTCTAATATTTACAGAATGTCTATTCTAGGCGAGGTTCCAGATTAGAAACTGGCCCATAGGAATAACCTGCAGGAAATATGCTTTTCTTATTTTGTGAAAAAAATCCCATCTTATAACAGCAAATCTTCTTTGAACTACTCAAAAACACATTAATAATATTATTTCAAAAATATTCAGTTTTAACAAGGATGATATTATATTAAGCTATCTATCAATTTCAAAGCCCTTTTATATCCATGATTATGGTTATCCTGACAACAGACTGAAAAGCCTTTTGCCATGCACCAGCATGGTGGGCAGCAGGGAAAGAACAGGCTTGGGAGGGAGGCAGGTCCAAGTTTGCCCATCAACAACCCCATTTCTTCACCATGTGACCCTTAACAAACACTTAGCCTTCAAAAGTGCTCACTTATTTCAAATATCAAATAGTGAGAGAAGAACTTACAGTTTCTGGGAAGATCATATAGAATAGCCGATAGCATATAGTATACAGAGCCCATACAGGGATGAATGGATAAGCAAAATGTGTCATATACCTATGATGGAATATTATTCAGCCTTAAGAGGAAGGAAAATCTGACACACGTTACAACATGGATGAACCCTGAAGACATTATGCTAAGTGAAATAAGTCAAACACAATGAGGCACCTAGTGTAGTCAAATTCAGAGATAGAAAACAGAATCGTGATTGACAGGGCCTGGGAGGATGGGGAGCTATTGTTCAATGGGTACAGAGTTTCAGTTTGGGAAGATGAAAAAGTTCTAGAGATGGGTGTTTATGATCATTGCACAACAACGTGAATGCAGTTAATGCCACAGAACTGTGCACTTCAAAATGGTTAAAGTGGTAAATTTTATGTTATGTATTTTTATCACAATAAATTCATTAAAAAATGGTTAGAGGCACAGGGACTAGAGAAGAAAACAGTACAGACAAAGTTCTTCTGTCATGGAGGTTTTGGGAGACAGAAAAATGAGCCAACCAACCAATAAATAAGATCAGATGTTTTATCAGATTATTGCCAAGTAGAGAACGAAAAAAAGAGAAATGTGAGAGTAAGTCCAATCTCTAAGGATGAGTCAGTGAAGCTGAGATCTGAGTTAAAAGAAGTACCTAATCTTATAAAAACTAAGAGGAAGAGTATTCCAGGAAGAAAGACCAGTTGGTTCAAGAAACAAAAAAAATTATGTGCAGAAATGTAATGGGCAAGGAGAATGGTTAGAGATAAAGTCTGAAAGATTGGCAGGTATGATCAGAGTACAGTTTGAATTTTATTCTAAGTATGATGGGAAGTGATTGGAGGGCTTTAAATAAAGAATTGACATAATCATCAGATTCGTGTTATGTAAAGGTCTCTCTGGCTGCTGTGAAGAGCCTGGATTGTAGGCAGTCCAACAGTGGAAGCAGGAATACCAGCTAGGGAGATTACTACGGAAAAGAGACAATGGTGACTTGATCTAAAATATTAGTGGTGGAGACAGGGTGAAGAAATTTGATCCAGGATTTATGAGGTAGATCTCCTGGGACTTGTATATGGATTATATATTAAGAAGAGGGAAAGGAGGAAATAATGAGTGTCTCCTAAATTTTTGGCTTGAGTCTGAGTAGGTGTTGACAGCATTTACTGAGATGTGGTGAGGAAAACGAGCTTTCTGGTGGGATATCTAGAGTCTGTTTTGTCCTTATTAAGTTTGAGAAGAAGTTCCAACTTATATGGGAATGTTCAGTAGACAAATCTGAGAGTCTGGAGTTCTGGGGTATAGTTGAGACTAGAGGTACAGATTGTGGGGGGCATCATTGGCATTGAGATGGCATTCATAGCTATGGGGCTGAATGAGATCAACTATGATGTATAAATACAAAACAGAAGGTAGCCAATAACTTCTCCAAGGGGCACTCCAAATTTAGCAGAGGAAAAACAGGAGAATAAGACACTGAAAAGAAGTAGCAATGAGGAAGGTGAAAACAGATGGCAATGTCACAAAAGTCAAGAGCTTTGAGAAGGAAGTAGTGGTCAATTTCATCAAGCGTTCTTGAGAGGTCAAGAAGGATAAGAACATAAAAATACAACTGCTGGGTCTGGCAACACGAAGGTTGTGATTGCTTTGATGAGAGCTGTCTTAGTGGAAGAGCAGGGAGGGAAGCCTGATGAGGAGGCAAGAGGAGTTGGGACTCTGAGACCAGTAGAGGGGTTGTTGGGCCTTTGCTAGGAACAGAGAGAATGATAGCTTTTGCCAGAGGAGGAAGCCAGAGGGCGTGGGTAAACCAGGATATAATAGGGCTGGTAGACTTTCTAATTCACTTAGAGCCATGTGAGGCAAGAATAAATTATAAAACAATCCCTTGGCTTTGTGTTCTTATGTTTACTCTTAATCCACTTTCTTCATATTAAAAATGATTGTCTTTAATCAAAGTTGTTGCTGTATGAAGATGCAATGAATAAGCTGGGTAGCACTGTAGATTCAACTTTTACTAAAGAAAAGCAACTTTGCTGATACCCACAGGAATTCTTAAGTAGAAAGAAAAATAGAGACTTTATTATATTTTAAATTTTCAACTAAGGAGGAGAGGGGCAGCATTTGAAACCAGAGGCAGCATTTAATGAAAGGTTCTCAGAGACAGTATGAATGAAAATAAAATAAGAGCAGAAGTGTGCATCTTTTAAAGGACAGATTACATCCTGGAAACATGAAGATAATTAGTTGGTATTTAAATCTATTAATTAGGCTAATTAAATTAGAAACGGTAGGCAGTTCTGTTGAAAGATTTCCTGCTAAGATTTTTTTTATGTGAAATTCCCTTCAGTTCTGTTATGCAGTTAAGTCCTCCTGATACTTGTGGATTAGCTCACTTGGAAGATATTGTTGAAGAAAATCATTAGGATGGAACAACAGTATAAATGCAATTGCATGTATGTGAGGTTTTTTATAAAAGAATTTTTGGGTTAAAATAAGCCTGTACGAGTATATGATCTTAGAAATATAAGATTTACTATGGGTTGATGGATCCCTTAGATCAGAGCTGGCTCCAACGGCACCAAATGGCCCTGCCTCCTGTCTTTGCTTCCTGCTGAGGATGCTGACATGTGAAGTTTCTTGGAAATGAAGTCTCTTTATGATTACAGAGTAGAGAACACAGTTTGAACCACTTCTTACTGAACTGGGGAAACCGACCCCTGACAGATTGAAAGATGAGGCTTCCTTGAATGAGAGAAGTGCTACCTAATATCGTCGGTGGGATGGAGTCAGGAATGGGACAAAGACAAAGGTTGGTGACCACTCCTTGAGTTTTCTTCTCTATTAGTTTGGCTCTTATAGCAAGACCACGGCCCCCAGCCACCCGGCTCTCAGAATAGGTAACTAAATGCTTGTGTAGATTTAGCAGAGATATGAAAGGTAGCAAGGAGGTGGGAGTAATGGGCCAATCTGTAGGGACTCTGGACATGGTGCATTAGAGACAAAATTAGAGATTAAAATGCCAATATGCTGGCCAGTGAGGAGACTGAGGTTCTGTAAATGGGACTTTAAAAATTAATTTTCTATTCTAAATATATTTAATAAGTGCCCATTTTGCATAGACTCTTATGCAGATATCATGAATTATACAAATATAAATGAGGAACAATAGCTGCCATTAGTGTAAATGGGAGATAGACAAACACAAATTGCAAAGGCCTTGTAAAGTGTGGTAAGTGCTTAAAGTTTTCAGACCAATGGCTATGGGAGTGCAAAGGTGGGAAAGTTAGAGGTAGTTAGAGAAATGACAGAGGACTTCTTAGAAGTTGGGTCATTTGAACTAGTCTTGAAAGATGGCTATGATGGTTAAGCTTATGTGTCGAACTTGGCTAGGTCACAGTGCTTAGATATTTGGTCAAACAGTATTCTGGGTGTTTTTGTGAACATATTTTTAGATGAGATTAACATTTAAGTCAGTAGACTTTGAGTGAAGCATATTACCCTCCATATGTGGGTGGACCTCATCTAATCAGTTGAAGGCCTTAATAGAGAAAAGACTAACTTCCCTGGAGAAAGAGGGAATTCTGCCAGCAGGCTGCCTCTGGACTAGAACTGCAGCTCTTCTCTAGGTCTCAAGCCTGCTGGCTTCCCTTGCAGATTTCAGGCTTACCAGCCTCTACAATCTCATGAGCCAATTCCTTAAAACAAATCTGTCTATATATGTGCACACATATATATATTCATCCTATTGGTTCTGTTTCTCTATTGAGAACTCTAATACAATTTCCCATATTTTAATTAGTAAAGAAAGAGGAGTGGACAATGGAAATAAGTGCACTGTATGGAGAAGTGAAGAGAATGTGCCTATGGATTGTGAATTCTCTAATGTGGTTGGATTGTATGGGTATCACAGGGCTCCCTAGTGGTACATAGTCCTGGAAAGGTAGACTGGGGCCAGATCATGTATGTCTTTGGTTACTGAGGCAAGGGGTTTGAGCTTTATTCTGTAGAAAGGTTTTGGAGCAGAAGAATGATATAACCATGGCTACCATTAGGAAGGTGACCCTGGCAACTGCGGAGGATAGAGTCAGGATGCCAGAGACCACTGCACTATCCACATGAGCAGAACTGAGCTGATGACGGCGGAACCAGGGCACTAGCTGTAGGAACGGATTAAGGGTATAGAATCAAGACGCTTAAAATCAGTAAGATTTGAGGATTGAATGGACAGTCTGAATCAAACATGTCTCTAAAACTTCTACAATGATTGGCTTGCAAGACGGTGACACCATAAATGAGATAAGGAAAACAGAAGGGGAAACAGGAATGAAGCTGTATGCAGGGACACAGGGTGTTAAGTTCAGCTATAGTCCCAGACCTGTGAGCATTCAGGCCTCAGTAGCACATGTGAGTGAATAGATTCAGGAGATATCCTGAGCAAAGGTGAAGTGAGAACCATTTGCATAAACAAACTATGGAGGAACAGGAGAATAGAGTTGGAGGATGTTGATATTTGAGGGCTGGGCAGAGGAAGAGGATTTAGCAAAGAAGACTAAAAAGGAGAGTTAGGAGAGGAACTAGTACCTAGCACATAGGTGGCACCCAATGACTTTTAAAAAAAAATTAATAAATAAACTAGGGTGATGCCCAGTCATAGAAGTTCAAAAAGATGAGCATGTGAAGGACAAAACAATGATTGTACATTTCAAAATAATGAATTTCATATACACTCGTTCCTCAATATCTGTGAGAGATTTGTTCCAGGATCTCCTATGAATACTAAAATCCATGGATACTTGAGTCTGTGATATAAAATGATGTAATATTTGCATATAACTACTAACAAACTCTTGGATCATTTAAATCAACTGTAGATTACTTATAATACTTAGTACAATGTAAATGCTATGTAAATTGTTGTTATGCTGTATTGTTTAGGTAATAACCGACAAGAAAAATGTCTGCATATGTTCAGTACAGACACAGTATTTTTTAATACTTTCAAATCACAATTGATTCAATCTATGGATTCAGAACCCATGGATACTGAGGGATAACTGTATATGAATTATCTCTCAATAAAGCTGTTATTTAATATGAATAAAGAATAAATCGATTAAGTAAGATTTTGTAAAAAATTAAGTGAGCTAAGGGCTAAGAAGAGGTCTTTGCAGTTGACCACTTAAGGCACCAATCACCTCTAAGCAAGCAATTCCAATAATGAAGGAATGGCAGAAATTCAATTATTGTAAGCAAAGAGTAAGAGGGTCAAAAGTGGAAGGATCTAGTATGGTACCTTCTTCCTCAATAAGTTTAACATCCTTTAAAGTTTCATTTTTAATATAAAAATAAACATTGTTATTGTAGAATATTGGAAAATAGATAGCTTTTTAAATAAGAACAAAATGAAAGTTGTCTGATTGCCTTTTTCTTTCTTTTCTTTTTTTCAGATAGTGTCTCGCTCTGTCACCCATGCTGGAGTATAGTGGCACAATCATGGCTCACTGCTCCCTCAACCTCCCAGGCTCAAGCAATCCTCCCACCTCAGCCTTCCGAGTGGCTAGGACTTGGGACTACAGACATGTACCACCATCCCCAGCTAATGTTTTTATTTTTTGTAGAGATGGGGTTTCATCATGTTGCCCAGGCTGGTCTCGAACTCCTGGGCTCAAGCGATCCGCCCACCTTGGCCTCCCAAAGGGCTGGGATTACAGGCATGAGCCACCGTGTCCTGCTCTGATTTTCTACCATACTGATAACAATGGTTAATGTTTTGATAGATATTCCAAAATTTTTTCTGTGCTTATTATAGAACTGAGATTATAAAAAACATTCAGTTTTATAATTTTTGTCCAAAAAATTCAATCTTACAGCATTTACCATTGCATAAATGTGCCATCATTTTAAACCATTCTCATATTGCTAGACTTTATTTCTTCCATACTTATTTTGCTATTTTCACTGTGATGAATATGTTTGTTCCTAAATCTTTGTCCAATATTGCTTTACTATTTCCTTCAAGTAAATGCATAGATGGAGAATACATGTGTCATAGATGGAAAATGCTATGTCAAAATTCATGGGCATTTTTATGACTCTTGCTGTATTGTCCAACAGCTTTTCAGAAAGGTACCAATTTACAATCCTTCATGAAGGATTCACTACATGTTCTCCCCTACTGAGTGTTAGCTTCATTCACTTCACATATTTGAGAGATAAAAATGATATCTCACTGTTGTTTGGATGTGCATATCTTACCTCAAAGAGCTCTCACGTAAGATTTATTCTTTAAGAGCTATAATTTGTTTCTAAGCCTCCTGATTAAAAAGTCAATAAAGAGAAACAAATTGATGAAGAAAGATTATGATAATGAACTCAGATTAAAATTTAGTTTTAAAAAACCAAGAAAGGGACATATCAATTTGGATAAAAAGCAGGACACTCTTCATTTATGATAACCAAGAACTGCAGGGAAAGAATCCCTCTATCATTCAGTTGCCATTACTCCTCTGGCCATTTTCTGAAGTCTGTTCCCCAAACAATACAGGAGCTGGGGTAAAACACTGATGTTCCAGTTTTCTCTAATTCCTTATATATAATCTTATCGACATAATCCAACATATTCAATTTCATTTGGGGGTAGTGTATTTCAGAGAAACGAACTAAAACGCTGTCTTAAGTATTTGTGTGACAGGTCTAATGCTACTACAATAAAAATAAAGCTGCCATTTCCTAAGAGCCAGGCACTGTGCCAGGTAATTTACACACACAATTAATTTTTGCAATACTTAATTGCAGAAGCTATTAGATCTATTTCACTGATGAGAAAACTGAGGCTTAGATTTGTTTATTTATTTTTACTGTGATAAGAGTCACACAGCTATTAAATGAATAATCTGAAACTTGAATCCAGCTGTCTGGTGCAAATGCCAATGTTCTCTCACAAATCCCACCTTTGTTTTGTACATCATTTGACATTAATCATATATGAGATTATTATCACTATCCTTATTTAAACTTCAAGAAAGGAAAATTATGATAATATAGTAATATAACATTATCTTAACAAAATATCTTATACTTTAGGTATCTAACGTCCATTATAAGGTCAGAGACAAACAACCTGAATTTTTAAAGCAAACACTTTAAAACTCTAAAGCCATCACTAAAAACTAAGTTATATAAATGTGCAAGTTAATCAATTAAAACGGAAATAATAAACACTTCAAATATTCCTCTCTGACCCTTCCAAAAATTCTTCCACTTCATTCAGCCCTCTAATCATTAAAGCTGCCACTTTTTCGCCATCCAGAATCAAAGTAACTTGCTCCACGTCCTCAATTCCTTACAAAATTTGGATTTCATATCCCACCCCTCCTTACAATCAGTGCCTTGTAACCACCCTTTAATGACTACGTGGATCTTTTTGTCATTCTCGTCTGACCAGTCTCAGTGTCCCCAGACCCACTGACCCACACCAGACACTCTACAGGTGGAACTAGTCATGTGCTAGGAGCCAGCTCCCATCCACTCTGGGGGAGTGGCTTAAATTTCCAGGAATTTTATCGGCTGATTGTTAAATATAATCATCTCTAAAATATGTGTGTGTGTATATATATATATATATATATATATATATATATATACAGTTGCAGGTAAATGGATTAAGACAGAAATAATAAATACTCAAAATTCAATGCTTCTTTAGAAAATAATGTGATTGGCCGGGCACAGTGGCTCATGACTGTAATCCCAGCACTTTGGGAAGCCGAGGTGGGCAGATCACAAGGTCAGGAGATCAAGACCATCCTGGCCAACATGGTGAAACCCCGTCTCTACTAAAAATATAAAAATTAGCTGGGCGTGGCGGCACACACCTGTAGTCCTAGCTACTTGGGAAGCGGAGGCTGCAGTGAGCCGAGATAGCAAAAAAAAGCCCAAAAGAAAAAAGAAAATAACATAATTTGGCTACAATCTGTGCTCTTCAGGCCGTGTGCATATATTGTAGGCATATGGTGAAAATACGACGTAATAGTGAGCTACAGTACATCTCTTCTCAACCCTACATTTAGTGATGCCATGTGGAAAGTTTGAAACCAGCCACAGCGGGAGCATTTACACCATGGAAGTCAGCAAATGCTACACATCAGGGCCTTTTAACCAATAAGCCAGTTGTAAAGCATTTAATAGTATACCACTAGATAAGGCCCAACAACCTTTTTTCAAACAGGCCTTCCAAGTGATTCTGATTCTGCTAGAGCTTGAGAACCACCGGTTTAGAAGGCCTAGTATGCTCTTCTCCCAATATTCCAACTTCTTCCTCATCCACACACAGAGTACCGGAGTTTGGAGCTTGCTTCACTTCAAAACCAATCTATCACAGCTTCAAACCACCTGATTTCATCCACGGAAGGTACATGTTAATATGAGAAAGATGACTTTCCCTGGGACCCTGTTTTAAATTTTTGCCCAAGATTTTATAAAAATAAATTGTTCTAAGCAGATTATTTGTTTATTTAATCTCAATTTAGTATTACTTCTATTTTTAAAATATAATAAAATTACAAAATATTTTTCCCCTGAAAATCATATCTCATGGAACCATGTCATCCAGACTCCATTTAGAAGTTGGCTGCTGAATAATGAAGACCAGCAGATGGCAGCAGGGACTCTTGGAAAGAAAGCCTCACGTCTTCAAACCATTTTGGCTGAGAAAGAACATAAATAAGTCAAGCACATTTCTAAATAGTTTGCTGGTTCATTTATTCTTCGTGTTGGCAAACTGCCTTTCAAAATTCAGTATAGATTATATTCTATGATTTCATAAAAACATTAACAACCAAAAAAGTCATGTAGTCTTTTTACCCAAATTGGTTCATGCCAGACAAGAGTAGACAGATCCTTTTCACTGTGTTGTCAGATTTAAAATTTCAAATTCTCGCAGACAAGACTTAAATTATTTTACTTCATTAATATTTTTAAGTATATTTAATATTATCCCTTCTACAACCAGTTTTCCTATGAAGTTAGGAGTTAAGACAGGCAGATAAACAGAGTACAGATTATAAGCCATACAACCCTCACATTAAAAAAAAAAACAAAACCTGAAAGACTAGAGCATTTAAACAAATGTTTTAGTTATCATCGTATCACTAAAATCCATGCAAGACAATTAAATTGAGTCTGATTTTAAGAATAATACAGACTACCGTGTGCAAGAGTCTTGGTTGCATCATTAAGGGGAGCTATTTGCAAGGAGTGGTTCTGTATCTATATAGCACTGACTGTTAAGAATCCATCAGGAATCTTCAGGCTCAAGAGCGGTTCAGCAACAGCAGTAATCACAGCATGAAGAAGTGATTCTCTGACTGCTGAGCAGGGTGTGGAATCAGCACTGGAAATATTGGCAAAACTGTCCTGTTATTTTTTATAATGTCATTTCAATGTCTTCTGATTAACTTTTTTTTTTTTTTTTTTGAGATGGTGTCTCACTCTGTCTCCCAGGCTGGAGTGCAATGGTGCAATCTCGGCTCACTGCAACCTCCCCTCCTGGGTTCAAGTGATTCTCCTGCCTCAGCCTCCCAAGTAGCTGGGATTACAGGTACCCACCATCAGGCCCGGCTACTTTTTTTTGTACTTTTAGTAGAGATGGGGTTTTATCATGTTGGCCAGGCTGGTCTCGAACTCTTGACCTCAGGTAATCTGCCCTCCTCGGCCCCCCAAACAGCTGGGATTACAGACATGAGCCACTGCACCCAGCCTGATCAACTATTTTTAACTGGGCACATAAAGATGCACAGACACTAGGCAGGAGTGAATCCATAATGTGTTTTTAACATCATTTATGAATCAGCACTGTGCTAGGCACTAAGGAGGCTGAGATGAACATGATGTCATCCCTGGTTACAGGAGCTCATAGACTACTGAATTCTAAATTTAGAGGATATTCAGTAAGTTCCAGTATTTATTTCACAAAGTTGTTTTGATAATGAAATGAGATAACATTTTTTAAAATTACTTCACAAACCATCCCAGCATTGAGCAAGTGCCAGTTTGCCATTATTTCTAAATAGATGAGTGACAGAATCAAACTGATATCCAAAAAAAGAGCAATGGGCAATGATGTACAAAACAGATTAAATGGGGAAAGTAAACTTAGGCAGATTAATCAGCTGGAGTCCACTGTAATAACCCAGACAGGAGGTGGCAGAGTATGAAGTGTCTGGGGCAGTGGGAACAACTGAATGAAAAAATGAAGAAAGCACGCAGATGACTTTGTGGCTGACAGCAGGACAACAGAGAGGAAAGAGACAAAAACGCCAAAAGGATGATTCAGAGAATAATGTAATAGGAAACTCAAGTGAGTGAAGTAATTTAGGGTGAAAGATAAAGAATTTGACTTTTGACATGTTAAATTTAAGATGACAGTGAAACATCAGAGTGAACAGAGCAGAAGGAAGTTGGGAGATGTCGCAACTCACAAACTCCTACTCAACTTTTAATACCCACTGCCAATGTCCTTTCTTCCAGGAAGTCTTTCCTTGATAGTCCTCAGAGGTCATTTACTCACTTCTCCAGGTTCCAAAAGCAGTTTGTTTAACATCCTAGTTTAGCATGTTATATTGGGTTGGCATTATCTAACTCTGTGTCTGTCACTTCAATGAGACTCCATTAGAACTCATTAAAAGTAGAGAAAGTCACTGATCTTTATATCCTTAGTACCAGCACAGTACATAATTCATAATAGGTACTCAATAAATGGCTAATGAATGATGAAAGTAACCAGCTGATAAAAATAAATAAATATCAAAACATAAACATCATCTGCTTAAAGGAGATAGAAAACTGTTAGTAAATATAATTTCCAAGGAAAATAATTATTTAGAAATAAGAAGTGAGCTACGTATAGGACCATAAGAATAGATGCCTTAGGGAGTGCTGCAGTTTGGTTTGTTTGACTCTTCCAAATCTCATTTGAAATCTGATCCCCAGTGTTGGAGGTGGGGCTTAATGGGAGGTGTTGGGGTCATGAGGGAGGATCCCTCACTAATAGATTAATATCCTCCCTGGGTGGTGGGGATGAGTGAGTTCTCACTGTTAGTTCCTGCGAGAGTTCTCCTGCCAGCTGGTTGTAAAAAAGAGCCTGGCACCTCCCCGGCCCAGCCCTCTCTGGCCTCCTTTCTAGCCTTGTGATCCCTGTATTCCTTCTTCTTCTGCCATGAGTGGAAGCAGCCTGAAGCCCTCACCAGAAGTGGATGCTGGCACCATGCTTCCTATACAGCCTGCAGAACAACAAATAAACCTCTTTTCTTTATCAATTATCCAACCTCAGGTATTCCTTTATAGTAACACAAATGGACTAAGACAGGGAGTAGAGAAGAAAGAGAAGCTAGTAAAAGAAAAAGAAAATAAGCCAAAGCCTCATAGAAAAGGGATGCTTTTAAAAACGAAGGAAGACATGTTCCAAACAGATTTAAAAAGCTACCAACATCAAAGTGAATGGAGATAAAGAACATACCATAGAATTTCAAAGCCAAATTTAGTTGAGAAAATTTAGGTCTATTCCACCAAGAACAAAAATAAGAGTAATGAGTAAATGTAGTTAATTTAGTGAAGAAGCCAAGGCTATGGGAACAATCCATTCTTGTTATTTATATGCTGTACAAAGGCTGCAGAAAACCAAGTTCAGGCTGGGTGCCTATCTCAAGGCAGAGAAGTTGAAAATATTAAGAGGATTAAGAAGCTAATTTTAAAACATGATGAATAACAGAAATGTTAGCACAGTACTACTGATGAGGAGGTGAAGAGAATAAACAAAGCTCTCAAGGGCATTTTTCACAAGGAGTAATGCTATGTCAAGATAACCAACTTCTTGTCAAGTATGCATTACTTTAGGACCAGACAGACTTATCTCAGACCATCCTCCTGTGACTGTCAGGCCAGAGGATCCAGAGGACCTTGGTTCCTGGGGAGGTCCAGGTGTTTCATTTGGGGTATCTAGTGCCTTGGTGAAGGAGTGGGTCTAAGCATTAGTATTAGACCATCTGGATTCCTAATTTTATTCCAGGAAGTCCTAGTATTTGTGGATTGTTTAGGTGATTCCAAGAATCAGCCTAAGAAAGGACTCTTAAGATAATTTGCCTTCTTATTTCCAAATGAGGAGACTGGGGTCCCAGGAGGCCAAGTGGCTTGTCTAAGATCACACTGTTGATTATAGCAGACCAGACCAAGTCTAAAACCCAGGACTCTAGATGGCCAATCCTATAGTGTTTGTATTTTACACTTTTCAATATTGTAGAGGATAGAACAAAGAAAAAAGCAAGAGAGAACAGAAAAGAGACAAGATGAGACCAAGCTATTTCTCCTCCTTCTTGAAGGTTGATTCTTATCCACAACTCTGGTGAGCTCTTTCCTCTTCCTTGGTATAATATGGACTTATTAGCTCGAGAATACTGACCCTTCCTCTCTGAAGTCAATACTCAGGGTTTCACCTTCGATAGACATTTTTTAAATCTACTTGTATAAATCATTAACCTGTTTCCTTATACATT